>NW_011332691.1:0-300000 GCF_000001405.40 Homo sapiens
GATAGACTAAATCTGCAAGACCATGAAGGCAGGGCGGGATGCTCTATGGGCTGAGCTCATGGCTCCTGAACCAGCCTGTCTGGCTCCAATCTTGTTTCCATTCTTCTCCAGCTCCTTGATACAGGGCAGCTGATTTCACCATCGTATCAGTTATGGATGTATAATAAACCACCCAAACATAGCAAGAATCATTCTATTATGATCACTCCTGGTTCTGGGGGCTGGCTGGGCTCAGCTGGGTGGTTGGCCCTCAGAGTCATTCATGCAGTTGTAGTCAGGCAGGGGCTGGGGCGAGAGTCATCTCCAAGGCTTCCTGACCTACATGTCTGCTGCCTGGGCTGGAAAGACTCAAACTGCTGAGACTAGAGTGGCTGGGGCTCCTTGGGGCTCTTTCTCTCTCTGTGTGTGATCTCCCTACGTGGTCTCTCCAGCATGATGGCTTCAAGGCAGCCTGGCTTCTTCCATGGTGGCTCAGGTCTCCAAAGGCACATGTCTCAAGAGAGACAGAGCTAGGTAGAAGCTGTATCACCATTTTAATCTAGTCTCAGAGGTCACGTGTGCCATCTATACCTCATTCTAATTCCTTGCAATCAAGTCACAGATCCCAGCCCATACTCAAGGGGAAGGGAATTAGGCTTTACTTCTTGAAGGACGTATCACAGGATTTGCAGGCATGTTTTAAAACCACTGTAACAACTTCTGTCCCTCAGTTTCCACATCTGTAAAATGAGGAAAATGATGATAATACAGTCTACCTCAAAGGGCTGTTGCAAGGATGACATGAGATAATTCAGGTGAAGTATTTATATAATGTTCTATACATAGTAAGTACTTGCAACACACACACACACACACACACGGTTAATCACTTCATGTAGACCAAAATCAAGTAACTTTCTTTTTAATTAATATATCATAGTTGTACATATTTGGGGATCACATGTGATATTTTGATACAAGCATACAGTTTGTAATGATCAAATCGGGATGATTGGGATATCCATCACCTGAGGCATTTATCTTGTTTTTGTGTTGGGGAAAAATCAAGTAACTTTCAAGTCAACAATCTACCTTTCCTTAACTCTTCAGATATCCTCCTGGGTTTTGGCTTAATCTTTCTGGATTCTTTGCAGGTGCCAGCCAACCCTGGAAGGGACTCCCAGCTGAGCAGCACCTGGCTGGGCCTGGGAGTTGGGCCTCCAGGTTTTGCTCTGCACCTGGCAGGTTGGGGTTAATTCACTTCTGGCTTGTTAGTGAATTCAATTGCTGAGAGCGAGCACAGGTCTCCAGCTTCCAGCCAAGCTCCCCTGCTCCCCTTCCAAGGAGCCATGTCAGAAAAGGGAAATAATTAGTCATTAAAACAAATGCTCAGGAACATGACAAACGTCAAGCCCCAATCTCATAGCTGGGTGATATCCTGACATTTAAAACAGTTCCACAGCCTCCTCCTGATGCTCAAGATGCATCATCCATCTGGTTTCCAAAGTCACAGCTGGTGGCCCAGAAAACCCTCAGGCTGTCCTGCTGAGTGCAGACCCAGCATGCCCTAGGGTTCTGTCGATAACTTATTCTTTGCCATTTATCTGGCAGAAATGGCATCACACAGATTGTCCTGTGCTAACAATGTCGAAGTCATGGGTCTGCCTCCCAACCCACTTATCTATCCCTCCATCCACCAATCTACCCACCCATCCTCCATCTATTCAACCACCCATCCGTCTATATACCAGCCTACTCATCCACCAATTTATCTGTCCACCAACCCACTCACCCATTGCCTCCATCTATTCACTATCCACCCATCTATATGTCAACCTACCCATCCACCCATTCATCCATCCACTCACCAACCCACTCGCTCATTGCCTCCATCTACTCACCTATCCATCCATCTATTGCCAACCTATCCATCCATTCATCCGTCACCTTCATCTATTCGCCTATTCATCCATCTATATACCAGTTTACCCACCCATTGCCTCTATGTATTCACTATCCTCCCATCTATATGCCACATACCCATCCATCCATCCATTTATCCATCTACCCATCCATCCATCCACTCACCAACCCACCCGTCCCTTACCTCTATTCACATATTCATCCATCTATATACCAATCCACCCATTGCCTCCGCCTACCCACCTAGTCATCCATCTATATACCAACTTACCCTTCCATTCTTCCATCCTTTCACCAACCCACCTGTCCATTACCTCCACCTATTCACCTATTCATCCATCTATATACCAAGCCACCCATTGTTTCTGTCTACTTAGCTATCCATCTATCTATATACCAACCTATCCATCCACCCATCCATGCATCCATCCATCCACTCACCAATGCATCTACCCATTACCTCCACCTATTCACCTATTTATCCATCTATATACCAATCTACGTATCCATTGATCCAGCTATCCTATCCATCCACCTACCAATCCAACCCATCTATCATCTACCAGCCAACCCATCCATTCACCCAGTGAGGCAACAGACACTTAATGAGCACCTACCAACAATTCATGTATTCATTCATTTATCCAGAAAATATTTATTAAGAGCTACTATTAATTCATTCACTCAGCCAACCAGCATGTATAGAGAATTTAATATCTCATTCATTTATTCAGCATTGAGCACCTACTATTTATGTATTCACTTAATAGTAATTAGGCAACAAACATTTACTGATTTATTCAGTGAACATTTGCGCAGTCATTATTTAGTCAATCAGCCAGCAAGCTGGCATTTAGTGAGCATTTACTAGTGCCAGACCCTGTTCCAGGCACTTGGGATACTGTGATTATTAGGACAAAGTCCATGCCTTTTAGCAACGAACAGTCTAAGCAAGAAGACAGACCCATCAATAGAAAACTGTTCTGCAAGGCTGTTAGTGCAGGAGACCTCCAAGAAGGTGTATGAAATCCAGTCTGGAAGCTTTAGGGAAGGCTTCCTATGGGAGTCAACAGGTGAACTGTAACTCACCTGTAGGTGTGAAATTAAACCACCTGAAATCCCAGCTCTGTTTTCTAGCTCTGTAATTTAGGGGTGTGACTTTCTATCTGAATGTCAGTTTCCTCATCTGTAAAGTGGGGATAACAACAGTGCTTACCATATAGAATTGTGAATAAGTGCTAGCTCTTACTATTTCTACTTAAAGCAAGGGTAGCAGTTAGTCAAGGGAGAAGTAGCGGGGAGGGCACTCCAGCCAGCAAGACCAAAGCAAAGCAAAGCAAAGGCCAAAGGCCACAAAATTGTGAGTGCAGGACCAGGGTATGGGGAGACTAAAAGTAGTTTAGGGTTGCTGCAAGCAGCGATAAGAGAGGGAAGAGAAGAGAAAAAAGGGGCTAGGGAAAAAGAAGAAAGGGGCGGGGGTCACAGCACCTAGGATGGCAGTTTTCAAAGGTTGCTCCTGGAGCACAGCATCTAGGATGGCAGTTCTCAAAGGTTGCTCCTGGAGCACAGCATCAGCATCACACAAGGACTTGCTGGAAATGCAGATTCTTGAGCCCAGCCCCAGACCTGCTGGAGGAGAAATTCCAGGGCCAGCGTCCAGCATCCAGTGTGTTAAGAAGCCCTCCGCGTTACTGTAATGCCCTCAAGTTTGGGTCTCTTGGGACTGGTCCAGGGTGCTGGAAGTTATTCTATATTCGGAGGAGGAACTTGGGAGGAGTCCAGAAAGGCTTCCTTGGGGGATATTTGTCAACAGATTTACCTTTACTCCCAAATAATAAAATAGCTTTAGTTGCAAGGAGTTGGTGAGGGAACCAAGTGGGCAGGGAGCATGGGTACCTGAGAGAAAAACCCATCTCTCTTGCTGGCAAAGACATGCCTTGCCTGCTCGCTGGGAAAGGGATGGGGACACGGTGTCCAGGTATGAGAAAGCCCTTGCCTCCAAGACCGTTGCTCCTGAAGGGAAGGGGCAGCTTCTGGCTCTGAGCCCGGAGCACCAGGCCTGGGGTCTGCCAGTTCTGAGGGTGCTATTGCCCTCTCTGCCCCCCCGCCCTCCGTCTGTCACACTGGAGGATGTCACAGGAAACAATGTGCCCCTGCGAGGGCCCGGCTGCATTGGCAGCGGCCTGGCTTCAGGCATCACAATGACTCTCATTTCCTAGGAAACAGGGAGTCGCACTTGCACCTTTGCTGGGAGCCTCCGCATTTGGAGCTGTCACGTGACTCGGGGAGCTATTTTTAGCCTCCCCAGCCCTGTGTTGTAGGAAGAATGATTTGATGAAAATACTAAACTCATTAAAAGCCTGGGGGATGGGGAGGGAAAGAAGGGCTGCCAGAGTGGGGAGGCTACAGCCTCCAAGATTCCAACCCAGGCTGAGCAGCACAGAGGTAAAGACAGCAGGGACCTGGTATTTCCACGGGCACCGTGCCCTGGGGAGCTGGGGCAGTAGGGACTATTAACTCTAATACCCGGTACTGCTGGTCAGTACTATGGGCCAAGCGCTATGCACAATACTTTACTGCATCTGCCCCACAATACTCCTAGAAAAGAAGAGCCAACAACATTCCATTTTGCAGACGAGAAAACTGAGGCCCAGAGGAGTTAAAGAAGTTGCTCAAAGTCATTAGCTAAGAAGCTGGGAATTCCTAGGGCTCAAACCCAAGCCATCTGACCCAGGAGTTTGCCCTTTACCCATCCTGCTGCAGGAAACCCCATCTGTACCCACTCACTGTTCAAAACAGAGGCACAGGACGAGCATCAGCAGCATGTGACCCAAGCAGTCAAACAGGACCCCACACTTAGAAGGACCCTATGCTTAGTTAATGCTCAGCTGTCACCGACTTGAAATTCTCAATGATTTTTTAACAGGGGTCCCTGCATTCTCACTTTGCACTGGGCCCTGCAAATGATGCCGCTTGTGCTGCTGGAGAACCCTCCTGCCCTCTTTGCAAGTTCCTCTGATCTGCACGCTCAACTAGTTTCTCAATTTTTCTTCCTCCTGTTCAGAATCAAGGGGCACTTTCTTTGTATTGTGTTCACAGCTGAGATTCAGGTTCTGAAGTCACCCAGGCTTGGGTTCCAATCCCAGCTCTGCCGCTTTGTAGCTGTGCACTCCCAGGAATCGCCTTCACTTTTCTGAGCCTGCGTTTCCTTGTCTGTAAAAACGAAGACAGTACCCAGCACTTTGGGAGGCCGAGGCGGGCGGATCACGAGGTCAGGAGATCGAGACCATCCCGGCTAAAACGGTGAAACCCCGTCTCTACTAAAAATACAAAAAAAAAATTAGCCGGGCGTAGTGGCGGGCGCCTGTCGTCCCAGCTACTTGGGAGGCTGAGGCAGGAGAATGGCGTGAACCCGGGAGGCGGAGCTTGCAGTGAGCCGAGATCCCGCCACTGCACTCCAGCCTGGGCGACAGAGCGAGACTCCGTCTCAAAAAAAAAAAAAAAAAAAAAAAAAAAAACGAAGACAGTAATAGTTTCTACCTCTTTCCTTGCTGCAGGGATGAAATATGATTTTTTTTCTGTGTGGCAATCACTAACCCCAGGCCCAGGTACACAGTAGATACTCCACTGGGGCTCAGTTGTTACTGCGCGTAAAGAAAGCTAAGATGTCAAGTCAGCTGAGTGGACCCCAATGTCTAGACCAATAGCATGTGATTCCCAAGGATCCCCAAAAGCTCAGATCCTCCAAGAACAAACCCAAGAAAGCCCCAGGTTTCAAGCTGACGTAGGGAGACAGTCTTTACCTTCACTCTATCATTTATCAAATGTGTCCATAGCTAATGTCACGTTCACATGAGCCCTGTGAAACTGGCATTAAAACTGCCTTCATTTTATAGACGCAGAAGAACGAACCTGGAGACTTGCCAAGGTCACAGCCAGAAGTGGCACAGCCAAGATTAGTACCAAAGCCTAACTTCAAGTCTAGTGGGAATGTCAGCTTCCCCCATGCTAGGCAGGCAGCTTGTCCCTTTATCCCACAGAGAAAGGCGACTTTGGCTTCCACCCCAGCCTCTTCCTCCAAAGACTCAGAGCCCGGCCTAGGGTTGCAAGCAGCAGTGGTGTGGACAAACAACAGGCCAGTGGCCTCTGGACACCTGTACAGAGAACCCCTTCCTTGCTCCCTTAGCCAAAAATGCTTGAAGTGGCCTCATCCAAACCAGCTCCTTCAAGCTCTGACCACCCATTTCCCCGCTGCAACCTCAGAGGTTCAGCTTGCTCTCCAGGCAGGATCCCCCTGCTATAGAGGGACTGGGGAGAAAATGCTGGTGAAGGTGGCAGTGGGAGAAGGTGCTTCAGACAGAGACCAGAGGGTTAGCACGGGCGCTTCAGAACGCAGGAGAGGAAGAAGGATTACAGGGAGATTGTTTTCAGAATCATATTTTGCCTTCCAAGGACATCCAGAATCAGAGAGCTGCCAGAGCCCAAGTCGAGTCTGTTGGTGCCTTACCTATACCCCATCAGCCCTTACTGCTCCCTGACACCCACAGGGTTCTTGGGCAAGTACCTCCACCCCTCTGTGCATGGCGCCCTCTGTCCAGGAGCGTGCTTGGCCAGGGGAGGACATGGAATTAGCGCCCCAGGAGCAGCCGCAGGGATACACAGGGGGAACTGGAGGCTAAGCACCCAGCTTCCTCCATCCTCAGGGGGAACATTCTAAGACATGTCCCCAACTGTCTCCCAGGGTCCCTGATGAGATGGAGTCCCCGTCACCCACAGCAGTAACCTGCTTATTAATGTTCCCTGCTTCCCACATCCTCCCAGAGTTTCCTGGGGTCACCTCCCACACGAACTACTGGTCCTCAAATCTTCACCTCAGAGTCTGCTTCCAAGGGAATCCAGCCTAACACAGAAGTCATTCATTCATTCGTTCATGCATTCATTCATGCTTCAGATCCTCATTGCCTATCTGTCATTGTATGAGCATAAAAAGTTAGTTCCGTGGGCCTCAGTTTCCATCTCTAGAAAATGAGATTTGTTATTCAGGCAACAAACATTTATGGAGCAATGGAGGAACTCCACGTGCCAAGCCTCTGACACCAGCTCCATCTCAGACATCTCTGGATATGAATAAAACAGATGCCTTTACTGAAGGTGTCCCATGCGCCAGACCCCATGCAAAGACCTCCATGGGCATTCTCTTCCTTCCTACTCACAATGACCCAGTAAAGTCGCTATTATTAGACCCCTCTCACAGGCAGGGAATTGAACTCTCAGGGAGGATAAGTGTTTTTCCAAGGTGACAGAACAGTCAGTAAGTGGCAAAGCCAAGATCCCAAGCAAGGTCTCTGGGAATCTTCAGCCTGGTAAACCTTGACCTAACCACCAAGCTGCACAAATGCTCATTCTCCCCTTGAACCACCAGCTGGTGCAGAGCCTCGAGGAGCCAGGTTCCTCTCACCAGCCATGCAACCGCTGTCATGTTTTCATCCAATGGCTAATGGCTATCCATGACTCAGCCTTAAGTGGAGGAGTTAAGATGAAAAGGGCTCAGGCTCAAGAGTCAATTCCCCATTCCTACCCTTACTCATTCTGTGACCTTGGGTAAGTCAGTTCACCTCTCTGAACCTCAGACTCTTCATCTGTAAAATGGGGTGGTGGTGAGGGTTGGGTCTTTGTATTCTGATTATAAACTAATGCCCTTTGACTATTATTATAGAATTGAACTCAGACCCAGCGGGGCACGGTGGCTCACACCTATAATCCCCCACTTTGGGAGGCCGAGGCATGCGGATCGCCTGAGATCAGCCTGGCCAACATGGTGAAACCCCGTCTCTACTAAAAATACAAAAATTAGCTGGGCATGGTGGTACACAGCTGTAATCCCAGCTACTCGGGAGGCTGAGGCAGGAGAATCACTTGAACCCAGGAGCCGGAGGTTGCAGGGAGCCGAGATCATGTCTCTGCACTCCAGCCTGGGTAAGAGCAAAACCCTGTCTCAAAAAAGAAAAAAGAAACTCAGACCCAATCTGTCAGACTCTAAACCCTATATTTAAAGAAATACCGCCACCACCACACACACACGTTTACCTACATACCAATCTAGATGAAGTTATTGGTAAAGGCAGTATCTAACTATCTTTCTAGAAGTTTCCAGAAGTGTCTGAAAATTAATGGGATGGACTCTGAATGCTTTTCCCATAGAAACAGTGTTCCCAGCCTGCAAAAGCTTCTTTAAGCCACCATGTGCCTAACGGCTGGCTCAGAGCCCCACATCAGCCTCACCCCACCACCAGCTAGATCTTCTTATATGAGAAAAGACTGGGTACAAAAGGCAAACTTCACAAGGCCAAGAACACTATAAGCACTAAGTTCAGGGGACTCCAAAGGAGGAGGGAGAAGGGGTGGGCAGGACCTTCTAGACAGCAGTGACTAGTGATGTCCATCTGAGTAACAGAAGGCTCTGGAGGGAAGGAAGGTCTGACTCTGTCACTGCCTAGCTGGGTGACCTTGGGCAAGTTACCTCTCTGAACCTCAATTTCCTAATCCGTGGAATGAGATAACAATACCACCAGCAGCAGGCGGTTGTTGTGGGGATTAGATGGGATAATCTGTGTAAAGGCCTCAGCTCACCACCTATGCCTGGTTAAGTGGTAACTCTTGTTGCCTAAGTCAGTGAAGGATGCGGCAAATCATGTTTTCCAAAATACATAACTTCGGCACTCTTCCACCAGAAGACAGAACTTGGGTTCTCTCCCTGGAATCTGGGCAGGCTTGTGATTACAATGGAAGTGACACTACGCAACTTCCAAGGCCCGGTCACAAAAGATAATGCAACTTCTGCCTGGTTCTCTTGGGATGCTCACTCTTGGGACCCAGCCACCATACTGTGAGGAAGCCCACACAGCCCATGGAGAAAATCCTACACATGGAGAAAATCCAAGGTCCCCAACCCACAGCTCCAGGCTGAGCTCCCAGCCGACCAACAGACCTACTTGCTAGCCGCAGCCACATGAGCGAGCCATCTTGAAATTGTATCCTCCAACCCAGTGGAGCTGCCTCAGCTTCTGTCACATGGGAACTGAGAAAAGCCCTCCTCTCCATGCCCTGCCCAAATTGCAGATTTATGAACAAAATATATGATGTTGTTGTAAGCCACTGAGCTTGGAGGTGGTCTGTTTGCAGCAGTAGATAACTGATTCAGAGAGGATAAGGGGCTGCCCAAGGTCACACAGCCGCTCAGTGGAACCCAGTCTTGAGCCAAAGTCCCCAGCATCCTGGGGTAATTCTCCCTTTCACAATCCCTATTTAACAGACAGAAAAGCAGGGCTCAGAGAAGTTAAGGAAATACACTTAGCTTAGAAGTTAAGGTCACGAAGCAAGTGTTCTGGTTTAATTGTGCTCTTTCTCTCAAAGATGTGTTGAACTCCTAAACTCCAGAACCTCAGAATGTGACCTTATTTGGAGATAGGCTCTTACGGAAGTAATCGAGTTAACATAAAATGATTAGAATGGGCCCTAATCCAATATAACTGGTGTCCTTATACAAAGGGGAAATGGACAGAGACAGACATGCACAGAGGAAGACAGTGAGAAGACACCAGGAGAATGCAATGTACAAGCTAAAGAACGCCTGAGGCTACTAGACGCTAGGGGAGAGGCATTCTGGGAAGGCTTCTTGGAGGAAGTGACGCCTAAGTCCTGAAGGATGCATAGGAGTTAGCTGAGAGATGATGGGAGGGAAGCATATTCTCTGTAGAGGGGGCAGCTTGGGGTTCCGGGAGTCCTGCTGTAAGGACTGAGAAGCTCGCAGGCAGTAGCTGGAATGGTGTGCGTGGCAAAGGCCTGGGCTGGAGCAGTGCCCGGAGGCAGGATGAGGATGGCCTTTGTTAATTCAGCAGGCAGGCCGTTTGGATGTCATCCGAGGGCAGTGGGGAGCCATCTGCCTTTTTCTTCTGAGCCTTGTCACCCCAGCGGGTGTCCTCTAAGAGCATTTCACACTGTGGCCTGGCCCTCCTCCTTGGAGCCTGGAAGTGAGAGAAATGGTGGGTTTGTGCTCAGCAGGAGAGGAGCTGTCTTTGCAAAGCCCCCTCGGGTCTGGGAATTAAGGGCTTCTGCTGCCGACTTCCACCCTGCAGCCCTTCAAAAAGTGTCATCACTGCCAAGTGCAATTCCAAATAAAGAGACGCCTTCGCAGAGCCACCTGCGGGTTGAGGGAAAGCTGGAAGGCTGGGGGGCATCACTGCGAGGCCCTCGAGGGCTGCTCACAGGAATCTCTCCTAGGGGGTGGCCCCAAGCTGGAGTCCTCTCGCCACCAGCCCCAGAGGCACTGGGTGGAATCCTTATGTTGTTACTGTTAATAGAAAGGGTTTCTGGATAAAGACACCCTCCTCCTACCTCCTAAGGAGCCCAGGGCCTGTAGAGATTGTCATTAAGATTGCTGTTATCGACAGCAAGGTCCACATGATGTGGAGATTTGGATGCTGTTCTTCTGCGGCCTCCCCTACGCCCATAAAAGATAGCTTCTCTGTGTTTCCCAAAGCCTTCTCATACATTCCTTTCAGATATGAATTCCTCAGCCAAACCAGAGCTTTGGAAGTGTCCCTGGGGCCTCCCTAGTCTGAGGAGTGCCTCCACCCACCCACCCCAGCTTCTGGAGTGCCTGTGCTTCCACCAACATCCACTCAACTCTTCACCAATGCAAAGTCAATGAATGTTGTCAACAAACATGTCAGGTAACCAGTACAAGATAGAGCAGAAGCTGGGAACCTGGGATAACTGGGGCATGGAAAACACCTCCCCACCCTCCCCAAAGGCCCCAAAGATGCACATGTGGCTTTCAGTACCAGGGCAGGTACCATGCCACCCTATGGGCCTCAGGAAGTCAGCCAGTTCTGGCTCTTCCACTCACTACCTGCAGCTTTGGGCATATTACTCTAACTCCCAGAACCTCAGTTTATTCCTCTGTAAAATGGGTATAGTACGGGCACCGACATCATGGGGCTACTGTGAGGGTGCAGGGTGATAATGTCAACAGAGCACCCAGCGTGGTATTGGGCACTTAGGAGCCCTCGGTGACTGGAAGCTGCAATAGGGCAGGGGGTCATGGAGCCAGGTGAGAGAAGGGGCATGGAAAGAAGCTTCTAGAACCCCCTGTGGCCTGGCCACCAAATTGCCTGGTGGGAACAAATGAGCCCCAAGTCGGCAGTCACAGGAGCTACCAGATGCTGCCCTGAGCCCTCTCCACGTGTTCTTCGTTTCATCATTACCCAGACCCAAGCAGGTGGGCTCTGTTATCCTCTCTATTTTAAAGAAGAGGAAGCTGAGGCTCCTAAACCCCAATTAATGTGCCCAATGTGATCACAAGGCTAGTAAGTGGTGGAGTCCAGGTGCCAGAAAGAGGTCCAGAGAGCACCTCTGCCTAGAGTGTGGCCCGCTCGAGCAGAAAGCAGCCCCAGTCAGCCTGAGATGAACAGCTCTCCCCTCGGGCTTAGAACTCCCAGCTGCTTCTCTGAGCTGGACTCCTGCCAGTGTTCACCCAGGTAACGGAATTGCCTGGGGAGCCCTGCTTGACTCCAGGGAAGCCGGCGGGGGGGGCCCCCAGGCAGAGAAATGAAGTGAGCAAGACACCTCCCGTCCCCAGCCTTCCCCCGCTCATCCCTCTCCTCCAGAGGAGCTGGAAGGAGGAGTTCCTGCAGAAAGAGTCCACACCCAGGAGGACACTGTGCTCGGGCTTATGCCAGGAGGCCGCCCCCTACCCCAGCAAGGGCGGCGACAGGAGGCGGAAACCCTGGGAGCAGAGGGGGAGGGGCCGGCCCAAGGAGTGTCTGAGCGCCTTCTCCCAGGCTGCCTGGAACAGGATGTTCCAAAACGAGGAGGCTAGCCAAGAAGCAGGGCGTGTGTGCGTGTCTGTGTAGCGTATGTGTGTGTGTGCGTGGTGTGCATACGTGCATGTGGTATATGCATGTGTGCATGTGTGGTGTGTGTGCCCTGTGTTGTAAGTGCACGTGCACGTGGGAGGGTGTGGTGTGCGAGGGCTATGTGTGAGTGTGGTGTCTGTGTGTGACGTGTGGCATATGTGATGTATGTGGTGTGTGTGGGTGTGTATATGCATGTGGTATGTGCACATGCACACGGTGTCTGGTGTGTGGCGGGGAGTGTTTGTGTATGTGTGGTGTGTGTGTATGTGTGGTGGGTGTGGGTCTGTATGTGTGTGATGTGTGTGGGTGTGTATGTGTGTATATGTGGTGTGTGGGTGTACGTGTGTGGTGTGTGGGTATGTGTGTGGTATGTGTGGTGGTTTGTGACTGGTGTGTGTATGTGTGTGGTGGGAGTGTTTGTGATTGTGTGGTGTGTGTGTGGGGGGGAGGGACTGGCACTGTGGAACACCAGGACAGGATCTGAGTGTGGGTGGGTTAGGTTCACCTATGTAGAGCAAGGCGGAAGTGACGAGGAAGTGGAGGAGCAAGAGGAGAGGGAGGAAAAGGAAGGGGGAAGCGAGGGAGGCAAAAGGAGGAGGCCAGCGATTGCAGGGGTATCTCATACTCTCACTCTCCCCTACCTGGGGACAGCAGGGGTGTTGGAAAGGGCACTGGGGGTCCCTGCTCTGAGAAAACCCTCATGGGGCATCCAGGTGGTGGACTGGAAAACTGTCCCAAGGGTCTTCTGCCCTCTCTCCATGGCCGTCAGCCCCATGGCCTCTCTGGCTGACAAGTGGGTTCCCCTGAACTCATATGTCAACTTAATTGCCTCCCCCTGCCCCTATCCTTCCTGATGAATAGGAGTAGCTGGCTGACTGGGGACCACTTATTCTGGACATTGCTGAAGAGGGTCAAGGCATGCTTTCGGTTTGATCTAGGGTTTCTGTCAGTGATCGCTAGTGATTCATGTGATACTGTAAGAAGTCAGTCAGGGCCTTGGTGTTGACAAGGTTAGATGATTGATTGACTGACTGACTGACTGACTGACTGACTGACTGATGGTCACTGTGGGTTTCACTGTAGCTGGCTGGCTGTGATCTGGACTGACCAGGCCATGGACTGTGGGAGCTTGTGACTATGACTGGGCCAACTGCAACTGGGCTGATGGATTCAGTGGATTGAACATGACTGGTGAGGAGACAGGTTGACAAGGAGACCAACTCATTGACCACATGCATGATGGACTGACTGGCCAGTTGATGACAATGGGTTTGGTGTATGGTTGACTGGTTGGTTGTTTAATTCAAACTGACTGGATAACTAGGCAGCTTACTATGACTGACTATTGTGACTGCCTGCCTGGCTGACTGAGGGAATAACTGAGTCAGTGTGACTGGCAGGCTGATTCAGACTGACTGGATGTCTGGATGACTATGATCTCCTAACTGATAGCCGTCAGTGATGATCTTGACTGACTGACTAGCCGGCTCTGGGATTGGCTGTCTCTTCCAGACTGACTTGGTAACCGTGGGTCTGACTGTGACCCCTGCGTCTTGACTGACCGCCTTGATTGCATGCCTGACATTTTGAGATCAACTGACTGGCTGGTTGCCTGGTGTTTCATTGTGGCTGTGGCACAGCCTACGGCTACCTGTGACTAACCATGAAACTGACTACACCCAACTCACAGGACAGACCGGGTGGACTGACCACCTGCCTTAGTCATGGAAAACTGACTCTGGCTGACTCAACTGCCAGAGACTGACTGAGATGAACAGGCCAGCCAAGAGACAGCTGGGTGACTCGTGGTGAGTGGCTTTGTCTGACTGGATGGCTGTGACAATGTAACTGAGTCTGGCTGTGAGACAATAACCTGTGGATTGACTGACTTGAATGTGTTGACTGGGTGGCTGAATCTGATTGGCTATGTGGGTGACTGATGACTCCTGGCTGACTGGCTAACCCTGCCTTGACTGACTGATTGATGGGCTGACAGATCGAGTTTGACCAGGCAGCAGGAGACCTGCTGACCACGGCTGTGACTCACTGTGTGAGCGGCCATGTCTGACTGTGTAACACAATCTGACCAAGAGACAATGACTAATTGACTGACCAACTGACTGAGATTGGCTGGGTGTCTGACTGACCAGCTGTGACTGCAACTCCTGATGTGAGTGGGCGTTGACTGGGTGGCCCTGACTCGTATAGGCAAGTCTGGCTGTGAGACAACAGCTAACTCCCTGACTGGCCCAGTGTGCCAACTGGCTGACTGCTTGAGGCTGGCCAACAGACCAGCTGACCGTGCCTGGGACTCACGGTGTGCGTGGCCATGCCTCACTGTGTGGCCCTGGCTGTGTCTCGGAGTCTGACTGTGAGACAAGGGCAGACTGACTGACTTTCCTGGCCAACTGCCTCCAGGTAGCCTGTCAACACAGTCCCTACCCTTCCCAAAACCATTAAAGTGCTGCAGTGGGAGCTGGCCCAGCCTGAGGGGACAGAGCAGCTTCTGTGGAGCAGCAGGGACAGGAAGAGGGAAGCAGGAGCCGCTGGAGGGAGAAGAGGAGTAGGCCCTGCCCAGGAATGGGCCACACGGAAAGTTCTCCACCTCACCCTGGCGGGGGCTGGGTCACAGGCACACGTTCTTGGAGCTGTGTTTTGGCTCTAGTCTTATAGCTCCTTTGTTTGGGGGTGAGGGGGGAGGGGAGCTGGGGGAACCTATAAACATATTGAGCCAATAACTCACCTACAGGACTCCAATTATAGGGCTGGGGGAGAGAGGATAGCTGGGTGGGGGTGGGGCGGGCCACGGGCAGCCATTTATGGGGCTTGGATTGGGGCCAAACGCTGCCCTAGAAAATCCAGGTCTTGGAATGCAGGGCTGGAGAAGTCTTAGGAAGGAGCAATGTGTCTGTCAGTCACACCTCTGTTACCGCCACCATTTTATAGCTGGGGAAACAGAGGCCCACAGCCCTCAAGAGCCCAGGGCATTTCCCACACCCGGCCCCCCCTGGGGCTGTCCCCCAGAGCCCGGGCAGGTGGTGAGCCTCAGCCCTCCCTTACTCTCCCGCAAGATGCTGGGCAGCAGAATTTGGGGGGCAGGGTCGATGACCTTGGGCAAGTTACTCCATCTCTCTGAGCCTCAGTTGCTTCATCAGTTAAACAGCTGTTTCTGATAGAAGCCACTTGGCAGAACTCGGATTGGGTGCCCAGATGCCTCTGCCACCACCTGTGTGGTCTCCAGCAGGGAGCTTTGCATTTTGCGCCTCGGTGTCCCCATTCACAAATGGGAACGGGCTCAAGAAAGGCACTTACTTCATAAGCTTGTCATGAGGAGGAAAAACACAATCCACATGAAGACTTCAGCTCGGTGCCTGGCACCTAGTAAACAACCCAGAAATGTGAACCTGCACAATGATTAATCCTCATCTCTTGGGAGGCATTAGGATTAATCAAGATCTTTGACGCGCATGTACTTGGGAAGCCATGACGTTCAGCCCCAAAGTGTTGGGAGGCACAGGGGCACAGCCTGGTAATGGTGCCACCGATGAGCCCAGCTGGGCCCTCCGCAGCCACCCTGAAATGCCACCTGCTTCCCCAAAGGATCTTACAGACCCTCTGGGAGGCACCAGCTGCTCCTGATACCACAGCCACTGGGGCCTGGTCCCCAGGGACAGGGAGGTGAAAACAGGAGGAAATTTTCTGGGGTTCCCCCAGGTAAGAGCCAAGGGCCCAGGTGTCACACATAGGCCTTGGTGGGGACAGGAGCCTCTTCCAGGAACGCCCAGAGTCTCAGGCCCTCCAGAAGCTGAAGAAAAAGCCAGACTCTTCTCTGAAGCTGAGAAGAGTAAGGGCAGCCAGAAAGGCAGAATTTCCCCAGGAGGCTGAGAACCTGGGTGTGGGCCCAGGAAAATCCCTCCCACGGTAACACTGCTGTCCTGTTCTCAGAGGGCTGCTGGGGAGGTGAGCTCATTTGACCTTCACAGCCACTTATAACTGTAAATTACAACACGCCAGGTAATAAAGCATCCCCAAGGTCATAGCCAAGGAACTTCAGGGCCACCTCCTGATGCATTCCTTCCTCATTCATTCCTTCAGCAAGTTTTTATGAGCATTTCTTCTGTTGAACCAGGCAGAAACAACAGTGATGAGGGCCCGGTCTCTGGCTCTAGAGGTGTGTAGTCGGGAGGACAGCACAGCAGAGGCTTAAGACCTCAGATTCAGGAGCCAGGCAGACCCACTCTTGAATCCCAGCTCACATGTTTACTAGATCTGCAACCATGGGCCAGTGGCTTTTCTCCTCCGAGCCTCAATTTTCCTATCTGTAAAATGGGAATAGTTATGGCACCAATCTTACTGGGTCATGGTGAGGATTTAACAAAATATTCAATAAATGCTTAGAAAATATGTTCCAGGGAGCTGTGAGTGTGTCCCTTCTGCCCCATAATTCCTTCCTCATCTGTAAAGTGGGCATACGGCCCTACCCTACGGGGTCACTGTGAAGAATGAATGAGCACTTAGCACTGTTGCTACCACCTCACACAGCTCTAGTGGGTGCTGTTCACACCAGGGTTGATCAGTCATGGCCTGTGCAGCTCTTCACAGTGGCCCTGTCTGGCAAACAGTAAGGGCCCCATAAACGGTGAGCTATTTGTCTTACTCTTAGAGGGGAATGCAAAGTAGAAAACAAGTATTTAAATGCTAAGAGTGTGCAAGGGCTCAGTTAGGGTATAAATCCAGAAGCAGGAGCTCCACTTACTTGGTTAGGGTGATGAGGAAGGGAAAGAAAGGGTCAGAGCCATCTGGGGCTTAGCCAAAGGATGGATGGGGCCAGATGGGGGAGCTCCTGGCAGAAGGGAGGGCCTGTGCAGAGGCCTGGAGGCAGGAGAGAGTGGAGCCTCCAGGGGTACCTCGGACCTGCCAGAGGGGCTGGAGCTGGACTCCCAGGGGTAGCCTGGTTCTCAGGCCATCTCCAAGCCAGCTCTCCCTCCTCAGGCAGAGCTGCCAGGCTTCCTGTCCCCTAATTCTACAGGGCCTCAGTCAGGGACTCTCACGGTCCTGTTTCACAAAAGAAGAAAGGCATTCTTGGACTAGTTTCCTATTGCTGCTGGAACAAGTTGCCACAAACTCGATGGCTTAAAACAGATTGATTCTCTTAGAGTTATGGAGGTCTGAAGTCTAGCATCAGCGTGACAGCAGGTCTGCATTCCGAAGGTCTTCCTTCTGAAGGCCTCAGGGGAGAAACCATCCCCTTTGTCTCTTCCAACTTCTGGAGGCTGCCTGTGTTCCCAGGCTCATGGTCCCTTCCTCGGATCCCTCCAACCTCTTGCTTCCCTTGTCACATTGCCTTCTGTCCCTCCAGTCTCCTGCCTCCTTCTTAGAAGGACCTTCGTGATCCCCCCTGGACGATCGTCTCTTCTCAAGATCCTGAGCTTAATCACATCTGCAAAGTGCCCCCTGCCTCAGGGCCTTTGTGTGTGCTGTTCCCTCCACCCGAAATGCTTTTCCCCGAGACATACACATGGCTCATTTCTTCGCCTCCGTCAGGGAGCTGCTCATATGAAACCCCTCGCCCCATGCTTGACTTTTCTCCATCCACTCATCACGAACTGGTGTATTAGAAATTGATGTTTTTATTTATTTTCTGTCTCCCCACAGGTATATTATAAACTGCAGAAAGACTGGGACTTTATCTATCTTGTTGACTACAGCCTCCTCAGCACCTAAATCAGTATCTAGTATCTAGCAAGAACTCAAAATAAATAATGAGTGAACAAATGGGGCTACTGAAACTCAGAGAGGGGATGTGACTTGTCCAAGGTCACAAATTATAAAGTGGCAAAACCAGGGATTTGAACCCAGGTAGGCCTGACTCCAAAGCCTTAATGGTTTGGCTCAATGACGCCTGTCAGCCTCTTAAAATTTACTTATGTGGGTACCAGGCCTTCAGGCCCTTCCCTCTGCCTTCTCCTGGTGGAGGATGTGGGCTCCTCTGTGACTCACACTAAGAAATAACACTGAGAGAAATCGTAATAGTTTCTCTTGGCCCAGAGCATTAGATTTTACAAGAGACTGAGGGCACTGCGAGAGCAGAGAGCCCACCTGTTTCACTTGGCATTGTCTAATCAGTACTAGACACATAGTTGGCACATAGTTGGTGCTCATGAAATCTTTGTTAATAAATGATGAATGACTCTCACTTGATTGCACAGAGAAGATCTGCTCTATATGTATCTATTCACCTATTCATCTATCATATGTCTAGCCATCCATCCATCCATCTTCTATCTCTCTGTCTGTCTATCCATTCTTCTGCCCATCCATCCATCCATCCACCCACCCATCTATCTATCTTATCTGTCTGTTTCTATTTTGTAGCAGTTCCTAGACTCACAACGTTTACCCAACCGTGGGATATTCAACTGGAAGAACACAGAATTCTGAACAAGGTTCCCCTTCTTCCCAAACTGTACCATGGAGGTCTTTGCTCTGGGAGAGCAGGCTTAGGAGACAGTGAACTTTAGGAACCCCCATTTTTCTACTCGAAAGTCCTAGCCTCATTCCCTGCTTCTGTGCCCATCCCTCTTGCCTCTGTCCCTCTTGGTTTTGTGATCGGTCCCACCCAGAAATGCCTTAGGACTAGGCCTCTCCCACCTCCCCTGATGCACCTGGTCTCAGAGGTCAGGGAACATAACAGTGACCCTGAGGACACAGAGGTGAGGAAAAGGCCCCAGGTTACCCTTCCTGCCTTTCAGCCTGAGCTGTGCCCTCTAAATCAGCCAGAACATGTAGACAAATGTGGTCTCTTAGACTCCCCCATACACCTACCCACATTTTCCCCACCCACGTCTCTCTTCTGTACCTACCTCTTCCTTCCCCAGGTGAGATTTTTGAGAAAAACTGAACCTTATCCTTCTCTATAGTTTCCTTCCTACCAAGTTACTGGAAAGAGAAGTCTTGAAACCCCCCCGTGTTGGGAGAGGAAAAAAAGCAAGAAGAAGGTGTAAACAAAGATTAATTAAACCTCATATGCAACCCAGAGGAACAGCCTAGGGCAGCTGCTGCAGCTGGAAAGATATTCCCCAAAGGGGGACAGGATGACAGGAGGGCCACTTGGGCTGGCAGACAGGATGTGGCAGACGCTACATTGAAGAATAAAGTTTCAGGACAAATCTTGCCTTTGAGCAAGATTTGAGGAAGATATGTTGGCACACCCAAGGAGGAAGCTCTAATTCATGTCACTGTAGGATTCATTCAACTCCATACACAGACATTCCAACCCACCACTGAAGTACTACAATGACCAGCATTGGTGAACTATACTCACTCCAAGTCTTTGCTTTATAATTGTGATGATCATCCCAGCTGGATGTAATAATAATTAGTGCAGCCACTAGTGTTGTTATGGCCACTGAGAGTCGACCACCTACTACGGGCCAGGGCTCCGCGCTCAGAACTTTATTTCTATTAACACTCAGAAATTTCACAACATCTCTATGAGGTAAGATGTGCCTGTTCTACAGATGAGAAAACTGAGGCACAGAGTTAAGTCACTTGCCCTGGACCACAAGACTCTTCTCATTTCCACTTTACAACAGAGGTCAGCAAAGCACAGCCCCGCAGGCCAGGCCAGCCACTGCCTGTTTTTATAAAGTTTTATTGGCACACAGCCATGCCTGGTTGCTCATGTATTACCTCTGGCTGCTTTGGGGCTACAACAGCAGAGTAGTTACCGCAGAGACTATATGGCCCCCAAAGCCAAAAATATTTTCTTTCTTTCTTTTTTAATTGAGACAAGGTCTGGCTCTATCACTCAGGCTGGAGTGCAGTGGCATGATCTCAGCTCACTGCAACCTTCGCTTCCAAGGCTCAAGCCATCCTCCCACCTTAGCCTCCTGAGCAGCTGGGACTACAGGCACTCACCACCACGTCTGGCTTATTTTTGTATTTTTTTAGAGACAAAAAATGCAGGTTGCCCAGGCTAGTCTCAAACTCGTGAGCTCAAGTGATCCACCCGCCTTGGCCTCCCAAAGTGCGGGTATTACAGGCATGATCCACAGTGCCCGGCCAAAAGCCAAAAATATTTTCCATCTGCACCTTTAGAGAGAAAGGTTTCTGACCACTGCCCTAGAATTTATTCTCTGCCGGTCCCCAAAGGGATCTTTAAAAATGCTGACTCAAGTCATGGCACAACGTGTTTAAAATCTTTTGAATAAAATCCAAATTCCTTCCCACAGCCCAGGAGGCCAGTAGGATTCAGTACCTCTCCCACTCTCACCCCCACTGAGTACATTCCAGCACTGGACATTTTTCCATTTATGAGCTGGGCTCTTTCTAACCTCAGGGCCTTTGTGCATGCTGCTCCCTCTGTCTGGAATGCTTTTCCTCCAGCTCTAGGTCTCAGCTCAAATACCACTTCCTCTGAGAGGCTTTGCCTGACACTCTCCATCCCCACACCCAGTCTATTTCCTTTCTAGCAGTGATCACAGTTTTTGTCATTGTTTTATCTGTCTAATCTCTCTGGGCTGCAAGCTCCTGGCGCTGTGTTCCTGCTGCTCTATCACATAGTAGGTGATCTATGAATATCTGCCAAGTGAATGCAGCACTGGCATCCAGGCTATGGGACTCCCAAGTCACATGCCTGATGCAGACCCTCCTCTCCTCTCTTTCTTCCCCGCACTGCATTCAGAAAGCAATATTCATCAAAGTCTACGGAGGAACTAGATAACTCCAAAGAGGTGGATAAGCAGGCCTCCGCCCTCAACAAATTCCCTGAGGACCAAATCCTCCCAGTTCAGCCCCTTTCCTCCTTCTTCAGAAATGGATGACCAGAGCAAACAGGCCCCCACAATGGCTGCCTGGGAGCAAGCCGCTTCCCCAGAAAGACTCTTGCTGCTCCACACCCGGGCCCCGTCAAAGATGCCCCCAGTCCTCATCCCCCAAGGGGCCTCAGGACATAGCGAGGCTTCCCTGGAGAGGGCAGCACTGCAGAACAGGGATTGGTGCCGAATAGGGACCAGATCCAGGTATAGTGGGTTGAACGGTGGCCACCAAAAAGACATGTGTAAGTCCTAACCCCTGAAGCCTGTGAATGTGACCTGATTACATTTGAAAAAAGGTATTTGCAGATGTAATTAAATTAAGGATCTCAAGATGAGATCATCTTAGATTACCTGTGTGGGTCTTAAATCCAATGACAAGCATCCTTTTAAGAAAGGGAAGAGGTGAAGATACCAACACAGAGGAGAAGGCCATGTGAAAACAGAGGCAGATATATTGGAGTGATGGGGCCACAGCCATGGAAAGCCTGGAGCCAGAATCTGGAAGAGGCTGGGAAGCATTCTCCCCCAGCGCCTTCGAAGGGAGCGTGGCCCTGCTGACAACTTGGTCAGACTTCCGGCCTCCAGAACTGTAAAAGAATACTTTTCTGTTGTTGTAAGCCACCAGTTTGTAGTTAATTTGTTATGACAGCTACAGGAAACGAATACACAGGGGAAGAGCGAACTCACCTCTTGCTTCAGCCCATGAAGAGCATGCTTCTGAGAACCACAGAATTTTCTGCTGGAAGGAACAGCAGAGCTGAGTCACCCGACATTGCCTAAATCCCAGCATCCCGGCCCCACCTGACTGCTGTTTCTACTTCCACTCACCACCCTGCTGCTCTTCCCTTAGCATTTGCCTTCTAACTGACTTAACTTTTTCTTACTCAAATGTATTTACAGGCTGGGAGCCATGGTTCATGTCTGTAATCCCAGCATTTTAGGAGGCCGAGATGAGCGGATCACTTGAGGCCAGGAGTTTGAGACCAGCCTGGCCAACATAGTGAAACGCAGCCTCTACTAAAATTAAAAAAATTAGCCTGGTGTGGGGGCTATGAATATTTGTTGAGTGTAATCCCTGCTACTCAGGAGGCTGAGGCACGAGAATCACTTGAACCCAGGAGGCTGAGGTTGCAGTGAGCCAAGGTCGCGCCACTACACTCCAGCCTGAGCAACAGAGCGAGACTCTATGTCAAAAAAAAAAGCCATATAAAATATTTACAAATAGAACTTTATGTCACTTATCAGAGGGAGAAGCAGCACCGCATGCATTCATTCACTCCATCCTCTTATTCTGTCAACGAAACATTTATGAAGCACTGACTGTGAATGGGGCAGTATTTAAGGCTCTGGAAACACAGTAGGGATGAAGCAGACAAAAAAACCCCGTCCTTGTGGAGCTTGCATTCTCGTGCAGAAGGGGCTGGGAATAGCTGCTGACTTGTCTATAGCTATGAAGATTAAAAATATTCCTTGGGGCCAGTCATGATGGCTCATGCCTGTAATCCCAGCACTTTGGGAGGTCAAGGTGGGAGGGTCACTTGAACCTAGGAGGTCAAGGCTGCAGTGAGCCATGTTCATGCCACTGCACTCCAGCCTGGCAACAGAGCAAGACCCTGTCTCCAAAAAAAAAAAAATTTCCTTGGTTGGTATGTCCCCTGATTGTGACCCCCACGTGGGGCAGTGCTCCCAGGGAGGGAGTTGAGGGCAGAAGCAGCATGGAGGCAAAGGCCAGGGTTTGAATTCTGGGCGTGCCACTTGCTGCTCTGTGCCCTGGGAACCTGAGATTTCCCTCCAAGAAAGCTGAAGGAGTCTCTAGGGCCCCCGGTCTCCTGCCACTAAGGGCCTGCAGTTCTGTGAAGGGGAAAAGCTCCTCCGCCAGGGGCAGGGCGGGGCCGGTCTGCAGGGCGAGCACAGCCGCATTCCAAGGTACAGAGCTGCTGGGCCCAGAGGTGGCCTGGAGAGAAGGCGAGAGCTGGCGAGAGGGACGTTCTGGGAGAGAAGGCGCAGCCTGCCAGAGCTCGGAGCCCGTGCCAACCCCGGCCTCCTGTGAGCAACAGGAAGGGGAGGTCGCGTGACTTGTGGGATCTGTGGGCAAAGAAACTGTGAGGCTGGACTTTCGCCCAGGGCAGACAGGAAGCCTGCTTCTGAATCCTCGAGTTAGCATACGCATCAGCCATTCACCAGACCCAGACAACCCGTTTTATATGGTTTACCCTCACAACCACCTCAAAGGCAGCATGACTATTCCCATTTGACAGATGCGGAGATCAAGACTCCTCAAGGGCACACAGCTCTAAGTGGCAGGGCCAGGATTTGAACCCAAGTCTGATCTCAACCATCTTACTTACCTTTGCCTCTATTTCTGAATTAGTAAGGTGTTGTTTGGTTGCAAGGGACAAATATCCAATTCAAACTGGCTTATCCCCAACCCCTACCCCAAAAAGAAATTTGTTGTAGTTTAGGGCTTTCAGGCACAGCTGGATCCAGATGCTCAATGTTCTCTCAATGTTGCCTCATCCTTTGGCCCTGTTTGCCTCTGTGTGAGCTTCACTTTATGGTATGAGAGGTACCAAATATGGCTACCAGAGGCTCCCAGCTTATATACTAGAAGCTTCACAGACTCACCAGAAATGTGAATCCCTGTTCTAATAGCCCTAGTATAAGTCACTGGCCCAGTTTGGGTGAGATGACCAGCCCAGAGACAGTCATATGGACAAGGATTTGCAGCAGTATTTCCATTGGCCAGGAATGGATCAGGTGTCCACCCCTGACGTTGGCAGGCCAGGGCAGTAACCTCTCACCCTCAAATCACAGGGACCGAGAATGAGGAGAGGTGATTCTCTAAGAGGAGATTGGGAATTACCAGCTGAATGGAGGCTTCACAAGCAGAACTGGTGGACATCCCCTACAGCCTCTCTGTGTTTCTCCCTTTAGTCTTTAGTAAAGTTTTTTTCTTTTTTTCTTTTTTTTGTTTTGTTTTGTTTTGGGAAAATTTCCAACCTCATTCTCATGGAAAGAAGAGGCAAAAGTTTTTAAGGCAAGGTGGTCTTGCAGTAAGCTGCCATTGTGTGGAGATGGGACTGCAGAGGAAGTGGGTTGTGCATCTGCTTTGTACAGTGATGGAATGCTTGGCTTCTTTTGGCCAACAGAATGTAAGTGAATGTGAGGTGAGCAGAGGTTTTAAATGTGCTTGCTGGTTTGGCTGGGTCTTTTGTACTTCTGCCATTCCCCATAAGACATCCTCTGTGAAACCTCTGATTCCAGAATGAAGCACATGGAACATTCCTGATCCTAACCCAAAGCCTAGAGCAGATCTACCCCCAGATGACCCACAGACCCAAGAGCAAGACAAAGAAAGAGTGTTGGTTGTGAGCCCCTGAGATTTTGTGGGGGTGCTTGTCATGCAGCATATCACAGTGCAAAATCTGACTAACACACTTTGAAAGTCTAGGGGTTCTTCCATTGAGGGAGGCCACTACTCTTGGAAGTAAACAGTCTGTCAGGAAGTGGGTCCTCTGAGCCGTGGCCACTCTATATTCTTCCCAAGATGCCCTAGGAACACAGAAGGGCTCAACCACCATATTTCAACCCCCACCCAGCAGAGTCTCCAGAAGGAATTTCAGCATCTTTTCTGGAGCAATCTGCCCTACCCTGCATCCTGAGTCTCCCGGGATCTTTACCAGCTGCGTGGCCATAAGCAAGTTAATTGCCCTCTTTCAGCCTTAGTTTCTTCACCTGTAAAAGGGAATGATACTAATCCTTAGCTTTTGGAGGAACTAATGGACAGAATGCATGTAAAACACACATTTATAGCACCTGGCACATGATAAATAGTTCAAAAAATGTTAGGTTTATAATTATTTGTTTTTGAAATTGCTGGAAGAGCAAAAATGCATTTGACTGTTCAGTCTGCTCCTCTAAGCCTTGGGAACACCATGCAATTGGTGTGTCTGTTCTCCGGAGCAGACAAACCCCCGGGTGCCTAAACTCAGAAGAGGCATTTGGGCCACTGAAGAAGCAAATTTTGATTGGTTTTGTTTTGGTTTGTTGGGGTTTTTTTCTCCCTCAATTTTTGGCTTCTGTTTTAGTTACTTGAAATCACACAGCCGATTTATTTATTTTGATTGCTCTTCACACAAGTAAAAATAAAACAAAGAAGTGCGAACAGTGACAGCCTTTGCTACAACTTTACTCAGGACAAAGAACCGTGGCTAGAAGAAAAGTCACAATTCCATTAAGTGGGAAAACACTGAACTCTCACGCTTCGTTTCCATCGGAAATTTACTATGAGGTGGGATTTTCATGCCAATTGACAAACCAGCGCCCAGTTCAGACTCCTTCAGGCTCTGCCTTCCTCAGCCTCCTGTCCCCTACTGTGCAGTGTGGAACTTGGAACGAAAATAGTGATCATTCTTAAATTATTATAATAGAAGAACAGCCACGTATTGGGCGCTGACCAGGTACCAAGCACCATGCTCAGTGCTTGATGTGCTAAGTGCTTCATTTAGTTCTCACCACATTGCTGGGAGGCTGCTATGCGTTCTCTCTCAGCCGAGGAAACTGCCACTCAGAGAATGTAAATAATGTGTCCACAGCTAGATGTGGGGAAGATCTGGGACTTGAACCCAGCTCTACTTCCAAAGCTTGTGCCCGAAACCCTATTTTGGGCCACAGTGCATGGTCCATTGTCCCGAGGACTCTGAGGTCCTGAGTCCTCAGAGGAGGCTGGGTAAGTGACAATCATGTGCGGAACCCCAGAAGGCAGCTCAGCTCCAGGGCCTGCCTTCTTCTATTTATGCATGATCTGTCCCAGCCTGTGAATTGGCCCCGTGGCTCCCCGCATGTCCTGGAAGAGGTGGATCACAAAGCTGCAGCTCCTTCAGGCCCCTCTCTGGCCACATCCAGGAAAGAAAGGAAGAACCTTCTGCCCTCACAGCAAACTGCCCAGTTCCAGCCTTGGAGGCAGGCAGCCTTCTCCACTGCCAAGGGCACTGAGTTAGGAGTGGCACAGCCACGTCTGACCTCTTCCCGGCCGTGTGGCCTAATCTCCCTGAGCCCCAGTTTCCCCATGTATAAAGCAGTGGCATAAACTTGTCTCAGTGGTTTCCAGACATTGTCAGTCAAGGAAAGCACTGATGAAAGCGCTCGCAGGTCTCTGTGTGTGCAAAACCAATGAAAGAGCAGCTGTTCCAGACAAAAGAGGCCTGGGTCTTGGCGCCCCTCAGTCTCCGTAGGGAGCAGTCACGATACTCCTGACCTAGCCCATCCCGGAGGCCCCACCCAGCTCTGACTTTCTGTGAATCTTGGATCTTGACACACGTCCCACCAGAAAGGTTTTTCTTCCCAAATGTGCTCATCAAAACTCTTGGGGTGCAAGAGACAAAAACTCAATTCGAACCAAGTTAAGCAAAAAGAGAAAGGTATGGGCAAGGTCCCTAAAATTCCATCTTGTCTTTTCTCAAAATCGAGCTGATCTTTGTAACGAGGAAAGCAGACGCTGTCACTCCCTGGCTTAAGGCCTTTCTTACATGGCTTTCCTTCTTAAATGGACCTGGGGAAAGGTGTGAATGCCTTACTTTAGCCTGTAAGTACGCGCACATTCTGGTCCCTGATTCTCACACCAACCCCATTTTGAGCCGTTCCTGCCTCTGGGCCTTTGCACATGCTATGCCCCCTACCTGAGATGACTGTCCCCTATCTCTTCCATATCCAGCTCTTTCTCACCATTCACGCTTCCGCTCAAATGGCAGCCCTTCACAGTAGCCTTTCTTGTCCACCCCAACTTAATTAGCCCACCCTTTTTACCCCCAATCACTCCTTAGCCCCTCACCTGGCGTTATTTTCTTATCATACTCTGTAATAGTCTTATCTATTTGCTTACTTATTTACTGTCTGTCTCCTCGTTAGAATGTCCATCGCATAAGGCAGTTTGCATTGCTTCCTGCAGTATTCCTGACATCTAACACCACTCTTGCCCATGTCCAAGTGCCCCATAAATGATTGTCGAATGAAGGAGTAGATGATTGACAGTGACGCTCCATGTTTTATCAAGTTCAGACTCCTCAGATTCAACATGTACCTATAAACTGGATCCTCTTGCTTCTCTCAGTGAGAAGCCACACCGCCCAGCCACATCTGTAAGCCTGTCCATCCCTGGCACCTCCCTCCCATCTGCACGTCCTGCCAATCTACCCCTAATTTCTCAAAGCCATCCACCCCTCTCCATCTTCTCCACTCCCTTCGAGACCAAGCTCCCATCTCTCTCTTGGGGCACCTGCAGCAGCCTCCCTGAGATCTCCAGAATCCCTTCTTGCCCACTTCCAACCTGATTGCCCCAGTGCTACCCTGAGAGTGTCACCCTTTGCTGATAAGTTATCAGTTTGACCATCTGATACATTCCAAAGAAGCTCAGATGCCTTCCCACGGGCTGCAGGCTCCATATGGCCTGGCCTCCCGCTGCCCCTTGCAGCTCAGAGCACTTATCACAGTTGGTTCATACATTTACACTGTGAACACTGGATCGAGTCTCTCCCCTACCTCACTATACACTCCATCGGGGGAGTGACCTTGTCTGGCTTTGCTGCATTCCTGGCATTTGGTGGATGTTTGCTTGATAAATATGGGTAAATGAATAAATAAATAAATGCTGCTGAATACCTATATATGCCAGATATTAAGCTAACATGGAAATAAATTATTTCATTTTTTTCAACAATCTTATGAGGATGAATGATTGAACAAATGAATGAATGAACTATAAACTAACAAGGGAGGAGTCACCATCCAAAAGCACACAGGAGGCCAGACATGGTGGCTCACACCTGTAATCCCAGCATTTTGGGAGGCCAAGGCGGGCGGATCACTTGAGCCCAGGAGTTTGAGGCAGGTGGATCACTTGAGGCCAGACTGGCCAACATAGTGAAACCCCATGTCTACTAAAAATACAATAATTAGCCGGGCTTGGTGGTGCACGCCTGTAGTTCCAGCTACTTGGGAGGCTGAGGAAGGAGAATTGCTTGAACCCAGGACGCAGAGGTTGCAGTGAGCAGAAATTGCAGCCTGGCGACAGAGTGAGTGAGACTCCATCCCCCAAAAAAGATATACAGGAGCCAGGAGGGCATGTAAACAAGTGAGAGGAGAAGCGCCGGTGTAAGATACTCACAAATGGATGGTACCATGGCAAAACGAAGTGCCATGGCATCTGTTATGGACTGAATTACACCCCCCCAAAATTCACATGCTGAAGTCCTAACCCCTGGTATCTCAGAATGCAACCTTATTTGAAGATGGGGACTTTACAGGGATAATCAAGTTAACGTGAGGTCATTACAGTGGGCCCCGATCCAGTGTGACTAATGTCCTTATAAAAAAGGGAAATTCAAGCACAGACGTGTACAGAAGGAAGACAGTGTGAAGATACAGGGAGAAGATGGCCATCTACAAGCCAAGGAGAGAGGCACAGAATAGATCCATCCCCTACAGCCCTCAGAAGAAACCAAGTCTGCCCATGCCTTGATCTCAGACTTCCAGCCTCCAGAAGCACGAGACAATTTCAGTTGTTTACTCCACCCAGTTTGTGGTACTTTGTTACGGCAGCCCCAGGGAACAAATACAGCATCCAAAGGCATCCACGTTCAAAAGCGTTTTTCAACCCTGGCTAGGCCAAATAAGATTTGTCTGGAGGCCACGTTCTGCCCGAGAGGGCGCAGGTGGCAACCCCTGCAGCCTGGAGAGTTCTCAGAGCACACCCTGTCCACCAGGGAATTGGCACTGTGGGAGGCTGAGGTCAAACAGATCAAATGGGAATTCAATTATGGTTTGGAGACGAGTCCGTGAGGTCACAGATTAAATGAGGGCAGGGACTGCAGCCTGGGCCTCGCTGTGGTGTTCATGCTCCGGGCTCCAGAAGCTGCACTCCTGCCTGTCACAGAGCCGGACGAGGCCCAGCCTGCTTGTCACATAGAGAAGAAACCGAAATTTAAAAGATAGATAGGTCAGATCAGTTTATATGTGGCTGTGGACTAATACCCCCAGCATATGGCAACCAATACTCTGCGAGGCACATTGGAACTCCTGTAATCAAGTATCTGTTAATTATTAAAATTGAATCTATTTTTCTACCCTTTATTTAGTTGAGAAATCTCACATTACACAGAAAGGTTAATTACAAACCGACTTCAAGAACCCTTTGTTGGAAGCTTCTGTTTCAGTTTCTCCAAGATGAGTCCTTGAACTCCGTATTTGGGAATGCAGACACAGGCTGGCTTAGCAAAATCGCTTCCTCATGCTAGCAGACCCCAGATATAGCAAACCTCTCAGATGGCTCCATGGAGCTGGGATTAACCAGAAACCACTTCAAAACACCCATAACCATCTAAAATGTGGTTTTGTTGCTTTTTCCATTTAGAAAAAAGACCACCATCTTTTCAGCATGTTGTCCTGGTTGCAAAAGTAAGAGGGTCTCAAGTTCTGGGACCCCAATGGGAGACATACAATATTCCAGCGGCTACACCAATTAGGTCTGCTTGCTCCCAGCTTTGGGGAAGGTAAATGGCCTATTACTTGGCGGATAATGCATACCACATGGCATTCTTTAGCCTCAAGGAAGCCTCAGAGGCCTCATATTTCTAGAGATAACTGGAATGGCAGAGTGCAGAGCAAGCCTCCAGTACCAAGGCTGAGCTTCTTCCCCACCATAAGCTCTACCAAAGAGCCATGGTCCCATCACATCCTTCCCAGATTCAGTTCTCTCCAGCAATGCTTGGAAACTTCTTGCAGTAGGTGGAGGTAGTACTGGTTTATGTCTACCTGACTACTTTCTGCTTCCTCTGCCCTCTTTAACTCCATGTGTCTCCACGTGGTCTCAACAGGTTGTTACTATGGTGCCCAGACCCTGGGCATCATGGGTCCATGCCCCAGACTGTGCCAATCATAGGGCAACTGTGTCCCTCTGTTTGGTTCAGGGATGGGCACATAAACCACATTCCCTGGGATTCAAAGCTCGTGTGTAAAAATAGTCCTTCTCTCTTTTTTTTTTTCTTACATTTTTGTGCTATAGGGATATAGATTCACGCTTCTAAGAACCAACTGTCTGGCCTGATGGAATATTCCTGGCTGCAGCTGGATCACAAAATAAAAAATAATAATGATAATAGCAAAGACTTATTTAGTATTTACTGTGCCTAACACTATTTTAAGCACATTACACATATTACCTCACTGAATCCCACAAGCCTCCTCCTCCTCCTCAACACTCTTATCACCACCCATTCTATGTAGATGAATAAACTGGGGCATAGAAAGGCTAAGCCACTTGCCCAAGGTCACATAAGAAGTAAGATTCAAACCTAGGTGTCTGACTTGAGAGTCTTTACTCTTAACCATTACCAGAGAGTGAGCAAGGGAAAGAGAAAGGGATGACATCAATTAAGCCCCTGGATCCAGCCATGCATGAAGCTACCCCTGGATTTCTCAGGTAACACAAGCCAATTCATTCCCTCCAAGCTGCTTTGTTTTATTGTGTCTTACAACCAAAAGAGTCTTGCTTAATACATACTTCTAACATGTCCTTCCTGTGTGGAAGATAGGCTAAAAGCATCTTAGTGTTTCCTATAGTCCATTTAGCACAGAGCTCCTATAAACACAAAACCCCTTCCTGTGGTTCTATCAGTAATTTCATTCTGCAGACTATGAAACTATGAGGCCCAAAGAAGTTAAGCTACTTGTCCAAAACTATAGAGCAAACAAGCGGCAGATGTTCCAGAATCCATTCAGGTCTACCTGATTCACTGTCCATAATCTTCCTTCTAAAGCTATAGTGTCCTTATGCTAATTTTAATGCATAGCCCAACTACTTTAAAAATTAACATAAAGGATGCCGGGCGCGGTGGCTCACGCCTGTAATCCCAGCACTTTGGGAAGCCGAGGCGGGTGGATCATGAGGTCAGGAGATCGAGACCATCCTGGCTAACGCAGTGAAACCCCGTCTCTAGTAAAAATACAAAAAAAAAAAAAAATTAGCCGGGGGTGGTGGCGGGCACCTGTAGTCCCAGCTACTCACGAGGCTGAGGCAGGAGAATGGCATGAACCTGGGAGGCAGAGCTTGCAGTGAGCCGAGATTGCGCCACTGCACTCCAGCCTGGGAAACAGAGCGAGACTCTGTCTCAAAAAAAAGAAAAAAAAAAAAAAAAACTAACATAAAGGGCTGTGGTAGGAACACAGAAGCCAGGACAGTTAAAATTAGGCTTAGAAAATAACATCAGCACCATAGCAAAAGGGAAAAAATTTTAATTAAAAAAAACAGACTAATTTATATATGATTCTCATACCACGCAATTCAACCATTTAAAGTGGACTAGACAATTTTTTTTATATTCATGTCAGAATATACAACCATCACCAAAATCAATTTCAGAACATTTTCATCACCCTCCCCAAAGAAACTCTGTGCCAATTAGCAGTAACTCTATGTTGCTGTCCAAATCCCTCCCCAACCCTAAACTACCACTAATCTACTTTCTGTCTCTACAGATTTGTCTGTTCTGGACATTTCATGTCAATAGAATCATGCAATATGTGAGCTGTGTGTCTGGATTCTTATACTTAGAATTGTTTCAAGGTTCATCATGTTGTGGCATGTATCAGTACTTTGTTTCTTTTTATTCCCAACATTGGAATTTATATCATACATTACATTGAATGTATCCATTGATCAGTTGAGGGAAATCTGAGTTGTTTTCACTTTTTGGCTATTATAAATAATTCTGCCATGAATATTTGTGTGCAAGTTTTCATGTTTTTATGCCTTGGTTATATACCCAGACATTTCTGGGTTCCACGGTAAGTCTATATTTAACATTTTGAGGAATTTCCAGACTATTTTCCAAAGTGGCTGCCCCATTTTACATTCTCACCAGCAATGTGTCATGGTTCCAGTTTCTCTACATCTTCAACAACACTTGTTATTGTTATTATTATCTGTCTTTTGCATTTCCCTGATAGCTAATGAGGTTGAGCATCTTTTCATGTTCTTATTGGCCATTCGTATGTAATTTTTTAGAGAACTGTCTATTCAGATCTTTGGTTCAATTTTTAACTGGGTTGTCTTTTTGTTTTTTGTTTTTTTGAGACAGGGTCTCACTATGTTTCCTAGGCTAGAGTGCAGAAGCGATACAGCTTTGAACTCCTGGCCTAAAGTCATCCTCCCACCTCAGCCTCCCAAGTACCTGGGACTACAGGTGCACACCACTACTTAGGATGTCTGGCCCATCTAATTAGATTGTCTTTTTATTATTGAATTGTAAGAGTTCGTTATATGTTCTATAAGCAAATCCCTTAACATATGATTTGCAAATATTTTCTCCCATTTCATGAGTTATCTTTTCAGTTTCTTGATTGTATCCTTTAAAACACAAAAGTTTTACATTTTAATGGAGTCCAATTTATCAATGCTTATTTAGTTGCTTTTGTTTTGGTATAATGTAAAAAAAAACATTGCCAATCTAAGGTCATGAAGATTCATCCTTGTTTTCTTCTAAGAGTTGTTTTTTTTTTTTTTTTCCTTTTTGACAGGGTCTCACTCTGTCACACAGGCTGGAGTTCAATGTGATCACAGCTCACTGCAGCCTCAACCCCCTGGGCTTAAGTGATCCTCCCACCTCAGCCTCCCAAGTAGCTGGGACCACCGGTGTGTGCCACCACACCTGGCTAATTTATTTATTTTTATTTTTTGTAGAGATGGGGCCTCCCTATGTTGCCCAGGCTGTTCTAAGACTTTTATAGTTTTAGCTCCGACATTTAGGATCTTGATCCATTTTGAGTTCATATTTTATACCATGTGAAATAGAGATCTGTCTTTATTCTTTTGCATGTGGATATTCAATTGTCCCAGCACCATTTGTGGAAAATATTATTCTTTCCCTATTGCACTGTTTTGGTAACCTCATGAAAAATCAATTGACCATAAATGTGAGAATTTATTTCTGGACTCTCAATTCTATTCCATTGATCTATATGTCTATGTCAGTACCAAGATTGCCTTGTTTACTGTTGCTTTGTAGTAAGTTTTCAAATCAGAAAGTGTGAGCCCCTTAATTTTCTTTTTGTTTTTTTTTAAGATTGTTTTGGCTATTCTGAGTCCCTTGTATTTCCATATGACTATTGGGATCAGCTTGTCAATTTCTGCAAAGAAGTCAGTGAATAGGGACTGTGTTGAGTCTGTAGAGCAATTCAAAGAAGTCCTGCCATCTTACCGATATTAAATCTTTTGGTTGGTGAATATGCGGTGTCTTTCTATTTATTTAGGTCTTTTAAAAATTTCTTTCAACAATGTTTTATAGTTTTCAAAGCATAGGTTTTGCACTTTTAAATTTTATTTTATTTTATTTTTAAAGGGATACTCAACCTGAATTTATTTCATTTATAGAAATAATATGTATTATACATGTATTTATAAAAATGACAATATATGCCTATAAGATCTGTATGCTGAAAACTACAAACACTGATGAAAGAAATCAAAGACCTAAAGCAATGGGGAGACATACTATGTTCACGGATCAGAAGATTCTACAGAGTAAAAATGTCAGTATTACCCAAATTGATAAATAGATTTAACACAATTCCAGCAGGATTTCTGTTGTTGCTGATGTAGACAAGTTAATTCTAAAATTTGTATGGAAAGGCAAAGAAACTAGAATAATCAGAACAATTTTTGCAAAGAAGAGTAAAATTGGAGGAAGATAATCAAAATGATGTGGCATTGGTGAAAGGAACGACTCATATATCAGATAGAGAGTAAGGAGTCCAAAAACAGGCCCACACAAAGGAGGTTTTGCACTTCCTTGTTAAACTTATTCTTAAGTATTTTGTTCTTTCTGATGCTATTGTAAAATGGAATTGTTTTCTTAATTTCATTTTCAGATTTTTCACTGTAAGTGTATAGAAATACAAGTGATTTTTGTATATTGGTCTTTTATCTTGCAACCTTGCAGAACTTGTTCATTAGCTATAATAGGTATTTAGCAGATTGCTTAGGATATTCCATATATAAGATCATGTCATCTGCAAATAGAGATAATTTTACTTCTTCCTTTCCATCTGCATGCCTTTAATGTCATTTTTTTGCCTAATTATTGGATTCCTGGCTAGACGTCCCAGTACAAGGTTGTACAGAAGTGGCAAGAGCACTTCTTGTCTTGTCTCATTCCTGATCTCAGGGGAAGGCATTCAATCTCTCATCCCTAAGGGGGATGCCAACTGTAGGTTTTTCATAGGTGCCCTTTATCACATTAAGAAAGTTTCCTTCTAGTCCTCATTTGTTCAGTGTTTTTTTTAATCATAAAAGTAAATGTTAGTTTTAAAAAGAGACCTTAGGATCTGCAGGCAAAGATGAACCCTTGAACACAGGTCATTTTGTTCCCTCTTGGAACCACTAAAAGTAGAGTAAAGGATTTATTTTTTTCTTTACTGAAAAACAAACAAACAAACAAAAACCCCACAGGACTGGGAGAATGGAGAGAAGACAACAAGAAAATATTTTAAGCTGAAAATAGATGGGTAGGCAGGCACTGCCTTGAGAAAGCCAAATCCTAAGCCAAGTTGTAAAAACTGAGAATCAATGGAATCCTCCAGAGCTCAGGAATTTGTTGTTGCTCTTGTAATTCCAGAAGTGGAGGTGAATGGTGGGGAGGACTAAATAAGGAGTGGGTTAAAGCTGTTAAAGGAGTAGATGGTTTCCCAGATCTGCTCCTTAGGCCCAGCCCTCACTCCAGGCTGTAGGAAACTGTCCTCCCCAATCCACTCTAGGTGAGGCTTTGCCCTCTGGAAAGGGTGACACAGACGTCCCCAGGGCAGGATGTGTGACTTCACATAATGGAGACTGAGACTCCAGACTGCTGTCCAGGCAGGAGACTGGAAGGGCTGACTAGGCCAAGGGGGAAGACCTAAGACATTTATATTTGGGTTTCCCCAAAACAGAGCCCACCACATCCCTCTAAGTTTAATGCCCTCTGCTCTTGGCTTGGTGTTTTCACCTTTATTGTCCTCCACACTTCTTTTCTTTTTCTTTTTTTGATACAGTGTCTCGTTCTATGGCCCAGGCTGGAGTGCAGTGGTGCCATCATGGCTCACTGCAGCCTCAACCTCCCAGGCTAAAGCAATCCCCTCACCTCAACTTTCTGAGTAGCTGGGACTACCAGCGTGCACCACCACACCCAACTAATTTTTAAATTTTTTGTAGAGACAAGCTCTCATTATGTTGCCCAGACCAGTCTCGAACTCCCAGCCTCAAGCAATCCTCCCACTTTCACCTCCCAAAGTGCTGGGATTACAGGCATGAGCCACTGTGCCTGGCCCTCCTCCACTGTTAAATAGGAGATTTAGGAGATTTAGACACACCTGAGAAAATCCTCTAACAGGACAGACATGAAACAAGGAACTTGACAACAGAGACCAGTCTGGGAAAAGAAAGCTTTGAATATTTGCATCATTAATCTTCTCAGAGAAATGAAAGAATATATTGCAGGTATGAAATAAGAAGAGGATGTAACAGGGCCAGGAGTGGTGGCTCACCCCTGTTATCCCAGCACTTCGGGAGGCCAAGGTGGGTGGATCACTTGAGGTCAGGAGGTCGAGACCAGCCTGGCCAATATGGTAAAACCCTATCTCTAATTAAAAAAAAAAAAAAAAAAAAGAGAGAGAAAGAAAGAGAGAGAGAAGTAGAGGTGACCAAAAGGATATGTAAAAATGAATGGCTCTTGGAAATTTGAAACATGATGGAAGAATGGAAGAACTTAATAGTAAGAACTAGAGGCAACAATGAAGTATATTAGTTTGCCAGGGCTGCCATAACACATGTGGAAAGAAAAACTTTAGGCAAATCACATTTAATGGAGTTTAATTGAGTAAAGAACAATTTGAGAATTGGGCAGCTCCTTGAACCAGAATACGTTCAGAGACACTCTGGGGCTGCCACATGATAGGGTAATATTTATGGAGAGAAAAAGGAAAGTGAGGTACAGGAAATGGAAGTGAGGCACAGAAACAGCTGAATTGGCTATAGCTGGGCGTTTGACTTATTTGAACATGGTTTGAAGAGCTGGCAGCCTGTGATTGGCCAAAACTCTGTGACTAGTACAAGAGTAGGTTAGAGTCTGTTTCCACAACCAGTTGGGTTACAGTTCACTGTGTGCCGAGAAACCTCTAGGTTGAACTTGAAATATGTAAGCAGGCAGCTTTGGGCTAAAGTAGAGGCTAAGCTTAATACAAGGTACCACAAACTGAGTGGTTTAAACAACAGAAATGTATCATCTCACTTTTCTGAAGCCTAGAAGGGGAAATTGGCAGTGTTGGTTCCTCCTGGGGCTGTGAGAGCCATCTGTGCCCTGCTCCTCTCTTAGTTCCCGGTGGGTTGCTGGCACTCTTGAGCATTCCTTGGCTTGTAGATTTATTGTCAGATCTGTCTTTATACGGTGTTCTCCCTGTGTGTGTGTTTGTCTCTGTATCGAGATTTTCCCTTTGTATAAGGATACAGTCATATTGGATTAGGGACCTGCCCTAATAATGATCTCATCTTAACCTGATCATCTGCAAAGACCCTATTTTCAAATAAGGTCACATTCATAGGCAATGGGGTTAGGACTTCAACATCTTCTGGAGAGACACAATGCAACCCATAACACGAAGAAATCTCTTTCCAAGAAGAACAAAAGCATAAAGAGATACACAAGACAACACAACACAAGACAGAAATTGTAAGAAAATTAGAGGAGATACAATACCTGAATAGCTGGAGGTCTAGGAAGAAGACAGAAAAAAATGAAGAGAAGGAAGTCGTTAGTGAAATATTTCAAGGAAATTTCCCAACACTGAAGGATTGAAAGGGCCCATTGGGTATTTGGCACAGTGGTGAAAAGGGACCCACACCAAAGAGCATAGTCATGAAACCTCGGTATACTGAAGACACAGAGAAGATTCTTTAAGTTTCCAGAGAGAAAACAATCTCCATGCACAGAATCAGGAATCAGAGGGCTTTGATTTTCTCATCAGTGTCACCAGTTGTGAGGAAGGAAAGCCACTTCCTCCTGGGAGATTATGCCAGTCAAGCTATCAGTCAAATGTAAAGGAAGAATAAAGACTTCATTAGTCTTGAAAGGTCTCAAAGAATGTACCTCCCACACACACATCCTTTCTCAGGAAGCTACTGCACGATGAGCTCCACCAAAATGAGGGAGTAAGAAAAGAAGGAGAAAGACAGAGCCTGCAGGAAGTAGGAGATACAACACTGAAGAGAAGGAAGGGAGTCCCAGGATGACGGTCAAGGAGATCCCGCTATGAAAGCAGGGCCCCCCAGCCTGGATGGAGCAGGTCAGGACACTCTGCTCTGGGAGACATGTCTCCAAAAAGCTGAAACTCCTATAATACCTGAAGCCAGTGAATCTGCTGAGAAGAAATAAGACTACTGGATGAATGTGCTGGGAGTCTCCACCATGGCCCACCTCATCCATTTTCTGCCTTTCTTTGGTCAGCGGTCTCTGTGGATTGAAACTCCTGGCTCCCTTACCTGGGTTCTGACTGAATTTGGCTAATGGGAGGCACTGAGAAGACATGGGAGCGGAAGAAAAGAGAGAGGCCAAGTGTATTCCATGCCTCTCCCTGACTGCTTTGATGCCACCTGGTAAGGTTTGGATTTGTGTCCCCACCCAAATCTCATGTCAAATTGTAATCTCCAACATTGGAGGAGGGGCCTGATGGGAGGTGACTGGATCATCGGGGTGGACATCCCCCTTGCTGTTCTTGTGATAGTGAGTGAGTTCTTATGAGAACTGGTTGTTTAAAGGTGTGTAGCACCTCCTCCTTCATTCTCTTCCTCCCGCTCCGCCATGGTAGGATGTGCCTCCTTCCTCTTCACCTTCTGCCGTGATTGTAAGTTTCCTGAGGTCTCCCCCGCCATGCTTCCTGTACAGCATGCAGAACTGAGAGCCAATTAAAACTCTTTTCCTTATACATTACCCGGTCTCAGGTAGGTCCTTACAACAATATGGGAACAAACTAATAAACCGCCATTTCAGCAGTGGCTATGTCATCCCTCCCCAAACACAGCTCCTACGGGCATCTCCTCTACAGCTCAATCTCCTAGGCTCCAGGAACACTATTTCCTTCCCTTGCCCTTCAGGCCTGGCACTGTCAACAGCTTCCTACTGTTGCTGAAGTCCTGGGGTGCCTCTCCATCCTCGTCCACACCTCTCTCAACAGCCCCTTCATTTACAAACCCTTGGATTAAAACCTCTGTGTGAAATGCTGCGTCCAACCAGGACTCCAACTCACCCTGCCTGTGTTTGTGGTAGAACTGATGATAAAGAAGCAAACAAAAAAATAATCATAAACTCTAGGAAAACAAAAATTGTGTAGGAAAGGAAAAACAATCGTGGTTTTACCATAAAACACCACTGTGATGATGTGCACTAATAAAGTCAAAACAATAGAAATAATGAATATTGATTGAGCCAAATACAGTATAATAATATTGAGAGTTGGGCAGGGGGTGAGAGAAAAGTCTGCTTACATAGGATGAGGATGGGCAGAAGGAATAAGGGCTAAAATCTTATCTTCCATAGTGGAAAGTCAAGAGATAACACTTAAGATGGAAAACACAGCAAGGAGCTCTAGGCATGATTCTTAAGAGATGTGGAAACGAGTACCAAAGAAATCATGATGCAGAACAGAAAATGTTCCTCTGAAGAAGGGGAGAAGGGAAGAGGGTAGGGCTGGGGATTGGGGCTGCTGTTTTCCTTTTTCTTTCTTTCTTTTATTTTGAGACAGGGTCTCGCTGTTACCCAGGCTGGAGTGCAGTGGCTCAGTCTCAGCTCACTGCAGCCTCTACCCGCTGAGCTCAAATGATCCTCCCACCTCAGCCTCCTGAGTAGCTGGGACGACATGTGCACTCCACCATGTGTGACTAATTTTTTAATTTTTTTTGCAGAGATGGGGGTCCCACTATGTTGCTCAGGCTGGGCTCAAGCAATGTTCCTGCCTCAGCCTCCCAAAGTGCTGAGATTACAGGTGTGAGCCACCACACCCGGCCAGTTTTTCTTAATGTATTGCGATGCTTGGGCTGTCATAACAAAATACCAAAGACTAGGTGGCTTAAACAACAGATATTTATTTCTCACTGTTCTGGAGGCTGACCATCTAAGATCATGGTGCCAGCAGGGCGGGTCCCTCCTGAGGCCTCTCTCCCTGGCTTTCAGATCATTGTCTTCATGCTGTGTCCTCACATGGCCATTCCTCTGTATCTCTTCCTCTTCTTACAAGGACACCAGTCCTATTAGGTTAGGGCCCTGCCCTTGTAACTTCATTTAACCTTGATCACTTCTTTAAAGGCTCTGTGTCCAAATACAGGTTTAGGGCTTCAACATCAACATATGAATTTGGTGGTGGTAGCTGGGGTGGCGAGGACACGATCCAATCCATTACACTTAGCATGCTGTGTGGATCTAGGAAATTCTTCAGGCTGTGAGCATGTTAAGCAAGGTACATCCAGGGAGCATGAACTATGTGTTAAAAGCATCCTGATATAAAGGCCAGTACTGGGGGCATAAAGAGGCAGGCCCCGAGTTTGGCTAATGGTAGACATTTGTTAAACACACCCATTTTACTAGTCTTGTCTTTTGCCCATCACAAAGACTCCCGGAGTCCAAGTGCCTCTACCTGGTTTTGATTTTCTTCCAATTTTAACAATGTGGCAAGAATGGAAAACCAGATTTTTTTGTTCAGCGTGTCTCCTTGACTGCAGAGTGTTGAGTACAGTGAAATTGAGGAAGCTGGGTTAGGTTTAATTCCTGCTCGTTTTTGATTAATTTCTGTTTGCATTCTTGTATCCCAATAACATGGTGTGGTAGATCGATTAATGCTCAGAATGTGTGTTTTCTCTTCCTCTGGCACCCTTCTCATGGGATCCCAGTCTTCTGTGGTCAGGAGTGATCATGTACTTCTTAGCCTAGTAAAATGTGAGCAAAAGTGATGCGTGTCACCTCTAAACAGAGGTTGAAGAGCCAGTGCACGGTTTGCTATCCCTTCTGCCCCAAGGTTGACAATAATATCCCAGAGAGAGGTTGCTCCATCAGCTTGGGTTCCAGAGTAATGCACAGGGACACTGGCATGGGTGAGAAACAAGCCTTTGTTGTTAGCCTTGGAGATTTGAGGTCATTTGTTACAGTAGCAAAACACAGCCTCAGCTGATTGATTCTGGTGGGCATATCTTCCATTCGAAGCAGCCCAACAGTGCCCCATTAACTTATGTGGCCATCACATTCTCTGCATTATACAGATTTTTTTTCAAGGAGGAAGCCATTTAGCAGAAGAGAAGTGAGAGCCATACCAAGATTATCTGGATCCTTTTTAGCTCGCAGTAGCACTTCCACTTAAGACCATGGAAGCATTCTAGACTCTAATAAAAATTACAAACCTGGCCAGGCACAGTGGCTCACGTCTGTAATCCCAGCACTGGGATGCAGAGGCAGGCAGATCACTTGAAGTCAGGAGTTCGAGACCAGCTTGGCCAACATGGTGAAACCCTGTCTCTACTAAAAACACAAAAATTGGCAAGGCATGGTGGCAGGCACCTGTAATCCCGGCTACTTGGGAGGCTGAGGCAGGAGAATCGCTTGAACCCAGGAGGCAGACTGCGGTCACCCATTGCACTCCAGCCTAGGCAACGGAGAGAGACTCTGTTTAAAAAAAAAAATTACAAACACTGCCTCCAATAAAAATGCACATTTGCTATCACACACACACACATACACACACACAATTTTTGTGAAAATTTTCAAGGAACTCATGTCACAGACCTTCTGAAGCCATTCATGAATCCTTCCTTTAAGATCTAACTTCACTCTCATCTTTAAAACCTCCCAGCAGCAGAGACTAAGTCGGCTAGCTGAAACCTAACATAGCACTTAAGACAATTTCTGCTAGAAGACAGGGACTGTATTATTCAGCTCTGGATCAATATGGTAATTGGTACAAAGCAGGCAGTCAAGAAATATATATTGGATTAAACACAGCAGCTCTACGAAAAAAGGTATTAATATGACCTCGTTGTATAGGAAAAATCCTCGAGGTCATCTAGTTATTAAGTGATAGGTGGATTTGGACCCCAAATCCACTGACCTTAAACCCTTGCATTGTCCGTAGTTCCAAGCTACTCAAACCCAGGGCTACAGGAGGCTTCAGGAGAAGTGTGGCCTATTTTTTTCTGGGGGGAGGGGAGCAGCAGTTTTACTAGAAATTTTTAAAATCAGTTAATATTAACTTCATCTGCATATAACAGAAAGAAAACTCAAAAGTAATAGTGCCTTAAATAAAAGAGAACTTTATTTATGACATCTATGAGAGGTCAAATGCTAGCCAGGGCCAACCTGGAACAGCAACTCCATGGGTTCACCTGGGACCCGGGCTTCTGTCGTTCAGCTCTTGCTATACTTAACATGTGACTTCCATCCTTAATGTTTCCCTTATGGTCTAAGATCACTGGTAGAGTTCCAGGCATCACATTCAAGTTCCAAGCTGGAAAGCTAGAGGATGCTTGTCTCTCCACTTCCACCCCCATCTTTCGAGAACACTTCCCAGAAGAGACACATGGCACTTCAGCTTGCTTCACATTGGCTAGAAAATGGTCACATGGCCATGCTTAGCTTTGTAAGGGAGGCTGGGAAATGTTGTCTTCATCCTAGAAGGCAATCAGCCCGGCTAATCACTGGGATTCCATTATGAAAAAGGAAGGGAAGAAAAGACCAGGTGTGATGGCTCATGCCTGTAATCCCAGCACTTTGGGAGGCCGAGGCATGGGGATCACCTGAGGTGAGGAGTTTGAGACCGGCCTGGCCAACATGGTGAAACCCCATCTCTACTGAAAATACAAAAATTAGCCGGCCGTGGTGGCAGGCACCTGTAATCCCAGCTACTCAGGAGGCTGAGGCAGGAGAATTGCTTGAACCTGGGAGGCAGAGGTTGCAGTTAGCCAAGATCATGTCATTGCACTCCAGCCTGGGCAACAAGAGCAAGACTTCGTCTCAAAAAAAAAAAAAAAAAAAAAAAAAAAAAAAAAAAAAAAAAAAAAGAAAGAGAAGGGGAAGGAAGGAGATTGAGAAGCAATTTAAATTCTCTACCATGTAGTTATTGAGAGATGTCATTGCTTTTATATTCAAATACAAGCTCTTCTTGTCAGACAAATCTGGTGTTCAGCCTGGCTGTGCACTAAGAGAGCAGCTAAGCGGAGGCACACAAAACTCAGGTAATAAAATGTTACGCCTTTCAAAGTGACAGTGGAAGGCTGACTGCCATCTTGGCTCCCCTCCTCCCGAAGGGCCTGCTGCTGCTTGAGATGCAAACTCCCAGCAGGATGGCTGGCCCTGGAATGGGAGCACCTGTTCCCCAAGAGGACAGTGAGGTAGGACAGGGAGGAGCTGGAGAAAGGGGTGAGGGTATTGACTAGGTCACTATCTTGCAACTATGTCCTTTGATCAAAACAGCAGCAGAGGCTAGACGCAGTGGCTCATGCCTATAATCGCAGCACTTTGGGAGGCCAAGGTGGGTAGATTACCTGAGGTCAGGAGTTTGAGACCAGCCTGGCCAACATGATGAAACCCCGTCTCTACTAAAAATACAAAAAATTAGTGGGGCATGACGGCTCACACCTGTAATCCCAGCTACTTGGGAGGCTGAGGCAGGAGAATCATTTGAAGCTGGGAGGTAGAGGTTGCAGTAAGCCAAGATCGTGCCATCGCACTCCAGCCTAGGCAACGAGAGCGAAACTCTGTCTCAAAAACAAAACAAAACAAAAATGGCAGCACAGTCAATGCTGGTCCTCCATTGGCTTCTTGGGGTGCTGAGGTGATTGATTCTCACGCTTTTTAGAGGCCTTCAGGAGTATGTGTGAAAGACAGCCGCTGGCTCGATCTGCCAACTGCCAGAAACTAGCAAATGTACATGGAATCTGAAACAAACAAACAAACAAAAAACCCTGCCCATGGGAGGGCCTGGGAACTCATACTTTGTCAATATATACCTCCCCCTCATTCCGACCCTCCCCAAACTAGGCACTCTGTGGAGTGCGAGGTAGGAAGGTAGCAGGCTTTTTCAAACTTTCCAGCCAAAGTACCATCAGGGCAGAAGAGTATACTAAGAAAAGGAAATTTCTGAGTTCTTCCCTTTTGTTCTTAGAATACATGTTGAATTTGCATTTCACCTAACTCCATAATTTGGGCAGTGAGATCATCTACTGACCTTCTGCTGTGTGCCAGGTGGTGTGCCACCTTCCCTCTCTTCCCCCTGGGGAGGGCCAGCCTTTTCCAGGAAGGCAAGGGTAGGCACTGATGAAGGAATTACCCTGGCTCAGGCAGAGCAAGTCCAAGGCTGGGCTCGCCAAGTCCCAACACACCTTCTGGCAGCAGAGTCTATTAAGCAAAATCTTCAGATGTCTGGGTCGCGGGGCAGCCGGGGATTTTCGAAAGCACTGAAGTGAATGGTCATGTCAAGAGGCTGCCAGCCTCTCACCTGCTGTCAGGAAGAAAGGCTTCTGGTGTCCAGGGAATCAAGAACGACTCACTTAAGCAGGAGTGTGACTAAGATGAGAGCAGATTCTAGAGCGCTACTGACAGCCGGAGTACACTGTTAGATCTCTCCCAGAAAATGATGGACGAGAAACCCACAAGGCAGGGAGTGTGGCTCCCTGCCACGGTGCTGGGCCAGGCCATGCTGTTGGCATGCAGATGCTCCGGGAGCATTTTCTGGTCTGCGGTTAGGATGCCAGAACCTTCCCTCTTCTGCAGTTGGGATTGCATTTGATGGCTCTGAATGGTCCTATCTGTAACCACTAGGCTCCTGAACATGAAATGAGCTGTCACTTTGCAAAGCTACATTGGTTCCCAATGTGGTCCCTATGGTGGGAAATAGCAGGTTGCAGGACATCTGAGTTAGTACCCAGGTGGAGCAGGGAACTGTCATTTTCTGGGCATCTACCAGGAGCCAGGACCTCATCAGCTCACTAAATCCTTACAACTGTCTTAGCATTCTACAGAGAAAAAAAAACGGAGGTTCAGAGAGGTTTAATGATGCGCTCAAGGTCACAGACGCAATTTGTACCTAGTATGTCTTACCTGCAACTCCCTTGCTCTGTTCACTTAAGCTTTCACCCAAGCTATATAAGTTGGTGGAAGGTAGGTCAAATTTTTTTAAGTTTTTAAAACACCATAGTAAAGAAAGTTAAATGGGTCTCTTTCCTGTAGCACTTCTGAGAGCCTTTGTTACGCTAATGATCACTGTGAAACTTCAAGAAGGCGTCTATGTTAAACAGTTATTGCCAAACACATTTGGCCAAAGCTAGGCATCTGGCCTACTTGATGTTTCAAGGAACACGCTTTGGGGCAAGCTGTGCATTCGTTCTCTTGAAAACTAAAAGCCAGAGCTCTACATTAGACAGCCTTGATTCAAACCTTGACTCCCCCACTTACTAGCTGGGTAACCTTCCTGTGCCCAAGTGTCCTCATTTGTAAAGCAGGGAGTTAGGATTCCTGCAATCCACAACGATTTATTGAGTTTTTACTAAGTCTCCAGACATGGAGGGCTGTAACAGTGCTTACCTCATAGAACGTGACTAAGATGGGAGTATATTGCAGGGGTTAGCACACTTTTTGTAGAAAGGGCCAGAGTTTAAACATTTTAGGCCCTGGGCCACACGGTCTCTGTTGCAATGACTCCATTCTGCTATCGTAGTGGGGAAAACAGCCAGCCATAGACAATAGATAAATGAATAAGTGTGCTGTGTTCCAATAAAACTTTATTGACAAACACTAAAATTTGAATTTCATATAATTTTCACATCACAATTATTCTTCAAAAATCATTTAATAATCATTAAGATTATTTATTTATTTATATATTTTTTGAGATGGAATCTCGCTCTGTTGCCAGGCTGGAGTGCCATGGCATGATCTCGGCTCACTGCAATGTCTGCCTCCTGAGTTCAAGTGATTCGCCTACCTCAGCCTCCTGAGTAGTTGGGATTACAGGTGCACGCCACCACACCCAGCTAATTTTTTGTATTTTTAGTAGAGATGGGGTTTCACCACGTTGGCCAGGCTGGTCTTGAACTCTCGACCTCAAGAGATCCGCCTGCCTTGGCCTCCCAAAGTGTTGAGATTACAGGTGTGAGCCACTGCGCCCGGCCTAAATTATTATTCTTTAAATATTTTTTTCAACCATTAAAACAATGTAAAAGTAATTCTTAGCTAGAGGGCTGTACAAAGACAGGCATTGGGATGGATTAGGCCCATGGGCTGTAGTTGCCAACGCCTGCTATATTCAATAGAGTCACTGTGAAGATGAAACGTGTCTACATAAGGCATAAAACAGTACCAATAAAATGTGCCATTCTTTCTACTTCGATAAGTTTTGCTGTGATGATACCAATCCATGTTGCATAGAACTAATGAATAACTGGCCAGGCATGGTGGCTCACGCCTGTAATCCCAGCACTTTGGGAGGCTGAGGCGGGAGGATCACTTGAGGTCAGGAGTTCGAGACCAGCCTGCCCAACATGGTGAAACCCTGTCTCTGCTAAATCCAAAAAATTAGCTGGGCGTGGTGGCACATACCTTTAATCCCACCTATTTGGAGGGCTGAGGCAGGAGAATCCCTTGTACCCAGGAGGTGGAGGTTGCCGTGAGCCAAGATTGCCCCATTGCACTCCAGCCTGGGCAACAAGAGCAAAACTCCGTCTCAGAAAACAAGAAAAACAAAAAAACCAAAAAACAAACCACTAATGAATAACGGTCAGAGGGCTGGGAACATAAACAAAGGTTGTAGAGTGAACTGTTGGTCCCACCACTTCTACTCACATGTGTCCCCATTTCCAGTTCACTCAGTCTCATCTAGGCCTAAGCTCCCACTCGGGATTTATCAATCTCTGCAGAAGAGGGGCGAGCCCAGCTGGGGTGTTGGCATTCCTGCCTCTGCTCAGCAGCCCACCAAAGTGGTCCCCATCTTGCCGGCCAGCACAGGCCACACGCGACACCACGACACGATTAATGGCATTAACAGCGCCGGAGGCCGCTGATTGTTCTAAGATGAATGGAAGCCACTTGCAATTCTCCCTCTTATTCCCCTATTTGTTTGCTGCCTTCGTGTGCATTGTCAGGGTGATTTCTACAAGCAGGAGTTGCTTGGAACTTCACAGTACAATTTATTAGAGGTTTCTGCCTCTTGGGAATGCCTTGGATTCACACATTTTCTAGATTGCTATAATTCCAACCAATAAGATAACTCTATTGGAGACTTCTCCAAACGGGTACAAATTCCTTTTAATGTGAAGAGGCAATGAATACAATTTATAAATCTGCCTGGCTCCCAGACACCGAGTGCTCCTCATTCTGGGGCTGCTGTGATGGCCGAATTACTCAGGCTGAAAAAATGATTCTCATCTAGAATTCACACCATGAGTGTGTTTGTGGCAGATCTAGGGGTTTGTACCTCAAACTTCTCTGTGCAAGAAGCCTGTGGCATTTATGCACCACATGAAAAGAATCCCATTCTCAATTAAGAAGATATACATGTGTGTACGTTATACGTGTTATTTACGCACAATCCAGCAACTAATGCTTAGTAAGCTTCTACAGTGTGATCACAGCAGATGCCGTGCACATCTCTACTTCTTCCATCAAGTTTCAACTTTTACCTTTTCAATAATAACAGGACAGTAAACGTCATTTTTAAAAAATCGAATGTTTAATGATGAAAGGCCGTATTCATTACAACACTGTTTGTAGACATAGAAACGTCAAGCAGGTGTCAAAAATCCCACTGGACTTTATTTACATGCAGGCTTTAACCAACTTTGCTCTTTGTTTTAGTACAGGAAAATTCATGAATTAAAACTTGAAAACACAATAAAACAATCACAAAACAAATTATCTTCATTTCCGGTGTCATCAGTGAAGCATCAGAATGAAAGTTCAAATAAAGTTTTTGCTTCCCGTTGTTAAAAACATGGTAACACACAACCCACCTCTGGGAGCACTGCGCCATGATTCCTTGGAGCAGAGAACACAGTAGGAGCACATACACCTCTAATCCCTACTTGACAACTGAGGGAAATGGCCCGGTCAGCTGACTTGCCCAAGGACACCCAGGCAGTCAGAGGTAGGAGTCTCACCTAGTTCTGTGGTTTCCAGGAATCATATCCATGTGGTGTTCTACTCTGTTATTTGAGAGCCCCCGGTTGACAGAACCAGTAGGACAGCTTGGGCAAGTAGGTCCCGGTCTGGCCTGTAGGGTAAGACACTGGCAGGCCTTCAGGTCTGGGGTTCAGGGCTGCATTTAAAGTTACAGTGCTCATCACTGGCCTCACTAAGAATCCCCTGGTCTGACCCTGTTTTGAACAGGAAGTTGAACTCTTTGAAGAGTTGGGTGTTGGATATTTAGTTTTCTTCCTTCCTGACTCCTCCGAGCTTCTCAGCTGGCCTTCTTGGATTCATGCAGTTCCACAATTGAAGTGTTGATTAAAAACTGCCTTGAAGGGTTTCCCAGTTATTTGGGGTGGGTTTCGTCCAGGGAAGGAATGGCAAATGGGTTGCACTTCAGGAAGACGTGCTAACAATGAGCTCTAATGAGGATTCTGAGTCTGGATTCAGCTGGAAAGAAGCGCTGTGACTGATTAGTGATGTCTGGCACAAGCTGGAGGTGGGTAGGGGGACGGTTGGGGTCAATGTCACTTACTCTAGGTCTAGGTCAAGAGCATGTGTAGGAATGGGCCAATTTCAGCCTGTGCCCTCCCCTCCACAAATTCTTCCCTGTTATAACCAGCACTGCACTGATGCACAATTGGGACTGTATAAATGCTTAGGGACTCGATGCCTTACCGTAAGCCCCCACCCAGCCTTGTAGTTAATGCCTGGAGAGAGGCACTATCAGGCAGAACATCACACCTGCATGTCTACCTTCACTCCGCAGGCTTCCAGACACATCCTAGGATCCTGTCTGAGAAAACCAGAGCCCTCCTGCAGTATCTAGTTGTCTATGTCCATTGTCCTCTCCTGACAGAAGCCCTAAAGACAGGCCGTGGGCTTCCTTCAGTGGTTAGCAAACAGAACCTTCTCGAGTTTTGATCCTAACACAAAGATAGCTCTAACCTTCCTTGCTATGGTTTGAAGGGTTAGGAGTGGCCTTCCAGAACCGCTGGGAGGTCAGGGGCGTGCTAGACCAAGGGCCTCCTGGACGTCCCTTATGTTCTCTTCACTGCCCAAGGTGGAGTCTGGCTGGTTTCCATTTCCACGCCGTAGGGCTATGAAATCAGAGAGCACAAGCCTGGGCCCTTGCTGGCTGAAGTCGTCATTCCACCCTTGATCAAGAATAATTGAGCAAGAGCTGCTTCCATGATCCTGTCACACTCTAGCCATGGGATTTCTCAATGGGGATCTGGACACTTGGTGTTAACACTAGAGTTTGGCTGAGGATTAGAGAAAACCTTTTTGCCTCCCTTTCCGTCCACACAACTGGAAAGAAACGACTCTTCCTTGTGCCTCCCCTGTAAAGACCAAGTGCTTGCTTTGGTCCACACCTGGTATGGGAGACAATTCCCATCCTCCTCCAAAGGATGGTACCAGTGCCACCAGCAGTGGGGGCCCTCACAGTGAACTCCTCAGGCACAAAAGCAAGCAGAGGGGCATGGGGTTAGCAGATCGCACGTCTGTATCCAAAATGGCCTGTGGGAAACATGAGAGACCCCATCCAATCCCTGTCCTTCAACCCTTCCAGATCCTTTCCAAGACTTCTGAGGGGCCAAACTTGGGTCACGTTCAGTACTAAAAAATGAGGACGAAGAATGGAACTTGCTGTTTTATCAGAACAGACCCATTTTCAACTCAACATCCTGCGCTATTTACACTCTCTTCCTTCCAGTGCTAGTTCAGGTGCAGACCCAGGACAAAATAATCGGGGATGGATCTTGACATGTTTTAAGTGGTTTCTTAATTCTTTGGAAGGTTATAGACTGGTATGCCTCAGCACCTGCAGCAGCAGGCAGGAGTCTCCCTCGCATGGGGCAATAAGTGAGCTTGTGTGGCTTTTAGGTTAGTAACACACTTTATTCACATCTCTGAGACATAGTTGACCTAAATCCAGTTGGCCAGAAACAGGGGTTGTCTTTTGAGGATTTTCAGTCCTCAATTAGCATATTTTAGCATCATCTCCATTTTCTTTCCTTAAATCCCATTTCCTTCCTTTACATCATTGCAATCTATCTCAAAGGTTACACTTAGGAGACAGTTCATTTTCTTTCAAATTTTGGTGATTCTTTTGCCCCATTATGTCTCCTTTTGCATCTTTGAGGTATGTACTTAAGATACCCAGCTATTTCAGCTTCTGATAAACAAGTTCTAAAATACAAAGTGAGCTTCCTATTCACATTGGAAATATTCCACAGATTAAAAATTAACTATTATTCTAAAGGCTAAAATCTATACACACAAAAATAAAGATTTCCAATGTAAATTTTACTATTTTATTTGTGAAAAAACTACAAGCAGAATTCATAAATAGACATTTCTATTTAAAGCAGGAAAATGATAAAGTGGCTTCTAATAACATAGTCGTGCACATGCCAGTAACAGGAATATATTAACATCTTTTATTTGCTAGACAAAGAGCAGTGTCCAATATAAATTTCCCCCAAAACATTTAAGACCTGTGAATTTTTGACCAGTTCACAAAACCACCAACTGACACTTTAGCATGAAGAAAAAAACAAACCTAACAGACTGTCAGCTCTAAAGACATTACAGAGCAGAAACTTCCAAAAGCGTTATACAAGCTGTCTTTCTGGGCAAATGAAAAATATAGCTCGTATAATACATTAACAAAAATTCACAAGATAAGATTGTTTTGACATACTTAACAAGCATTCTCTATTTGTCTCCAACAAACAAAGCTAAGGAAATAATGTAACCATCTTTACACAGTAAATTAAGGTTACAAGTCATACACAAGAACAGAACTGCTTGCGCATTAAAAACTGTTCAGCTCCATTGTCATACTCTAAATGTTGGCTCTTAAACCATTTTCGGTTACATACAAGCAAAGGTTATTATATATTCAGCAATTAATAAATTTTCAATAATTTAAGATACGGTAGCTTAAAAAAGTAGACTGAGAATGGTCTTGATAAGGCAGGTGAAACATCTTAGTGGAACTAAACTCACAGAAGCTTCTGCCAATGTTTTTAAATATCCAGATTGAAACTGAAAGGTTTTGATTAGAATATTGTGTGGGTGTCAAGATGTCTTTTTTTTTGTAACTGCATGACTCAAGCAGAGCAAGTCAGGTAAGCTCTGTGTGCGCGCACACGCACGAGTGTGAAAGATTGCGTGGTATTAAAACAAATGGAAACTTGCAAGCGTAACACTGTGCTTTTTGTTTGTTTAACCTGCTTTCTGTGCCACTGAATACCAAGTATTTCTGGTCCTCTTTTAATGTATATCTTTATAATCTACACTAGTGTTTTTACACGCTGCCTACTAATTGTAGGGCATACTGCAGACACAGGAAGTTACAGGAATTCCATTTCCAGAATACATGCCTGAGGGATGTCATCAATTTCCAAAATTAAAAGTCTATAAAGTACCTACTACCTCACTACCCAACAGAATACACCACAGCAGCTAAAGGGCTGGCCCTGTAACATCTGATTGCTTAGATAACTCCCACTGTTAGCTGCGGTTTCTACAAAGATGGTAATTTCATGCCACTTGTTCTAAAGCAATCTTCTTCCCCTTCCTTCACCCCTCCCCATTCTTTAATTTATCACGGAGGCAAAACTGAAAAACCAAAACATTGGCATGAATGAATTAGCAGCCTATGAGTAGCTGGTTAATCAGCTTTTTCCACTAATCTATGGGGTCCAATCACTTTACATGAAACTAGTTTTTGAAAAAGTACACAGTGTGTCTGAACAAAGTGCATACCAACAGTTATTGGTTCAATAAGCAGTGCAACCTACATGAGTTTGGTGGCATTTAAGTTTTTTCAAAAAGTTAAAAACAGCAATTTCTTAAACCTCTGGAAAATAAATATGGCTGACTAATTTACCCTCCCTGAGACCCTTAATAAAAGGAATATTAAAACTTTAGAAGGAATGTCTTTGCAATATCCCACCAATATTAAAATGTGGATTTAAAATTCATAGTCAAATCACTATGTATTATATATTCTGATGCTTATAGAAAGCATCTGATTTCCTTTGGTTCATTAATAAATACTTTAAAAATGTATTTAAAAAGATAAGCAAAGCTTGCATCCCAGACACAAGCATTATTTTAAAAAGGGGGGAACATTGTCCATGCATTTGAGAATAGGACCACAGCAACAAATGGCACTGCTTTATAATCTATACCTTTGAGAAAAGAATTTAAATTATGGTACATTAGTGACTACAGAATAGTTTTAATGTAAATGTGAAAGGAACCTTTCCTGTTGGCTACTCAATTCAAGCTGTTAATTTTTTTATTTGTTGCCTCCACAGACAGAAATTACTGCTATTATTAAGCAAACCAGGTTTTTAACACCAAAATGTGGTGCTTCATTACAAATCAGGCTGCCCTCCCGTGAGTCCCTAAAGGTCAAATAAAGAGAGGTAACCTCAAATTCTCATGCTTGAAATGTCTCTGAAGTACTACAAACTCTGTATCTAAATGTAAAAGTCAAATAGAAGAGAGACCCCACATCCAAACAAAAGCAAAACAAAATTTTAAAAAATTATTTTAATAAGGAGAGGTGGAATCTTATTAGTGGTCTTTGATTATTATTATTATTATTTTTTTTTTTGCAAGACAGTAAAAAGAGTGAAGAGAATGAAATAGAACAGTTTACTCAAGCTATCTTTATGTCCAGGAAGAAAAAAGATTACATGCTGCTCGCAGTAAGTACGAGCTTTCCCTGCAACTCTGGCTGCAGGCGCGCAAGCCGTTCACCACTGGAGTTCCTACCACAGCAGGGGATTGAGAAATGTCTCCAAACACTGAAAAGCTCCATGTCAGGACTGGATGTGTGGTTGATAACCTTTGTTCAGTAAAACAAATCATAGTAGGTTTTGAGAAGGAAAAAAAGAATGCTCACAACTGAATCGGTAGAGTGAAGGTTTATCAGACAAAGGGACATGAGGCAAACAAATTTTAATTACAGAAACCACCACTGCAATGTCATGTAGAAAGGAGAAACAAGGGACTAGCTTCCTGGATGGACCAAAAATACAGTTTATAGACTGTTTCAATCCTAAAACTAAGACAATTTCTAGATTTACCTCAGACATGAGTAGACGTCTGGAAAATGGATGGAATTCAAGTTACAGAATACCATATTTTCATGAGTGCTTATGTAAGAACAGCAAATGATAACATGTAACCGTAATTTACACGAATACTTGGCATTCTGGAGCTACTTTAGTTACTTTTGAATGATCAAAGCCCTGCCCAACTAAACCACTTGTGATTTGTCAGTTATTCCATTGCAAATGCAGGCTATCTGGAGCAGTCTTTAAATTTGAGATCACATTGTTTAAAAAATATATATTTTTATATCGTCCAGTACTCTTTAGACAGATGAGAGAGTCAAGTTCCCACATGGATTGGAACATACTTCATGTAAGACTGATTTTAATTAAATTTCAGCACTTTCATAGAAGGGACTGTCCCAGATCTGTAACTGTTCAATGTTGTATTCACTTCACAGTGTATCAAGCACCAGCGTTGCCATGGATTGGTTTCAAATAACCCTTTATATATAATTTTATATTTATATATATATAGTTATATCAAAACTGATAGTACATAGTATAACTGGAAGAAAGAACTAAACTTAAAAGGATATGCTGAAAGGATGGAGTTTGTGAACACAATAAATAAAAGTTCCCTCCCCCTCCCAGCCCTCCCCACCGGCAACAAAACAAAAACAAAAAACCAGTTGTAATGTACATGGAAAATTGTGCACAGCAGATTTTTTTTTTTTTTATAAAAAGTAGATTCAGGAGCACATCCAATTATAAATGATTGTTAGGAAAATCATATAAAACAATGGAATACATAAAAGTGTCAAGAGTAATCGTCAGGGTGCGAAATTCCTTGGTGGCCAGATGCCCATGGCAAGCAGAAATTATCCTGGCAGCATCACTAAGAGGTCGATGTCCACAGAAGATTCTCCAGGGATGCAAGCAGCATGGGCAGGTGGAGGTTTTGAATTTCATACCCTGATTCATAGTTTTCACAATTCCATGTGCAATTTCAGAAAGATTCATCATTGACTGCTGACATGTCGCCCTTTGGCGTGGAGGAACGGGAGGAGCCCTTGTCTGTGCTCTCTGACCCCGAGCTGCTCTGGTTCTGCTGTTCTGACCCTGCACTGGAGGTCACTGTGGATGAGGATGTCGATGAGGAGCGAGTCTTTTCCTTAAAGTCTGTGATAATGACGGTGACGTTGCCCACAGTTACTGCCAACTGCTGTGCAGTGCTCCTGTCCACGTTTTTCAGCCGGGGCCTAGAAGCAACACCACAGGGGAAGAGCCAATTAAGTAAGTTATGGATCAAAAACAGCTTCTGGCAGAATATCATCAATACGCACAAGACTTCATGACACTGTGGCAATGAATCCGAACTGCCTACCACACATGCCAAAGCCGACTACAGAGTGTGCTACTCAGTTTTAGCAATAATCCAACAAGCACGGATAGCAAAGCTTGGGACCAATGTAAAATTACTATTATCTGTTTCCTGTTCTGGCCACAGTATTTAAAAAAGAGAAAAAGTCACCAGCCCCACCCATACTTAGCTCTTCACCTTCTTAGCCTACAAACCCAAGGCACAAAACCACCCTGGATTCATGATTACGATTAAGTAAATCAGAGCAGTGATTTAGTATGTCATTCTAGTTTCCAAGTACCTTGAGGTGTGATTTGTTTCGCTGGTCTTTGTTGTAGCATTTGCAGACTGTATGCTGTTTGCTTCACTAGGAGGATCTTTCAGAATGTCAGACTTTGGTCTAAATGAGGGAGATACAAAACAAACAAACAAACAAAAAAAACAGGCATTTAGAAGATATCTTGAATTCACTTGCAAAGTAATATCCTGTACTTAGTTAACCAGAAACTTACTTGGTTTTCTTGTTGGTATTTTTCTTGGTAACACTAGGACTAATTTCCTTGTCTTTCTCAGGTTTCTCTTTGTCCTGCTTTTCAACTTTCTCCTTCTTCTCCTTTTTAGGGGGTGGTGGGGTGGCATACTGTTGTGCCACTTGTTGTGCCACCAGCTGAGAATTGATCCGAGGTTTTCTGAAATGTTCAAAAAATATATATCACTATTTGCTTTATAAAGTTTTTAAACATTTTTATCTGGTCTCACATTCCTTGGGTATTTTATTACTGATATCTGCCAACTCAAAACTAAATTATAAGGTTCATGTTATTTCTGCATTATTTTGTATGGATTATTTAGTATGGATACTAAACTTTTCCTTTTTCAAAGGAAATGATACATTCACATGTGATAACACTAACATACACATCCCTGTGCAGTAAAATAGTTTTTGAGCCAATAAAACATGACAGTGTTTCTAAGAGTGCTGAGAACACTACTTCTTTCAAGCCGTCAAGATTATACTGACTGACAGCTTTCAAGTACTCCTGCTGCAGAGGGTTAATCTCATTTTATTAAATGGACACTGGTAATCCCTTGAAAAGAGAATGAAATTAGAAGTGTGACATTCACTCCTCAATCTAATTATTCCAACTTGTTCTGTTCCCCTGCAGCTCTGTGATTGGCACAGACAACACATAGAGAGCAACAAAGGTAACTATGGCTCATACTAGCTCCCAAGGGAGTGAAGACTGAAAGTCACTGTAAAAAAATCATACACAAGTGACACATTCATTGTGCCATAAACCATTATGTCTGTGCCAATCTCCAACTGACACTGGCTCTTAGCACTATTGTTCACAAATTCTAAGAGATGCCAAACACTTTCACAATGCATGACCATTCACAGCCCTAAATGAGAAAGGGAGACAGGAATGCCTATGCTTTATTTCTAAATAATATTAACTCTCCAAGACATTCCCATCTAGATAGACATTTACAATATAATAAACTCTCCAAGTTTAAGATGGAAAACAAATATACGAATGGTTCATTAACAAAGTAAAACAACTGGCTGCCACAATGTAATAGTCCCCTTCAGAACCGACAGCTCCCTCTCCAATTCCCCAGGATGGAGAAAGGGACTGGAGAAAAATAACTGGACAGACCAAGTCTGACTCATCAATGGGAGAGTCAGCGGTGGAGGATTAGAAAACAAAAATCTAAAAACAAAACCCAAAACAAAGCTGCTGCATTCTTACCTAATGCTGCTATTCTTTTTTGTTTTGAGACAGTCTCACTCTGTTGCCCAGGCTGGAATGCAGTGGCACGATCTTGGCTCACTACAACCTCCACCTTCCAGGTTTGAGCGATTCTCCTGATTCAGCCTCCTGAGTAGCTTGGTTGGACTGCAGGCGCCTGCCACCATACCTGGCTATTTTTGTATTTTTAGTAAAGACGGGGTTTCACCATGTTGGCCAGGCTGGTCTCGAACTCCCGATCCACCCGCCTCGGCCTCCCAAAGTGCTTGGGGGTAATATGGTGTGAGCCACTGCACCTGGCCAATGTTGCTATTCTTTACCAGGAAACAAAATGAGAGTCACTAGGTGCATGATATGTTGGCTCCCTAAGCTAAGTGTGGTTACTGGAGCACCTCTTGGGCAGTGGCTATGATACAGCTGACAGGTGACGCAGGAGAGGTAGGGACAGATGCTTATGCCATGACAGTATCAAAGTTAATCTGAGCATTGAACTGGGTATATTCTGAGTGTTTCAGTACTGGTCGTGGCCTCTAGCAATACAAGTTTTGGTCATGGGATGGCATACCACGAAACCTTGTATTACCTGAGCCTGGATCACAAGTGACAAGGGATGGATTCAAACACATGTGAAAGCACCCTGGAGAAGGGGCATGTACTTACTCTAGGCCCCTCTCTTCCAAGAAACACACAGGACCCCCTAGGTGAAAGGTGACTTTCCCTTTTTCACAGATTCTAACAGCAGCAGTAGCCATTCTAACACATTTTACTCCTTTTAAAGAGGAAGTATGATTGTGTTAATACTTAAAAAAAAATGACCGCTACAAAACATTGCACATGCACTCACTGGGGCCACAGATTAGATGTCTAGAGGGATTACCAAACAGTTTAAATTAGTGCTAAAATAAACTACCATACATTAACCAATATTTAGGTGTTAAAATGAAATAATGTAGCCAGAGTTAATAATGTGAATAAACCACTCAAACTTTATGGGAAACTACACCCTGATGAAGAGTTTCAATTAAGCCAGTATGGGTACTTTACGCCAGAGAAATCTGATCCAAGAACAAGAGAGGACAGCTGAACACCAATTTAAGACTATCCTAAACACAGAGAGAATCAAAGGTAAGCCACGTGCTTGGCCCCAGAGAAATCTCAGCCTAATCACCAGGCCCATCCAATCTTGAGACGGAGGAGCCTACCTTACTCCAGGACAACCTATAAAAGTTGTCACTTAACACATTACACTGTAACTGTCAATCAACTGTGTACTACTCCACAGCAAAGACCACATTTAATCATCTTTGTCATCGTGGCATTAAGCAGTGCTAGGTACTCAATAAAATTATCTACTGGATGAATAAATGAACACTGCAGAGAAAGACAAAGTAGGATGCAAATTGAGAAAAGGGCCCAAGCTTTGGAAATCGAGGTCGCTGGTGACTTTTAGGAGAGCAGGCTATGTGGGATGAGGGCGGCAAGAATTAAGAGCCTGAAGGTTGTCAGACGAAGAGCACAGGAGCTCTTCCTTACCTCAGAACTGTGGTGCTGAATTAAGAGATTGCTCTGCTTATTACCCAAGCAAACTGAGAAGAATTTCTGTAGGAAATAGGGTCTTGGATGATGCTGTACAATCAAAAAGGGAGAACGATAGAGGGCATGCAAGACAGAGAGGTTAAATCACTGGTCAAAGGGAGAGAAAGAACACAATCAAACAGAAGTCCTGGGGAAAGAAATGGGGACACTTTCTGCTGAGACATAAGAGAGATGCTAGGTAAAGATAAAGTGACATTTTTACTAGAAAGATGACAATCTGAGGACGTTCTCTCAGTTGGCCTCTCCCTTCACAGGGAGGCAGGCAATATGGCAGAGGTAGTGTAGGGGTCGTGAGCAGAATTTGGAAATGAGAAATCAGAAAAGAGATTAAATGAACCACGGAGATCGAAAGCAGTGCCTGGTTTGGACAGTATAGGAGAAAAGAGAGCAAGTGATGAACAGAGAGAGAAAAGGAAATTTACTCGCATCTCACAAATTACCCTTAATAGCATGAATATAGTATGCCTAAAAGAAGCAGGTCTCCACTACCCAGAGATCATGCTTATCCAAAATGACTTATTCCCTAAAACACGGCCCGTCTGCCAGGACTATTTATTGGCACACTGTAGACAACATGTAAGGTGCCCTCTGGATGGTTCTGCCACTGCTATCATTCAACAGTTCAGCAAATGCACGCTCAGAATTCTTCAGTGCATGCAACACAATCTGGTATCTACAGGATGAAGTCTGTATGTACAAAAGGTAAATTTCAGCCATAAGTCCTCCTAAAATGCAACATATAAGCACAACTGGGTGAATGTCTCACTTGCTCCTAAGAAAATGTTTGACTAGTACGGTGAAGCGTTTCTCCCTCTGTTGGTCAACAAACCAAAACTTCACAAATGAAAAGGCCGCAAGACTATTTGGGATCTGGTTATTACCAAGAAAAATGGGGCATCTGCTAAACTACCTGTGTTGTTTGAAAACTGCTGCTGTGTTCTGAATGTCTTCTATGTGTCCTTAAATGACAACCTAACTCTTAAACCATCACTTGCCCCCCTTCCCCACCCAAACCCCTCAACAACAGGTGAGCATTTATCATCTTAATTAGCATAACTGCTTTTTCAAACTAGTTCTCCCAATAAATGCCACAGTACTCCTAGAGTTGGGGGGCAGGGGATGAGGTAGGGAAATTCACCTTTTGGAAGGCGAAGGAAAAGAAAAATACAAGGGCGACCAGGCTGAGCCCTCCCATATAAAGATACTGCACCATCAGAGCTGTTCTGGCAGCTCTTGAAATCTGTCCCCTCCCCACTTCTGGGCTAATACTCTCTTCGCTGCGTGGCAAGTGGAAGAATGAGAAAGTCCAATTTCCATTGAGAGCTATGCACACTCCCACATTCCACTCCTGGGATGCTGTGCCAGGCTCTCCAGGTTGGTTAAACTTTACAAATGTACCCAACATGGGAGACAGGTAGAACCTTTTCAAAGCTATCACAGGACAGGCACATCAAGAAGTCAGAGTCAGCACAACCTCCCCTCAAGGAGGAACTGTCATCTCCATTTTACAAATTAGGAAGACTGAGGAGCAGAAAGAGTTAAGAAATTCATCCAAGGTTCAGCTCCATCTGGACTCTTCATGGACTCCTCTTATCTTCAGGTATCCTTAAACACTCTACAGGTATGCCTTTGAAGAGTACAGCCTTGCATGTGTGTCAGGGGTGGCAATGTGAGATGAAAAGGGTGATGAGGGTACTAGGGGTTGAAAAACTCAGGTCCCCAAGTTACAGTTTAGCTGGACTCCTCCCTGAGAACACCACTGCCACCTGTTAGCCTCACCGTGCCTTACTCCGGCAAGAAGGGGACTACTTGGTTGTCCTTAAGAAAAGAAAAGGGGGCAGAGGGAACAGGCAAGAATGTTTTCCTTGCTTTCCACTGCCTTCAGAACATTCTCTGTAAGGAATGAACACCCATATTATGATATTTAACACTGCTGATGAGTGAGAAACAGTGACTTCCCACAAATTCGCATTGCTTAATGAAGTCTTCTAAGTGTCATACAACACACTGTAAATAGCACTCATTTAATGGGCAAAACTTTCAACATGTTGTGGCAAGTCATTTCTTCAATACGAAGCTGACAGTCTGAGTCTCCGAGATCATTCAAGTTTCCCCAACTAACGTTAAATAAGCAGTTAAACACCTTCACAATACAGTGGTAAATATTAGATCAGAGCCCATGGCCTACAACTTTTGGTGTCTAAGTCTCAAATTAAAACCAATCAATCATCACCACCGCCACCACCAATCTCCAAAAAAAAAAAAAAAAAAAGACCAGAGATTCAAGATAGTAAACACAGTTTCCCTCATAAATTTAGCAAACAAGCTTTTTGTATCTTCTTCACGACTATATTTTCTTATGACAAGGGTGTCTTCTTGAAATATTATTTTACAGGTTTATTGTTGCCATTTTAGTAGCATGTAAGTGAAAATGTGCTATGAAACTTCAATAATAGACATCATCAGGAAAATATTTATTTGCATTTAAACAGCTAACATTTTAGAAAAGAGTCCATTCTATAAAAAGTGAAGCAGATCTTTATCTGGGGCATTCTTAGTGTCTGGAAAGGAAAAACTTCAGAGAGTTCAAATGTACACGAGCACAAATGAGAACAGAAAACAAGACACCTTTTCTGGATTGCTTTGGTATGTGTACCGATACCACTTTCAGGGAGCACAGGCAAAACAGTTATTTTTTAAAGAGGCATTTCCCCCGTGTACTACTCTTGTTTTCCTTTTCCTCTTGTGCAACCTGAGATCTTACTGCTCATTTCTCATATACTTCTCTGGATCTCAGCTACCACAACGAGCAACGAGATGACAAAGCCATCTTCTTGTGATTCAGGCAATAAAGAGCAAGAAGAGTCTCTAATAAATTGTATCTTTTCCTTGATTATGTGTCCAGCTTTTCATAAACTATCAATCATGTGTCCATTGTGCTCACTTTTAATTCCACCTGGCATTTCACTTTTCGATTAAAATACCCACAGGTTGTGGAACTAAGGCAATAAACCCATCCATCTCAAACAAAAGGTACTTTACAATTAAGACAGTTCCTTACAACCTACAAAATGTCTTCATCAAATCAGCTTACATCGAGCCCTTGAGTTCTTCATATGCTGCTTTTATGTTCCCCCTAACCCTTCCTTGCCTTGGCAATCTATTAGTCTAAGAATTAGCAACTTCAAAGAATTTAGCAACTCTGGGCAAGTCACTCCACTGAATGTACTCTTTATCAGGACTCTTTATGACAGGTCACATTATGATACTGTAATTAAAAGGAGCCTTCTCACATGACCTGTTTTCCTGTCCCTACATCCAGAAGGTCATATACATGTACACTGTACAGACATACACATGTGCACTGGATTGGCTAGGACAGATTTTACCCCATCCAATAATGACTGAATTTTTATATTACTGATGTCCCAAAATGCATATATCCCAGGTTGGAACCTACCGAAGTATACAACTCGGCTGTTATTCTTTAACACCTGCTGACTAAAACATTCTAAAAACAAAATAGGAATGGTAGTAAAATCCAACTGCAGGAAACTAGGTGGGCCACATGTGTGAAAATGCTTTATAAACTGAACACAACTTTTTTTTTCTTTGCAAAAGTACCTTGTTAAAGACATACTGAGGCTAAATCTTTGTCTGGACTTGTCTACGATAATGTATTCCAAGTTGTAAATAACCAAATTGCAAATATGTTTGTGGAATACAATCCATTTTTAAGTTGGGCAACATATGTATTTACTTCTAAGGAAAGCAGTGTTAAAGTGTGAAAGCACCTGAGTTGTTTTATCCCAACAGCACTGTCCAGTAAACAGTATTGGTCTCTGGCTTTGATGATTAATAAAATTTGTTTTCTGTTCACTTAACCCATACAGTCTGTTCCATTGTATTTTTTATATACCAAGGAACCTATATGACCTCATGACTTGACTGAAGCCAACCATCATTATAATATGGATAATTAAAAACTCAACTGTCACTTTACCAGGATCATACATTGCAGGACATTATTAATTTCCCTCTGCTTCCCAAACAGTATTGTTTTTTTGTAGTTCTTTTTTTTCTTAAATAGTACTTTCCTCTTTCATGTAAACACTTTTCTTCAATTTCTCAAATCCTTCGACCCATCTACAAGGAGCTACTAGGTGACCTGAAGGGGGTCTTAGTCCCATTCTAGGTTACTCTTTCCCACACACATCCTTGACTCAAGAGAATCACTCTGCTCTGTATTAGAGAACTAAAACTTCCCTCAAATTTGATCCTATCAGAATTTCAAAACTCAAGTCATCCCCTTTCTCCCTGATCTTTCCTTCTGTCATCTTCACAGGTAATAGGGAAACGGAGTAGTATAAAGGAAGAGTATAGACTTTGGAGTTAAGACAGCCTTTGGACTTTATCCACACCTGCTACTGAGCTAAGGTAAATTACCTGAAATGAGAATGAGGCCACACCTATTTTCACAGGGCTGAGGTCAGGATGAAATGAGGACAAAATTAGGTACCATTCACTTAGCTCTTGCAACAGGACATGTAGAGAGATATTCCACAAGACAATTCCCTGTACAAGTAATACATACATTCCAAAGCACTACTTTTCCAGCCGTAGATGTGTCTGCCACCCTTCTTCAGATACTGGAAGGCAAATGGAAAGATTTACAAGTGAAAGGAGCTGGTAAGTCTGAGCCCTGGGAAATGGTTCTAGAGACATAAATCCTTCGCATATGTTAGCATCCTAAAGTTAATTATGCTGTCTAACAGCAACAGCAGCACTAAGGAGCCTCACTAACATAGCTGCCAGTTTTTCTGCGTATTTCGGAGAGAATTTTGGTTTTGCAGAAATCCCTTTTAAAAGAGGATGCCTTTAGGGAAGGCCACTGAACTTCAATTGTAAAATATCCACACATGGTGTTACACAAACTCTCACCAGATACTGCTTGGTTAGAAATAACTGGCTCCACACGACTAACAGGTATCTTTACCTTAATAAACAGCAGATTCTGAAATGTTCTCCTTCACCTTAAATTTTCATTTTGGATATTAAAATGTCTCTTATGCCCTGAAAACAGACTTTAACTACCTGAGCACCAATAGGTGAAAGCACCGTAACTTTTCTGCAACTCAGGAACATATATTCAATAAATAAAAAGAACTAAAAGTGGTTCTGATTTTTGGAAACAAAAGACCTATTTTATAAACCAATCTGGCAGCAACAGACAGTTATCTCAGCCCAGTGGGTCTCAAAGTATTGATCCAGAGACTCTTGGGTGTCCCCAAGACCCTTCCAGGAGGATCTACAAGACAAAACTATTTCCACAATAATTTTAAAACATTACTTGCCTTTTCATTTTCCTTTCTTCAAGAGTTTACAATGCAGCTTTCCAAAGCAATGACATCTGACGTCATTGGTCTGAGAGCTTGTATATTTCCATGTTTTAAACATTTCTTAGTTCTAATTTCTGATACGGGAAGTATCTATATATATAACTAAGATGAACAAAAGCTCCTTGGGGTCATTAATACTCTTAGGAAATGTAAGGGATCTTCTGACCAAAACGCTTGCAAACGGCCACCGCAGCACCATGCCCAATACTGGACTGTGCAAGTCTACTGCATCGCGGGCAAAGAAAGAGACAGTCTTGAGAAGGTAACTTCTCAGGCTTAAATTTTTCCTCAAAAAAACAAAACAAAAAAAAGAAGGTGAAAAGGAGCATTGACTCGAATTGCTGGAAACATTTTGAGAATAAAGAAAAATCTTAAACTTATTTAAAACTAGAACAACTCTCTAAAAATGGGCTTCGAGTACTTAAGCCATAGACTATAATGCTGGCTTCCTTCCATTTCCTCTCTCTTGTGGTGCCTATAACAAATTTTATTCGTGGTTATTCAAATATTTTAAGTAAATGTCCCATAATAAATAAGCCCTTCAGCTCTCCCTCAGCCCTTCTCCAAAGAACATGCCCACTGACAAAGAATGTGTTAGTTCAATTTATCACGTAAAGAAAAAGATTTCCTAAATTGTTTTGAAAATGGACTTTTGTTTGAAAATGGTTACATTTCTTTTTGATACCTCCATTCCATATTTTCAACATAAACTTTCTTCTATGGTAAAAGACTTTTTTTGCTTGCTGATTATCTGGTTTAGTAGTGCTGTAGGATCACTGTCCCATTTGAGGCAGTGTGAGCACCACGGCAGCTGCTGGTACTGCAACTACAAGAGAGGTAGAGGCAAACCTCTCCTCACCTGCCTCCTTGGAAGGAGCAAAGCCTACCTGGACACCCAACCCTACTCTCTGCGTCAGAGATGTAACATTTCTTGTGCCATCTCCTCTCCCATCTCAACTCTATCTCTGGCATTTTGGCTTATGCGATCTCCTCTCCATCTCAGTTTCACCTTTAGCATTTTGACTTACGTTTTCAAACTCATGCAACAGACTTCTCCCAGTGCCTACTAAATGTAGAGGCACAGTGCTGTGTATTCTGGATGTGTGTGGATACACGCTCATTTTCCAAGGGGCCGATGGGATAATAACACAAGAGACTCCAACAGCCCAGACCTCTGGCGAGGTCCTTTGTCTTACATGGGGTCTGCCCTGTCACACAAGCTGGGACACAGGCCTTTAGTGGTAGAGATATCTAGACCTCCCCTTTTCACTTTCATATTATCTTGGAACCCTAAGTCTGTGACTTTGGATGAGTTAGATAATCTCTCCAAACTTCAAGTTCTTTGTTGATAAAAGGATTAGAGTAAGTGATCTCTAAGGTTCCTTTAGCTCAGACACTTGTATTGAGTATTTAATAAAGACACTTAAATAAAGTATTTGTTCTTGAGGTGCAGGCAAGTTTGCAGTTTATGTTCTTAGTAACTCATTCAAGTCCGAAATAAACATCATGCTTTTACAAACCTTCTAAAACTACATACTGTTGGTTTAGTGACTTAGACATGACTGCTCCTTCCCCGCCACCCACCAAAAAAGATACACAAATGTACCTTCTAAACCATGTCAATGATTAAGATGAATCCCAGAAACTAAGAATCTCTAAGCAAATGCTATTTTCAGATGCAAATAAATTTGACAAATCAAGTCTTTCTCCAAGAAACATTACACTAAAGCAATCCAATCTGCTCTGCAAATTACTTTAAAGCTGTCAAAGATCCTATTTAAAATGCATTTAACGATTCTGAAATTACAGTTCATGTCACAAACATGGGTACTTCCAAAACACAAAAGAATTAGTAATTCATCAAAGAAAGAAGCTACTAGATAAGCCACAGTCTAACAAATACTAAACTAGCTGCCCTCCTCAGGTGTGAGTTTCCTCACCTATCAAATTAAGATTCCAACTAAACTAAGGTAAACTTTTAAGGTTTCCCTCAAATCTAACCTTTAAAACAAAACAAAAACTTAAGTAATACAAAATAACAGCCCTGACAAATTCATTCATGGTCAAGAGATCTATTATAATTACTGGTTATTAAAACTTTATTGGTTTTAATACTTTAAAATGTTATTACTGGTTATTAAAAATTACATTACTGGTTATTAAAAACTTTCTTGAAGCCCATTATCACTTCAGAAGACTCTCAACACTTCACTAACTGCAGTGTTCACAATCTGAGCATTATTGATTATTTTGGGCCCCTTAGTTCTTTGTTGTGGGGGCCGTGCTATGCATTGGCGAATGTTTAGCAGCCCACTAGACGCCAGCAGTACCACACTCTCTCAAGTTGTGACACCCAAATTTGCTTCTAGACATTGCCAAATGTTCCCTGGAAGGAAAAAATCACTCCCAGGTGAGAATCACTGGGCTAATGTCTAACGTTAACTACAGGAATACAATATAAGGGAGTAGAAATTTTTGCAAATATGGGAGGGCAATCTAAAACAAAGAGAACTTCTCTCATCAGTTTTATCAAAAGATGCCTGCCCAAGACATCTGCAATGTGTTCATTGTTCTGACTGGTAGGCCAGGCTATAAAAGGGTAGGACATAGGGAGAGGAATCCCAAGAACACTGAGTATACTGATACTATGTTATCTCTGTATTGAGATGTGTGATCACTCTTCTCCTGCCAGATGGAAAGACAATTTGATGGTCCCTATACAATTACAACTGTGACAATACCATCTATACCTCAAACATTTCTGGTAATCATGGTCTTTATTTCCAGTAACGGAAGGAAATGGCTTTTGAGTAAGGGAAGAAAAGTTTTAGGGTATCTTTATTTACTTGGTCAAATGGCTGAAAAATCAGATATTAATAAAGGTGAAGACGACTCTAAAATTACTGGTATCTATTACTAGAGACACTAGCACTGAGTCTGATAATTCCTTCAACTCCATAAATATGGTTTTGTTTTTCTGGGGGCTGGGAGGGCACAGATTGGCACAGGTAGATGACAATTCGTACGTCAATTTAAATAGTGATCTCTGAACTTAAAATGTTGGTCATATTTTTTTACATATGGATGAAATATTTATCAGAATAACCAGAAAACATTTGCATAAGAATAGAAACTTGAATAAAGAAGAGAATCTTTGAGGCTGTCAGTAGTCACGTATCACATCCTAACACACTCAAGCATGCACATCTTAGTGCCTAAGAAATTAATCATGCAAGTATCAAAGTCCACTCTAACTAAAGAAAACATTTGTCGGAAAATCTTAATCAATTCTTTCATTCTGTACTCTTTTCATTTTGAAGGACCAGAGTGGTGTTAATAACTACTTCTACATAAAAATTCTGCACAGCTCCCACTCATGAGTACTTTTCTTACCTAAGCAAAATTCTCCAAAGAACTTTCCAAACAAGTGTGGTGAAATGATGTTAAAAAAAAAATGTATCAGAATGTGTATCATCTAATGTCTTCAGCATCAGTTAGTTAAGACGATTACGTTCAGAACACACCGCTGGGAATACTCTAGTATGTGAATTCTCCCCCCACCCTCATTCTTCACATGCCAAGGAAACCTCAGAAAGGACTCTCTAATCTCCTATCCCCACCTTTCATTTTCATTGTCTTCCTCCATGCTAGTTCAGGACCTAAATATCTTCCTATGTCCATAAGATCCTATCTGGTCTTTTCTAGTCCTCCCTCTAGCTATCATACATGATGCTAAAGACCAAAGGGCCTAAAGAGAAAAGGTGAATTCCCTTTCCTCTGCTTAAAACTCTGCCGCAGCCTGCTGCTAACAGAATGAAATCCTAACTCCCTAGCATGATATATAGACTCTTCACAAGTTTCTTCAGACATTTCTCTCAGCTTGCTTTTTCTCCACACTCACTGTCCCAGGTCTCTCATTCATAGGAACTCAAGCCACACTAAACTTTATCTTATCTTTTTCAGAAGATACCTTTTACTACTTGTTTTATTTGCTTATCTATTCCTTAGCTTCTGCAATGCCCTTTTTCTCCATACTTCTTCTGTAAAACCCATACCTGCTTTAAGACCCAGCTCAAATGCCGCTTCTTTCCCAACTTCTCCTGGCAAATAAGTTTGTGGTCAGGTTTTCAGTGTTCCCAAACCACCCTGACATACGTCCACCACTTAAAGTTCTACATTATAATTTACCACCCTGCTTGTCTATGTCTCCCTACTAGATGATTAACATCTCTGAGACAGTACCGATCTTTTCAATGTTATGTATACTCCCCAAACTTGCATCAAAATAATAATTTCCTGCCAGTAGGTCAGCTAATGCTGGCTACAAGAGTGTATGTCCTCTGTACAATGCAGTGCAGACAGCAGATGCTACATCAGCATGTTGCATAACATTGTATTATAATGATGTACTTAACTGTCTCTCTCTGGGCCTCAGAACTGAGCTCTTTAGGGATATTATATATATGAGAGAGAGATCTCAATGTATATGATACATGAGAGAGAGAGAGACCTCAATGAATATAAAGATCTACCCAGAGATAGAACTGCTCCCCGTTAAAAGAGGGAAAGAAGTAAGAAAATTAACAGGTAATGAATGTTTCCTATGAGGAAGCACTGTGCTGAGCATTCTACATACATTACTTCTCACTATCCTCATGACTTCTTGAAGTTATTAAATAAACCAAACACCCAACAGTAAAAACGAGACTAGCACAAGCAGAGTTTAACCCAAGTTTCTGCTCTTTCCACTAAACAGTGAGAAAGAAAGGAGATGAACAGAAGCCAGTAAAAGAGGGGAAAACGAAGAGAATGAGATACCATTTTAAAAGGGAGAGAAGCTTTTCAAGGAAAGAATGGTCAATAATATTAAAAATAATCTTAAAAGCTATAGCAAATAAGGCCTGAGGACAAGCCTCTGAACCTGGCAATCAGGAAGGTATCCTTCCAAAGCGTTTCTTTTCCAATTCCTTCACCAGATTACATACATGCCCCTTAACCCTCCACCTTTCCTCCTACCTCAAATAGTCCAACTATCAAAACATGTCCCACCTATACTGGTATGAAAAAAGCTACTTTTGCAATCTGCTCCACAATGCCTATGATTTTAAAAAATCTTAGAACAAGGAACTAGAACAAACTTCACAAGAAGTTGAATCTAGTCCTTCAGGAATGCTCTTTGTCTTTTTCTCTTTCTCTATCAAAACAGAAAAGGTCTATAGCTAGTAAAAACTGAGTCCCCAGAGCATGGCATAATATGCCTGCTTATTTAACCTCAGAGAAACTACATTATCACAAGCCCAAGTATTGTGGCATCAAGTGAGATTCTCACACTACTAGCAAGATCTCCAATTACAGACTTACCTAAAATCGTAGCTTTAAAAAACAGGTATTTTGAAAATTGGGATTGTATACTGCATACATGAAAGTACCTGCATGAGTGTAATCATTCTGACACAACAGCTTTTCAATTTAGTATTCCACTCCAAATTATCTGCCTTTGGCATCAGTGTAATCCAATTTTTATCCCTTGTAAAAAGTTTCCAACAAGGTGAGGATTCTGTATGTTCCATAAATGACTCTGAAATGTCTTTATTTGAGGGGGGTGGGAGGGAAGCCAGGTGTGATGGCTCACACCTGTAATACTAGCACTTTGAGAGGCTGAGGCGGACCAATTACTTGACCCCCAAGTTCAAGATCAGCCTGGGCAACATGGGAAGACCCCAACTCTACCAAAATGCAAAAAAATTAGCTGGGTGTGGTGGCACGCACCTGCAGTTCCAGTTACTCAGGAGGCTGTGGTGGGCAAATTGCTTGAGCCCAGAAGCTCAAGGATGCAGCGAGCTGTGATCATGCACCACGACACTCTAACCTGTGCGACAGCGCAAGACCCTGTTGGGAGGGAGGGAGATACCTCCCCACAGAAGGAAGGGAGGGAGAGAGGGAGGGGACACCTCCCTCCCCACCAAACTAAACTGCTGTAAGTATACTTTCTGCAAAGACTTGCTGAAAATGATTCACTAATTTGCAAAGAGAAAACAGATTTTTCGAATGCCTTTTAGAAGTAGAAATTTTAGATGCTTTAACTAATTTTGGACTTACAGAAAAGTTGCAAAAATAGTAGGGCTCTCATATACCCCTCACCCAGTTCCCCCTAATGTTACCATCTTATATAAACACAGAATGATCAAAACTGGAACACTAACATCTGTACAATTCCGTTAACTAAACCACAGACCTTTCCTGAATCTCACCTGTTTTCCCACTGATGACCTTTTTCTGTTTCAGGATCCTATCTAGGTCTCACATCACATTCTGTTGTTATTTCTCATTTTCTGGGCTCCTTGTGATAGTTTTCTGGCCTTTGTCCTTTATGAACCTGAAACTCTTGAGGACTGGTCAGTTATTTTGCAGAAATGCTCCTTAATTTGGGTCTGTCTGATGTTTTCTCATTATCAGAATGAAGGTCGTGCCTTTTTACAACACCACGGCAATATGTGCCCTCCTCAGTGTATCACACCAAAGGGTTCATGATGTTGCTATGTTTCTCCACCTTAAAGTTATTGTCTTTCAAATAAATACTTTGGCAGAGATATTGAGACTATATAAATAAGCTCTTTCTCCTGAAACTTTAAGCTACTAATTTTAGCGTCCAAACGTGATTTGGCACAAATCTCTTAACTTTTTGTTGGTAGTGGTGGTATTTTTGTCCTAATAGTGATTTTCTAGTTCCCGCTTTCCTTTTATAATTATTAAGTGGAATTTTTCTTTAAGAGCTGTCTCTACTCTCCCATATATTTACTCAATTATTTATATCAATATGAATTCATGGATACTTATTTTATCCTATAGGTTAAAATAGAAAACTGTCATTATATATTTTTTTGCTCAAATTGTTCCAGCTTTGGCCATCAGGAGCTCCTCCTTTGGGCTGTCTCCTATTTTCTCTCTCTCTCTCTTTTTTTTTTTTTTTTTTTAAATAAAAAGAGACGGGGTCTCACTCTACTGAGCAGGCTGAAATGCAATGGAGTGATCATAGCTCACTGCAGCCTCAAATATCCAGGCTCAAGTGAACCTCCCACCTCAGCCTTCTGAGTAGCTGGGATTACATACAGGCACATGACACCACGCCTGGCTTATTAACTAATTAATTGTAGGGATAGGGTCTTACTGTGTTGCCCAGGCTGGTTTTGAACTCCTGGGCTCAAGTGATCTGCCCACCTCAGCCTCCCGAAGTGCTGGGTTAACAGGTGTGAGCCACTGCACCCAATCCCTATTTCCTTTTGACAAGCCCCAATCCTTTCTCGAACTCTTAAAAATCTAGATGATTTTTAGGAACAGATGTTTCTTGGACTTCTTCACATTCCTAAGCACTGTACTCAAAACCATTACGGGCCACCTAGAGAAGGATTACAATATTCTAACTAGTAAGTGACGCAAAGTGATATATCATTACACCCTATCCCAATTAGCCTTATATTCCAGACAGCATAACCAACACCAAAAGTTAGGTGGGGGAGCTCTGAATATCATTATGACTATATTTTGTTGGAGTTTTAAACTAATTTGTATCACTAATCGAATACCTCAGATAATGAGAAACTGCTGTGTTCTAAAGACAAACTTGAGCATCAAACAATTTGTGGCCAAAAGTAGAACTATCAGGAGAAATAACGATAGATTCATTAGTTAAACAAAGTGTTCTCTAAAACATTAAGTATGTTTTTCTGGGATAGTGGGGAAGGGAGGTGAAAATATTTCGGTCTCTGAAAGAAACTGGAGCTATCCTGCCCAGGAATAAGGATTTAAGAGCCAAAGCTTCATCTTCCAAAGAAGACCCAAACAGCCTGTAGTAGAGGAAAGCAGCAAAGAATCCCATTACTTCTGACCCTATCCAGCCCTCCCTACAGCTGGAATAGAACTAAAGACTAGTGGTACCTCCAAAATTACACCCTGCTTGTTTACAGGTGAATGATTACCTGCCATCCAAACAAAAATAAAAACAAAAAACGTGAAGAAGAACAGGTGCTGCAGTTTACTGACATGGCCAATGCTTGCACAGGGTAAATTTTAATGAGGTACAATCTATATACAATAAAGTGTACAGTTTTAAGAAGTTTTGACAAATGTATACAGCTATTAATCATCACCCCTCATCCTCTTCGGTGCCGCTTCTAGACAATCCCCATTCCCAGCTCCAGGAGGCCACTGATGTTTTCTGTAACTACGGATTCCATTTGTCTTTCCTGGAATTTCACATAAATGGAATTATACACTATATACTCTTCTTTATGTGTAAGGCTACTTTCATTGCAGAGTATTTCTGAGAATCATCCATGTTGTTATGTGTTTTGTTTATCCAGGCTCCTGCTGATGGATATTTGGGCTTTTTCCAGCTTGCCACTATTATAAATAAAGCTGAGATGAACATTCATTAACAAGTCTTTGTGCAGACATATGTTTTCATTTATCTTGGCTAAAATGCCTATGGCAAGTATATGTTTAACTTTATGGCAAGATATATATTCAATTATATAATAAACTGCCAAACTCTTTTTCAAAGGGATTGTACTATTTTACATTCCCTCCAGCAAAGTATGAGCATTCCAATTGCTCCATATCCTCAACAACACTTCGTTCTGTCAGTCTTTTTAATCTGAGCCATTAACGTGGGTGTATAGTAGCATCCCAATGTGATTTTAATTTGTAATTCCCCAATGACTAATGGTGTTGAGCCAGTTTTTTGCCCAGAATGCACTTTTATACAAGTGCACTGTTAAGCTGATGGCTTAACAAAAACAATAAGTCCGTACAGTATTTATGAAGATCAAGAGGCCTGCCAATATACAAACTGTTGATGCTGGGTGATGAACAGGGAGATTATTTCTATTCTTGTGTTTCAGTTATATCCATTTTTAAAAGTTAAAAATAAACTAGAAGCCCACGCAGTTTCATGGCCAAAGAATGTCTTAATTGAGGTACAAGAACTCAGAAGAGAATGAAAGTAAAGACAGCTACTTGTCTAATTTTGGAGCAGAGTAATAGAGTAAAGCATTTTTTACTCTAAGCTAAACAGCTTTATAAGAAGGTACAATCAACCATCTCTTAAAAATGAAGCACTGACCTAGATGAGTAAGAGTGTATGCACTGCATAAAGGTTTGTAGAATCGGTGAATTGGAAGTAAACACAGTAGACAAGCGACGTCTACTGGAAAGGAGAGCAGGATGGATATGCTGCACTTTGGATGAGACAACCAAAATCTGAAGGGGTTCAGAGAACTGGAATAATAGATTCTGAGATCAGACAAGATTTCACAGCATAGTAATATTTATAGAGCTCATCTGCTCGCTTTTTTTTTTTTTTAAGACAGGCTCTTGCTCTGTCACCCAGACTGAAGTGCAGTGGTGTGATCATAGCTCACCGTAGCCCTGAACTCCTGGGCTCAAGCAATCCTCCCTCAGTCTCCAGAGTAGCTGAGAGTACAGGTGCGTACCACCGTTTCCAGTTTTGTTTTGTTTTGTTTTTTATAGTCAGAATCTTGCTTTGTTGCTCAGGCTGGTCTCAAACTCCTGGCTTTAAGCAATCCGCCAGCCTTGGCCTCCCAAGGTGCTGGGACCCCCAGGATGAGACACGTGATCAGCCCTTGCATTTCTTAATCTGAATGTAACGCCAGTGAAAAGAGTAACAGATGTTAAGAAAATGGAATTTTAGCCCTGGCTCTTTTATCAATTTGCAGATGACTTTTAAGAACGAACCACAGCCTTCAGCCTGTTTTCCCAACTGCTAAAACAAAGAAAATACCTGTCCTACATTCTCATCAATATGACTGAGAAAAAAAGGTTTGGAATCAGTACAACAAACACTTGGAAGAAAAAGTATACAAGTGCTATTTTTGTTTTTCTTACACACTTGTATATACATATTAATAAGGCAAATTCAAGTTTTAAAAACTTTGGTCTTAGTGAAATCAGAAGAATATATTTTCCCCCAAGTTTCAGACACATATATACCTCAGAATGTGGATGCTACAGAAAAAATATTCCAAAAGAAAAAAAAAAAAAGCCTTAACTGCCACACTACATTTATTGAGCACCACCACTGATTCTAGTTTTTAAAAACTGTATTCTATAGACCCTGTATCATTTAATATTACACGGAAAAGAATTTTTTCTTCTTTTGATTACTTTAGGTTGCTATTATGGTGAGATTCCCTGGAGAAGTATTCAGAGCTGCCCTACCCAATACAGCTCCTGCCACTGTTTTGATGGTTTACAGCAATGACAGTGTCCCACCTGTTACTCTAGCAGCTGTCCATGGTTCCTACTGTTACTGTGTCTTCCACAACAGCACCCAGCCCTCATTATGGGAAACAAACGCATTTAAAGCAACATACTAGAATTGAGAATATAATTGTTTCAGAACCAGACCACAATTTTGAGTTCCATCCATGACCAATAATAAAGCATCTTCTCCAAGTGTCCTTTAAAGAGACTCACCCTCTTAAATAAGGTATTCCTGCATTAAATGTATCAGTCATAAAAAGCACGTTTAAAACTTCCTCCTATGGCCGGGCATGGTGGCTCATGCCTGTAATCCCAGCACTTTGGGAGACTCAGGCAGGCAAATCACCTGAGGTCAGGGGTTCGAGACCAGCCTGGAGAACATGGTGAAATCCCGTCTCTACTAAAAATACAAAAATTAGCTGGGCATGGTGGTGTGCACCTGTAATCCCAGCTACTCCGGAGGCGAGGCAGGAGAATCGCTTGAACCCGGGAGACGGAGGTTGCAGTGAGCCGAGATCGCGCCACTGTACTCCAGCCTGGGCGACAGAGCAAGACTCTGTCTCAAAAAAAAAAAAAAAAAAAAAAAAAAAAAAAAAGAAAAGAAAACCAACTTCCTTTTATACTTATTTTTAATAAGCAACCCACAACACCATGTTATTTCCAGTATGTTTCCACATCCCCAAACATAACATTTAGTAAGGAAAAACTTCAAGAAGACTCAAACACATCAATATTTCTTATATGAAGTATTATCTCATGGGAACAACAAATACAGTCACCCAGGGCTAAAATTGTTCCCTTTCAAACGAGAGCTAGGAAATATATTTGGGATTGGTAGGGATATGGGTCAGGACATATCAGGACTAACCACTGAAACCTTAATCCTAAAAGAGGTGTTGCCTATCCAACAAATGACCCATCTTCTCTGAAGGAATTAGCAAATTCAACTAAGAATATTTCCAAAAGCACAAAACTGAAAATAAGCCTTCGCACAGAAAAAATACTCAATAATTTTCAATTTAACTGATCTGTTTGCATAATAACAATTAACTTTATTCAACCTTCTCAAATATTTAAGATCATGACAAACCCCCGGCTGACAAGGTTTTGGCAGAACTGAACAAACTGTCCCACAGATTAACTATGAGCATGTTTAAAACGAAGTGGTAAGTGCCTGATTGTGGGGGAGGGTACAGCATATGGTGATTTCCCCCTCTGAATTTTTGAGTTCCACACTCAGACCAACAGCTGCAATGACTAGACTGGACAGTGGTGCTGCCAACCAAAATCTTCCTTGTGCAGATTGGTTCCAGGACCCCCACGGGTACCAAAATCTGTGGGTGCTCAAGTCCCTTATGTAAAATGGCATATTTGCATTTAACCTATGCACATCCTCCTATATACCTTTTAATCTCTAGATTACTAATAATGCTTAATACAATGTAAATGCTATGGAAATAATTATCAAACTGTATTATTTTTAATTGTTGTATTGTTATTTTTATTGGTTTTATTCTCTTGAATATATTTTCAACAAGTGGTTGGTTGAATCTGAGGAGTGAAACTTGGGATACAAAGGACTATATGTTGAAACTTTAACCTACTCAGAAGTAAGTACACATACAAATGTCTGCATGCAATTTCAGGGGCCTTGTGGATCTCAAATAATAAACGTCTGGTCCAGCATATTCCCGTTTACAAAAGACAAACAACAAGGATGACTGGCTAATATTCCATGCGGGACCTGCAGAATCTCAGGTGGTACATTTAATGTCTGATTTTTAATTTTTCTCAAGTTATCAACTACGAGAACTAAAAAACATAGTATTTACATTGGATTATGCCTTGACGAGTATTCGAAAACATAGCTAAATTGACTGAAAATGACCATACACAAATGTCGTCTACCTCTTTTCTACAGACACTTTCATCTACACAGTGACACAATCATGGAGCAATTTAATATCTACATCCAAGAACTTTCCCTCTCCACCCCGGCCCCGTCAATGCTTTTTATTGCAGAAGAATTAACAGAGTTTATATTTTGTTTTTACTTGCTTATATATTCTTAAATTGAGTTTTTGCGTATGTATTTAATTCCCTAACTAAATCTTAAGTACCTCATAAAGTTTTCACTCTTTCTTTTAAAACCCAAGCCTCTGGAAATAATATTTTGAAGAGTAAGGAAGAGTGTCAACACCTGGTATTGCAGGATCAATCACTTCTGTATTTCTTTCCTCTGATGACACTTGACCAGTAGACTGATTTTAAAATCCACAGTTTAAGGTCTTCTCAGAATAGAGATGCTCTGGGATATGTTCTAATAGGAGGGAATAAGTCTTTGTATATTAATCAATCTCCTTCATAGATAAATCCATTGGGCCAATTTGGAAACATGAAAATTAAGAGTCCAGAGATATCTCAAGCAAACCTTTGAGTTGATGGAGGTAGACTACAATGGGGTGGCTTGGGTGAGATGCATTCCACAGGCTCGTACAGCGAAGTCATCCATATAAAATTCACATGTGTATGTATGTACATACATATGTGCGTTTGTAATGAAATAATCCCAGTTCAGGGCAAAAGCAGACCCCAAAAGTAGAGATATGGCCTCTCCTAGGGGCCTCCAAATGAAATCCTAACCCACCTGATGACAGTGGGGAGTCTATTCTTTCCCACCAATCAACTTTCCTTCCAGCTAACACAGCATCCCAGTGTTACCCTACCCCAACATCATCCCAGACACACCAGCATAGACTCGCCCTTCAGACAGGTACGTGTGCGCACATGCACACACACACAAACCTGCCTATGCCCCTCAAGCAATCTATCCCCACACAAGTGCACACACCCCTCAAATGCACATGCCTTCAAACACATGCATACACACACCAAGATACCAACAAAAAATACACACACCATCCAAATAAACACGCCTAATTTCACCCAAAATATACATGCTCATGTGCCTCCCTTCTGCTGCTTGCCTAGAAAGGTCACCAAGACTTACTATATGTAAACCAACCATACTCCTAAAAAAATACAATCCATTAATACCTTCCAATGCATATATACTACAGCCCACTGCCGCTGCCACTGCCACCACTACCACTGAAATAGACTGCAGTGGCTCTAAAATTTGTCCATAAACTTTTTGATACTCCTCCCTTAAAAGAAGAAAATAGGGAGCCTAATTCTCTTCTCCTTGACTGTGGGGCTGGAGTTAGAGAATCACAGCTAACAGAATATGAGGTTCTGAGTGACTTCTGAGTTAGAATATAAAAGAAATCCTGGCTTCCGCCTTGCTCTCCCTTGGGTCACTGGTAGAGGCCAGCAGTCACATCATGAGGACACTCATAAAGCCTTATGGAGAGGTTCATATGGTCAACAATTAAGACCTGCCTGCCAAGAACCAGCAAGGAACTGAGGTCTTCAGCAGTCATGTAAGTGAGTCATCTTGAAAAGCAGATCCTCTAGCTCCAGTCAAGCCTTCAGATGACTGCAGCCCCAGCTAACATTTTGTTATAGCTTCATTAGGAACTCTGAGCCAGAACCATCCAGCTAAGCTACTCCCAGATTCCTGACTCTCAAAAATCTGTGAGATAATATTTAAGTGGCTATTTTCAGGGTAATGTGTTACACACCAACAGACAATGAATAGATACATATGCACTTTCCACACCCTCAAACATTCCTGGCCTCAGGTGATCCACCCACCTCGGCCTCCCAAAGTGCTGGGATTACAAGCATGAGGAATTGTGCCTGGCCTTGTATGGTATTCCTTTAGACCAGGGATCAACAATTTTTTTCTGTAAAGGGTCTGATAATAACTCTTTTAGGCCAAAAAACAAAATCAAGAATATTAAGTAGACACATACATAACAACCATTTAAAACTGTGAAAACCATCCTGAGCTCCCAGACCCTAAAAATACAGAGGGTAGGGCAACTAGAGTCTAGATGACAAGAGCTACAAGGAATGGCAAACCTTGCTTTTTCATGAGAGTAAGGTTTGCTATTCTCAAGTTAACAATACTCGGTATCCACTCAACCACACAGCCCTAAAGAATAAAGACATACAATCCTGTCAAACTGGAAAAATGCACATTTCTTTCAGTTAGGATATTAGGGAAAAGGGACTTACTGTGATCCAAATGTTTGTGTCCTCCCCGCCCCCACAACTCATATGTTGAAATCCTAATCCCCAAGGTGATGATACTAGGTAGTGGGGCCTTTGGAAGGTAGTTAAGTCAGAGCTCTCATGAATGGGATTAGTGCTCTTCTAGAGAGAGACCCCTCTCCCCTTACAGCATGTAAGAACAGCCAAAAAGTTGTGATGAACCACGTACTGAATCAATCTGCCAGCACCTTGATCTTGGACTTCGAAGCCTTCAGAACTGTGAGAAATAAATTCCTGTTGCTTATAAACTATCCAGTCCATGATATTTTGTTATAGCAGCCTGAACGGATTAAGACAGGGCTGGCGGTGGTAATGTTCCTAGCAAATATCTATCATTAAGCAAGTAAGGGGTCTGAGTAGCAAGGCTGACATATTGGTGACCCACATAAGCAAACAAGTATACAATTTACCTTTTTGACTACTGCCATTATCACATCCTTTGGTTACAGGCTTCATGTTAAAAAAAAAAAAGCGCACAGCACTGTAAACTCAATTTATTCGAACCAATAGATGCTTGAGATGAAGTTAATCTGATTAAATTAGCCCTCATAACAATAAGGCGGTGAAGTGACCAACGTCTAGCCCTCATGCATAGTAACTAGCTGTGCCATCCTTGCCCCGTCATTTGTTTTCTCTGGCATTCAGACTCTTCATGATGGGGCTATAATTTATTATATCTGAAACCTTTGAATGACAAGAAGAAATTTTGGTCTGGAAAATGCGCCACTGCTTAGGTTCTCATGTTAGGAAAATTTTTCTTTCCAAGAACCCAGTGAAATGTTTTCTGAAGTTAATGCCAGTACCCCTGTTTAATTTGTCTTAAAACAGTGTTTCGTCTCTGTCTCTAAAATTATAGACCCATTAATCTTCTCGGTAGAATTCTTTTTTCCCCAATAAAAGCTTCCCATTAAATGTCCTTTTCTCCAGTGAAAATATCACTGAAAGCCTTGAAATCAGTCTAGTGGGCCAATCTATGATCCTGAATATCCCCATAGGAAAAATAACAGGATCAAGCTACATGTGCCACAAATGGATGCTGGGTGCTCGGTGTGAAATTATACAGTCTTGAACTCGCTTGGCTATACTTGGTGGCTGAGAGCATTATCCTATATTTGGCATCTGATAACAGGTAAGGATCCAGCTTGAATCTAACTACAATATGCATTGATAAATTGTTTAAAGTCTTCAAAATTTCCCACATATTTAGTCTAAAGCTGTGCATGTACTTTACATAGGGTCCATACTAAAGTAAAATTCTTTAAAAACTGAAAAATATTAAGTACCTTAGGAAAACTCCATGTTTTAAGAAATCGTAATTTTTAAAATTTAGTTTTTAGTAAATTTAGCACTGTACCATGGCTAATCAACTCCCTTCCAATAAACGTATTCTATATATTACTTTAATGTAGGTTTAAGACAAGGATAGAAAACACCTGTATGTTTCAAAGTACAGAGTAGAAATGAAACAAATATTTTAAATGTGCTTACTAGTAGAAAATTGGGACTAGGAAAAAGAACAAATATACAACATACAACATGTTTGCTATGGTTGGATGAACTCCAGGTAGCTCTGATGAAAAAGGACAGAAGAGGGGGATGAATTAAGGATGGGGGCGGGGCACAGGAGAAGCCAGCAAAGCAAATAAGTTTCTTAGGATAAGACAAGACAGGGTCCCTGCATGTTTGACACTCTCCCAGGTTTAACAGCCTCTGATTAGCTCCATTTGATCCTTCAGGAAAGACAGTCTTGGGGAAAAGGGATGATATTGCCTCTAATCTTCCTTAAATGCAAATTTTTTTTGCCATTTTTGGGAAGAAGCTGGATAGAAAGCAGCAGAGGAAGCATTTTCTAAGGGGTCTAGATATTAGAAACCAGGTATAGAGATAGGTGCTGAAGTATGGCAAAAATTAAGGAACTTAAATCAGGTCAGACCATCCTACCCCATTGTGGGGTAAATAGTAGAGACAGCTGAAGGCAAAGCCATTAGGTATCTGGAGGGACTACCTCAGCACATGTACCAATACTAAACTGACTCCCCAAAGTTGTGCATCACAGGTCATTTAAGGTAACCTTTGCATGGAAAATTTTCCAACCAGGTGCCCACCAGGATCACAGAAGCCTTCAAGATACTGCCACGGATATTCTGGCTTTGACAATGCTTTCGGATGAGCTTAGCCACTAAATAGGCTTAGGCTTCCTGCAAGGCTAGTTATTAGCAAAGAACAGTGATAAATCCCCATGCATCTTACTCCCAGGACAATTAAAAACAGGAATAATTATCGAAAAAATTAAAAAACACCAATCATGATTACCATTTTTCTTTGTATTAGGATCTGTTTTCTTTTAAGCTGTGGGGTAAGTCCATACAATAAATAGTGGGCAACCATGTTCTGCTGCCCCTTCCCATTTAGAATTATTTAGTCAGATTTCTTCTACCAGTAGTCCACCTTATCTGTAGAGGATATGTTCCAAGTCCCCCAGTGAATGCCTGAAACTTCAGACAGTACTGAACCCCCACATATTACGTTTTTACCTACACTTACATACTTATGATAAACTTTAATTTATAAATCAGACACAGTGAGACTAACAATATTAAAACAGAACAATTATAACAATATACTGTATTAAAAATTATGTGAACATGGTATATGTTGCTCTCTCTTCCTACCTCAAAATATCTTACTGTACTCACCTATTTTCTGATAGAAGTTGACAGTGGGTAACTAACTGGTAAATGAAATCACAGCTACTGGGGACTACTGTATTTTAAAGATGAAATGCAAATACTAAGTGATTTGCCAAAAGTTTAGTGTCTGCTAACTTCTGGGTACAGTAGTCTTTTTTTTTTTTTTATCTTGTAACACTGCCTTCCTTATAAAATTCATATAAATATCTTGGGATTAATGTTCATAAATACATGAAAATATGTTTCTAAAATATTAAAAATCTGCCCTAGGATTCATCTGCTATTAATGAACAATCAAAAGAACGAACAAGTAGTCTGCCTGCCAATTTAGAACTTTAAAAAGGTTTGGATTATCCTAATTTTTTTTTTAAAAAAAGATCAACCCAAAGAAATTCAAACTACTTAAATTTTGCTACAATAAGCATTAACTATCATTTGATAACAATTCCTCTAAAAAATAACCACCCTTTATAAACACTGGCTATTTATTTCTCCTCCACAAGGTTTCCCACACTGACTTTACCATTCATCTTTAGTAATTTCCAAAAAGCCCAGAGATAACAAATACCCAAGCATAAATAAATGCTCTCCCTCCTAAACCCATAGGCAACACGGTAGAAAATGGGGCCCCAGATTCCTCAAAACTACACTCCAGGAAGCCAAGATAAAACCCATATCCTACTCATGTCTCACACACAGTATTTCCAGTTCCTTCCTTACCGTTCCCACTTTAGCCTCTACCCTAAAGTTAAATTCATCTTTTACCAGTACTGCTTTAATCCCTCCTCTAAGACCCTCAATGTCTTTCAACTAAAACCTAAACCCCTCAATTTGATACCAATTTAATGTTTGCCTTTCCCAAGCAACATCCCTATACCCTAAACAAATAGGTCTGGTTACCTTACCTATTTTCCCACCATTTCTCACCCCCAAACCTGACAACCATTACCCTCTTCCCTATTTCTACCTCCAATTTACAGCTTTCCCTGACTATTCCTGTCCATTACAATTTCTCCAGCCCCAGAAGCTTTTACATTATTGCACTGCTCTCCTATTCTGTTCTACAGACACATACAACTAATTGAATTTCTGTCTAGTTACCTTGCACTTTTCATTTATTCATTCATTCAACATCTGCTGTATCTCAGGCACTGAGGAGATGCTAGAAATAAAAGTGGATAAGAATAGGCAGATCCAAAAAGCTTGGTCTAATAAGGGAGCCAAACAAGCAAATAATCACACACATGGATAGAAAATTGCAAATGAGGGAAGTGTTCCAAAGGACAGGAACATCAAGGACTTTTTCAAAAATTGTGGCCACGTCTGGGCCAGGGGTGGGGTAAGGGGGTGGCCACGGATGGGTGGTCTCAGCCAGGAAAAACATGGAAAACGACCCTGTGGTAGGAAGAAAAATCATACGTTAGTTAACACTAAAAGAAGACTAGGGTGGCTAAGCTGAAGAGACTGGGCTGACAAGACCGGGCTGACAACACAAGGCAGGAACTGAAGGCAAGGAGCCAGATCAGCACTGTTACTTAGGGATCACGTATGTACTCAGCTACTATGAACCCCTATACCATACTATTGTACTATCTAACTGGAAACTTAAAATTCACTTGAAGATTAAACAAAATACACACACACTACTAAAAAATAAGCAGCTTGGGAGACAAAGCCACCAGATCACATCACTGATTCTCAACCATGCTTGTCCTGGAGATCAGTGGCTCAAAAATCTGACTGCACATTAGATCAGCTGGGGAGCCTTTAAAGAACAATGATGCTCTGGTCCAGCCTAAACTATGTCACAAATGGAGACTTGTCACCCTGACACAAGTGTCATATGGAGCCTTTGAATGAATTAATTAAAAGAAAATCAAAGTCTGCTTAGTAAATGCCTTCAGCCTCTAAAACTCCTAAGTTCAAACAGGTGAAATGCTGTTTACTTAACAGAGACACTGACTTAATGGGTAGGAGATGGGCCCACCTAAACAAAGGTATTTTAAATAGATCCCCCGAGGAGATTCTAGAAATGTGAAATCCCAGTAGAGAACTACTTGCCTTAGGGACAACTCTCTTAACAAGCTTCTCAGAAAATAGCATTTTGTTTCTCACAGCCCTTCCTCAAAACACTAGACATTCCCCCACCTCATTCCTCCTAGATTTAACCCAACTCCTGCTGTCTCCTCCTACTCCCTGAGTAGCTAAATCTCAGGAACCACATCATTCTTTTCACACCCTTTCAAATGAGCAAGTTTGTATCAAAAATGCAGTAGGGAGTGCAGTATTGGGCTGGAATAATAAAGCTACCCTGAAAGTAAGCAATTTGGTCTTGAATACTCTAATCAAAACTCTATTCTGTAGGAGATGGTGTAAAATCCATAAAGTGCCAGAAAAAAAATGAGATGAGTGATTTCTGTCCAACAAAGAAGCTTCTCCCCACTCTCAAGAAAGGAAAAAAGGAAAGGGAAACTACTGAACCCAGGTTTACTTGTGTGTGTCCCAGGTAAAGTTTTTGAGAATCTGACAGACAAGGACAGACGCAGTGTCCCAAGAGGCTCGAAGAGAGGAGCTGCATTCAAAACTACTAAAGTTACTGGCATATTACAGTTAAGAATTCAAATGCAAGTCACGTATAGGTCAACTCCTTAGCTATTAAAATTGCCTAAATACAAATAGAGACACCTTGGATAAAAAGCCTGTGCTTTGTTATATAGGAAAATTGATAGCCAGTGTTAATTATCTGTACCAATAGGACTCTGCCCCCAATACTGGTTATATACACAGGTTAGTGTATATAATAATTCAAAACTAAACTCACCTTATGAATAGTTTTAGATTTCACTGGTTACTTGAGCTTATCTGTGCATCTGTTTTTGCTATCAGGCTGTTGCACATCTTTGATAACAAACGTTTACATTAAAGCATAAGGAGACTTTAACCATTAAGCAGGCAGTTTTACGCATGAAAAAAATCAAGACTTGTTTACCAAAATTTATCTCAAAAGTAAAAAATGCAATGTAATGTTCACTTCACTATTTTAAAAACAGATCCATTCCGAGGGCCAATTACAATTGCCACAATGAGAAAAATTAGTTCTCTCAAAGAACTAAGGTGAATCTGGGCCAAATGTAAATTACACCATCCTGGCACTATTGTTTGAAGTCACTTTCCACCGAAACAGTCTCCCATCAATGCCAGAAGTGTCTTTCAACACCTATCCCACTTACTGTCCATAAACTTTCCACAGCTACACTTGTACAGTCTTCACTGACCACGGTATACAGAGACAGATGTGAGAACAGGTTATTGGGCATCTTAACGCTTATACCACCTGTTAGCTAACAGTTGCACACCTGGCCTCTTGACTGAACTCTGTAACACGTGAATTTGTCAGCCTGACACAGATGCCATACGGAGCCTTAAATGAATGAGCAGAAAAACAATGCTTAGCAAATGCCTTCAGTCTCCAAAACTTCTAAGTTCAAATATACATGAAATGCTTCTTTAAATCTGCGAAGAACATTACATCCCACCTTTTGATGACATAATTTAAAACACATTTTATTCATATATTTATTTCCTTCCCAAACACAGTTACACTTTGAAAAAAAGGATGACTTACATATGTCTTCCAATAGAAATCTTTGTTTTAACAACAGTAAATTCTTAGAAATGTGTTCTGCTCCACCATCACCATTAAAGCAATGGTATGACTTTATATTAAAGTATTAACTTATAAATCAATCTCTGCGCTGAAATAATGCTAAATTGCTTTATCGTACATCAGGCATCTTTTTCAAATACATTCCTTTTCATGCAGTACATATAAGTTATTTCTATAAACTCAGCAATTTAATACTTCTAAACCATTTCCTCCACTTTATTTCATCCAATTGATACAGCTTAAAATACTAAACTACCACTTCTTCCTAAAACTTTTTTTTAAAGTAATAACCCTGTTTATACTGGTTTGAGTTCAATTGCAAGTTAGAAGTTATTACAATTTCCCTTTTGGAGATTATGAGCTAAACCTATGAACACCAAAAAACATTCAGAGCATACAAAGCAAAAATATTTGATGCATGTGCCTATAGTCTGGATGTGGTCTGTCTCCACCAAAACTCATGTTGAAATCTGATTTCCAATGTGCCGGTGTTAGAGGGTGGGGCCTAGTCAGAGGTGTTTAGGTCATGGGAGGGATACCTAATAAATAGACTATGCCATCTTGTGGGAGTGAGTTCTTGCTCTCACAGGATTGGATTCATTACTCGAAGAGTGGGTTGTTCCTTCTTGCACATGCTGGCTTCCTTCCATTTTCTGCCATGAACTGAAGGAGCGAGCACAAGACCCGCAACCAAAGGGGCTGCCCAATGTTGGACTCTCCAACCTCAGAATCATGAGCCAAATAAAATTCTTTTCTTTATAAATTATCCAGTCTCAGGTATTGTTACAGCAACACAAAATGTACTAAGATGCACACTAGAGAGTACAGTCAGTGGATTCACAGTGGATGAACTGGCAAAGCAGTTATAGCAGTATGTTGCAATAAATCATGACTTTCTATAGAAGAAGCTGAACACTTCTTGATATCGTAAGAATCTACCTGATTTAAATCTCTGGGGCTGAGGGGAGGAAGCTGACAAGATGCTGTAAGGCATTTCAGAAATAAATGTAATTACGAAGAAGGTTTGCAGGTAGGAATTAAAAACTTAAGTGACTCGCTCTATCTGTTCTACAGAAGGTAAAGAAGTGTGAGAGAAAAAAGTGTTGTCCATTCAATAAATGTAGCTTTGAAATGTAAAACAGATATAATGTGTACAGCCAAATATTTGAATAAAAGCTTTATTTTCATTACTTCTTTGGGTGGTTAATATGGTTAAATTACTCACTGACGTGGGAAGTTAAATTACTACACACAGTTCTTAGTTTTACTTTCAAGAAAATTCAACTGTTACTTTCCTCTGCAAATTCAGAGCTTTCACAATACACTGCCACTACTCATTCATCAGTTGATCTTTTAAAAATAGGTAATAAGCATTATCAATTGTGACCCTTCTTCACAGTATGACCAATGTTCAATGTAACAGAACAAACTTAAAAGTCTGACTAAATCCTTCAGTAAATAATTAAAACAAAAACAAGTAACTGTTTCCAAAAGAAGGAAAACCAGCTTCACCTTTGTGTTCCGCTGTTTGGTGCCCTTTGAATGTTTCGTTCTGGGTTTTTGTTTTTTGTTGCTTTTTGAGACGGACTCTCCCCCTGTCACCTAGGCTGGAGTGCAGTGGCATCATCTTGGCTCACTGCAACCTCCACCTCCCGGGTTTAAGCGATTCTCCTGCCTCAGCCTCCTGAGTTGCTGGGACTACAGGAACCCGCCACCACAACTGGCTACTTTTTTTGTATTTTTAGTAGAGACGGGGTTTCACCAACATGTATGCCAGGCTGGTCTTGAACTCCAGAACTCAGGTGATCCGCCTGCCTCAGCCTTCTAAAGTGCTGGGATTACAGACATGAGCCGTCGTGCCCGGCCACTGCCATTATTAATACTGCAAAACTTTACTGTAAAATGCCTACCTTATACAGCAAACGTGTATCAACAACTCATTCAACATTCAACCAACATACATTAGGTGTTGACAAACCTAACAGTCCCTGCCCTCCAGGGATGGATAGAGATAGGAATGGTGAGGCAATTCTGTAAAATATTGTTTTTAAATGTGATAGATAATGATTTTAAGTGCAGGTACTGCGGCACAAAAGAGGGAATACCAACCTTGTGCTGGCAGTTGACTAAGGGCTACACAAAGGAAGTGACTCTTCAAGTTCAGTGAACTAGGTGAACAAAGGGAACATCCCTAACAGAGAAGAAAACCTATGTAAGGTGAGAGACAAATAAAAAGTACAGGAATTCCAAATAATTTGAGCAGCCAAAGCACATTACTGCCTGTGAAAGAAAGGACTACAGGCGGTTCACTAACTATTTGGGTTACTGAAAAGCCAAAAGCATATGCCAGGTTATGTCTTAAAGTACTAAGAACAACTCTGCAGGCAGTTTTGTTTTACATTTGTAAATCTGAATGAGAAATAATATCACAGTGTACTCTCTAGGTCCATGGCCTTTCTCAGTCTGAACCACAGAACACCCAAAAAATGACATGAGTGATTATTTTCTCAATTCTTCCAACTATCTATTACAACTAGTACCATTTTGAATGCATAGGGGAAAAGGTAACTGTCTACAATGGAAGTCTTGGAGCAGGAGGGCTAATTCTCTCAGAGCTGGTTAAGAAAGGCTGATGGGTATAAGAACTCTTTGCAGTTACCCAAATACTGAACACACAGAACTCTATCTGAGGTTTGTGCTCTTATCTGAAAGCTAGTAAACAGTAAGGAACTTTCACTGTGGTTACAAAAGAAGTAAGGTACGCTATTTTCCACAATCTATAAAAATGTGCAAATAATTTAACTGTTAAGCCTTATCAAATAATTACTTATCTTTTACTCTAAGCTATTTAGAAATTTTAAAGTATATTATAAACCATACAGACATCTCAGAGTACAAACCTAAGGACATTTTACACACATATAAGGAGAAAGAGAAATCAACTTTAGCCCAGAGAACAAATTGTAAACAAACAAATAGCAAAGATTAAGGATGAGTCAGCCAATTCATAAATCTGTTACAAGAAGCCATCTCAATGTTTATCTATGGAAACCAATGTTTAAAAAAAGAAAAAAAAGGATCCCCCATATCCCATGAAGCCATTTCATCAGTGACAAGAACTACAGATGCACCTTAGATGTGCTAACAGCCACGATCTGCAGGGAGGTGAACAGTAAAGTTGGTTTATTCTTATCAGACTCGAAAGATTCAGAAGGGTTCCAAACAATCCTCTTTCGCAGCTATACTAATGATGAGAATAAGAGACAAGAGATACTACCTTTATATTGCACCAAATGAGATTCCATTATTTGTTAGCAGGTTTAACTTTTTATACACATTTTATGCCCACATGAAGTAGAGCAGCCTAGAGCTGAGGTAGTAGCACAAGTCTCCCAGTCATATCAGCATTCCTTCCCCAAATGCCCTCCCTCCCCACTCCCAAAGACACTAATAAACAAAAGTGTCAAAGAATACTCTTCAAAAACAGAAAAGCAAAAAGCATAATTAGTGCTGAATCTTGTAAGGAAAACCTAATTAAACCACACAGTGAAAATGCAGCTAATGAGGGCAAAACTTGTTATGCTTGGGGAAGAATTAAAGAAGGAAATCAAGTCCAGTCACCTGTTATCCACATTTCTTCAACAGCCTGCAAAACATGCTTCCTGATTTGTAACTGAGGGAAAACATCCAAATCAGCTTGGGCAATCCATTCAGTTTATTAGGCTATGCTTGATAAGAGGACAAAATCAGACTACCTACATAGCTACATGTAGCTCTTTGCTAACTAACTGTAGCCTAACCAAAAGACTGTGGTTAACTCAGCAGTACCTATCATCACCAGAGAAGACTTGAAAACACTCAAAATCCATTTCAGGCAAGCTCCAAGATAATGTATGTTTAAAAGATTATAACATGCTTATTAAAACACCGTCCTTATTTTCCATATTAGCACTTCTGTGCATCAACTATGCTGGAAAAACATTGTGTTAAGTTAATGTCTGCATGAAGCAGGTGCTTCATATGTTACATCAATCTCCACATAACTGTGTAAAATACAAAATAAAAGAGATACCTTCCAAAAAGGCACAACTAATTCTCTGATGGGAATAATCTTGCAGCAGAGCTTATATGTTAATCCACCAGCACTCCAAGTCACTCACTTTCTCCCTCACAGAGTTTTCATTTAAGAAGCTTCGCAGTAAAGCACCAATGAAATCCCTATTAACTTCTTCCCCATCTTACCACCAGTTTAGGGAAGTCAATTTTACTTTTTAAGCAAGAAAAATTTTTATCTTTTGCAGGCAAAAAATACATATGAATTGGAAAATGTATACTCCTACTATCTGAATGTTTGTGTCCCCTCCATAATTCATGTTGAAAATCCCAACGCAACAGCGTTTGAGGTGACAGCATTAAGCGGCAGGGCCTCTAAGACATGATTAGGCCATTCTGGCTGTGCCCTATGGATAGGATCAGTCCCTTCTAAAAGGGGGACCGGGAGCACTGTAATCCCAGCACTTTGGAAAGGCCAAGGTGGGAGGATCACTTGGGTCCATGAATTCAAGAGCAGCCTGGGCAACACAGGGAGATGCTATCTCTATAAAAAATAAAATAAAATAAAAAGAGGGGCTGGAGGGAACTAGCAAGGCCTTTCTGCCCTTCCACCTTCTGCCATGTGAGGACACAGCAACAAAGCTGGAAGTAGAGAGCAGCCCTCACCAGACACAATATGCTGGCATCTCGATCTTGGACTTCCCAACCTCCAGAACTGTGAGAAATAAATTTCTACTATTTTTTGTAAATTAATTAGTCGGTGGCTTGATTACTTGTTCTTCAAGAAAACAACCTGAGCAGGCCTAGGCTGAGAGTATCTATTACTTTTCACTACAAAGTAATACAATGAAAACTTCTCACAGATTTGTAATACAGTAATCTCCTTTTATCTGAGACTTTGCTTTCTGAAGTTAACCGTGGTCCAAAAATATTAAATGGAAAATTCCAGAAATAAACAATTCTTAAGTTGTGAATTGCATGCTGCTCTGAACAGCGTGATAAAATCCCTCACTGTTCCACTCTGTCCCACAAGGGATATGAATCACCCCTTTGTTCAAGATATCCATGTTGTAGACACCATCCTGCCTGTCAATACCCATTTCAGTTTGACTGTGGTAGTATCCGTCTTGTGTTTAAGTCACCCTTATTTGACTTACTCATGACCCAAAATGCAAGAGTAGTGAGGTTATTTTTGTTAATCTCTTAACTGTACTTAACGTATAATTAAACTTTTATCACAGGAATGTATGCATAGGAAAAAAACACAGTTTATCTAGGGTTCAGTTCTATCCACAATTTCAGGCATCCACTGGGTGGTCTTAAAATTTATCTCCCACTAATGGGGCGGGGGGTCGGTGGGGAAGACTAGTATACATCCAGAAGGTTCAGAACAGAAATACAGATACAGTAAATGGTTTTTTCGTTTTGGGATAAGAAAGCTAAAAACCAAGAATCAAGGCAGTATCCCAACATGGTTTTAGAAACCAACTAAAAAAGGCTCATGAAGTATATACCTCATTGTTTCAGTGCTAAAATTACCTTCTTGAAAAATACACTTCTGTATAAGTAAATTATAAACTGAACTCTTAGTCTATTCAGGGGGCTTAAAATGCCTGATACGGGGTAATTTATAAATAACAGAAATTTACTCCTCACATTTTGGAGCCTTGGAAGTCCCAAATCAAGGCACCAGCGTTATCTGGTATCTGGTAAAGCCCATTCCTCAACTGTTTACAACTCAATAAATAAGACAGACAACCCAATGTTTAAAATGGTAAAATATATGAATAGATGACACTTGACCAAAGAAGATCTACAAATAGCTAATGACAAGAAATGGTGCTAAATATCGTTAGTCATTTGAGAGATGCAAATTTTAAAAATCACAATGAGGTTTCACAATACACCAACTCAAAAGGCTATAATTAAAAAAATACCAAGTGTTGGTGAGAATACAGATAAACTGGAACCCTCATATGTTGGTGGTAATATAAAATTACCACTTTGGAAAACAGTGTGGCAGTTTCTTTAAAAGTTAAAACATCTCGTTACTATACAACTCAGCAATCTATTCCTACATATCCACTCCAAAAAAAAAAATATATGTGTGTGTGTGTGTGTGTGTGTGTGTGTGTGTGCAAAGACTGCTACAGAGGTACTTACAGCAGCTTTATTCACAACAGCAACAAACTGCAAGCACTCTTAATGTCCACCAACTAGCCAATATAGAGTTCATTAGTTACGTTTCCAGCTACATGTGGTTTATCCATGCAATGGAATACTACATAGCAATAAAAAGGAATTAAGTACTGATGATGCAACAAACAAGGTAGACAAATCCTAACTCATTATATTAAGTGAAAGAAGCCAGACATAAACAAAAGACTACATATTGTATAATTCCACTGACATAAAATTTCTATGAAGACAAAAAGCAGATCAATGGTTGCCTAAGGAGAGTGGACGGACTGCAAACAGGCATGAGGTAACTTTTTGGGAATGATGTAAATGTTCTAAAACTGAACTTCAGTAATGGTTGCACAACTATAAATTCACTGAAAGTCACTGAACTGTTTGAAGGGCAACATGTATGGTATGTAAATTACATGGCAATAAAACTTAGAATCCAATATTCTAACCTTTTCAATATAGAGGCTAATACAATTTTCAAAATATTCTCACATTTTATTATTTGCCAACAGACAATAGGTTATGTTTTCAAACATAAATTGCAAATAAGATAAAAAGAAGAGAGCAGCAGTTTCTCATTTAAGACATGATGTTTAGAATCTAATTTCTAACATAGTACACACACTGTAGTGTCAACATTCTTGTAATCTCAAACAATGCTGAGTGAAAAAAACAAGATCCAAAAGGATATGTACAGTATATCACTTAAGTAACTATACCAAACAAAAAAGGTATAGAATGATGATGGACTGATACAAACAAGAACAATAGGAAAATATGCATAAGAATGCTGTATACCTACTTCAGTGACAGTGGTTAGAAAAGGCACTAAGGGAGATGAAGAGAAGAGGCATTTGGTCTTTTAAAGCAACGCTAAATGTTCATTGTTTTAAAAATTCAATTAAAACTAAAGCAAATATTAGGTGGTGAGCATATATGGGTATCTTATATCACTGTGTATGCTTTTCTATTCGTTTGAAGCATTACGGTTTTTTCTTTTCTTAAGTTTTAAAAGGGGTAGCATATAAAACCAAAAAAAAAAAAAACCAGATAAATATTCTCTGTATTGGAAACAAAAGGGAAAACATGTCAAGTCTTACAGAAATTAAAAGGATAATAAAAGAGGAATACAAACAATTCTGTAAATATTAAGGTTGACAGCTTAAATGCAATGTGATCTCTAATTTTTCCAAACTGCCAAAGTTCACTTAAGAATAAATAGATAATTGAGAGGTTGCAGCAGGATTGCCTGAACCCAGGAGTCCGACACCAGCCTGAACAATATAGTGAGATCTTGTCTACACTTAAAAAAACAAAATAAAATAAAAATTAGGCTGGGCATGGTGGCTCACACCTGTAATCCCAGCACTTTGGGAGGCCAAAGCAGGTGGACTGCTTGAGCCCAGTTCAAGACCAGCCTGGGAAACGTGTCAAAACCCCGTCTCTACAAAAAATACAAAAATTAACTGGACATGACAGCATGTGCCTTTCTTTGGTCCCAGCTACTCAGGAGGTCAAGATGGAAGGATCGCTTGAGCCTGGGAGTTTGAGGTCGCACTTGACGAGGTATGACTGCACCACTGCACTCTAGCCTGGGCAACAGAGCAAGACCCGTTCTCAAAAAGGAATAACTGGATAACATAAAGGAACAAACAGATAGGTCTATATCTATTAAACTGGGCTGGGCACAGTGGCTCACACCTGTAATCCCAGCTCTTTGGAAGGTCAAGGAGGGAGGATCGTTTGAGCCCAGGAGTTTGAGGCCAGCCTAGACAACACAGGGAGACTCTGCCTCTACAAGAAATTTTTCTTAAAAATGCGCCAGGCACGGTAGCACATACCTATGTTCCCAGCTACTTGGAAAGCTGAGGTGAGAGGATCACCTGAGCCTGGGAGGTCGAGGCTTCAGTGAGCCATGATCACACTCAGCCTAGGAGACAGAGTGAGACCCTGTCTCAAATAACTGGTGTGTGCTTCAAAACGTTCAACAGTTAAACCAAACACCCCTCCCTCTTCCCACCAAGGTAACCTTTCTTTTCTTTTTTTTTTTTTTTTTAGATCGAGTTTCATTCTTCTTGCCCAGGCTGGAGTGCAATGGTGCAACCTTGGCTCACCGCAACCTCTGCCTCCCGGGTTCACGTGATTCTCCTGCCTCGGCTTCCCGAGTAGCTGGGATTACAGGCATGCGCCAACACGCCTGGCTAATTTACACAATGTGTGTGTCTTTGGGGTTGAAGGGGTGGACAAGACACATTTCTCACCTCAATGTTACAAGCATTACCAGAACATCAGAACTAGACAAAGACAATATAAAGTAACCACAGATCACACAGATCAATCGCCCTCAAGAACATGGACCCAATTTATTAGTAAATTGAATCCAGCAATATATTAAAAAAATATGATGACCAAGTGGGTCGGGCAAAGATGGTTCGATATTTGAAAAACTAGTAATTCACCATGTCGACAGATTAAAGAAAAACTATATGATCATCTCAATAGATGCAGTAAAAACATTAATAAAATTCAACATCCATTCATAGTAATTTTTAAAACTCAGCAAACTAAGACTTTTTGGTCAAAACTAGCTGGTGATCCTCACCTATGCACTAAAAGAATAAAATAAATACATACAACCCATACAGACTGAAAAGAAAAAATAAAACCGTCTTTACTGACAGTTTACATGATTGTCTATGCAGAAAATCCCAAAGAACATACAAAAAATTACTAGAATAAAATAAGTGAAGCTAAGCAAGCAAAGGATACAAAGTCAATATACAAAAATCATTTTTATTTCTGCATATTAGCAATGAACAATTAAAAGATTAAAGAAAAAATATCACTTAAAACAACATCCAAAAATCATTAAATACTCCAGGATAAATTTAACAAAATATGTACTATAAGATCTGTTACGTACGCTGCAATCTCAAATTTTTGGACTCCATAGGGAGATATACCACATGTGTGGGCTTTAAAACTCAATACTGACTTTAAGAAGTCAAAATAATATATAATTGTGCCCAAAATAATCTATGTTATGTTGTCCAATACAATAGCCACTAGTGACATGTGTCTACATTTGAATTTAAATAAATTAAAATGAAATAAACTTTAAAATTCATTTCTCCAATTACACAAGCAACATTTTATGTAGTCAATAGCCATAGACAGCTAGTGACTACCACACACTGGACAGTGTAAATACACAACATTTCCATCATTACAGATAATCCTATTGAAGAGTACTGATCTACACATTCAATGCAATGCTGTCAAAATTCCAGCAAGTTTCATAGAAACTGACAAGCTGACTCTAAAATTTACATGGAAAAAGAGAACACCTAGAAGTCAAAACAATTTTGGAAAAAAAGTACCAAATTGAAGAGCTGATGCTACCTGATTTCATGATTTACCTATTTACAATTTTTAAGACAGCGTGGTATTGGCAAAAAGTCAGACACTTAAGAGTCAATGGAACACAGTCCAGAAATAAACTCACACATATATATTAATAGTAATCAGGATTTTTACAAATATGCCAATCAACTCAATGGAGAAGAGAGTCTTTCAACAAATGGTGCAGAAAAAAATGGGGCATCCATTCATCAAAATTAAGAACCTCGATCCATATCTTTCTCCATACAGAAGAACTAAAAAAGCATAAGCCTTTAAGGAGAAAAATTGATATACTGGATTTCATAAAAATCAAACATTTCTGCTCTTCAAAAGACACCATTAAGAAAATGGAAAGTCAAAATCAAAAGAAAATGAAATGGAAAGTCACAGACTCAGCAAAAATAGTTGCAAAACAAATACCTAATTAAAAACTATTACTCAGAATATACAGAAAACTCTAGAAACTCAGTAATAAGAAAGCAACACAATCTAGAAATTGTGGCAAAAAATCTGAACTCACTTCATCAAAGAAATATATAGATGACTCACATAAGCACAGGAAAGATGCTTATTATTAGTCATCAAGGAAATGAAAATTAAAACTACATTATTTTTTCTTGATTGTCATCATAGGACTTAAATTCATCAAAATTCACAGAACCTATACAGCAAAAAGGGTTACTCTTACTATATTATCATACCTCAATCAATTTAACTTTAAAAAAGATTTCTCAAAATTACAACATTTTGGTTTTCCATTAGAAAATTCCTCTTGAACGCCAGAAGATACTTCCGGAAGATACATGTACTTCCTGAACTCTGCAAGATAAGCTGACTGGATGTTCCATATTACTAGATGATCTGTTTCTAATGCATGGGAATGTACAACCAATCAGATAAGCTTCAAAAAGGATAAAGACATGTAAAGCATTCCACTTCAGCCAAAATGCTCCAGGTACTCCATAATTATCTACAAAGACCGTCGAATAACCAATATGAGAGGATTCTAAAAACAAAGGAAATCTTACAAAGGGAAAGGAAGCGCTAGGGATGTGATACAGATGGTAACTTAAAATCACCAACCCACACTCATACATACTGCCCGCTAGGGGGAAATAAGGTGGGCACAAGAACAGAAACGTATGTCAAGAGAAAGCACGTTCACATCCCAAAGCCCATCGTACCAAATAAAAAAGTTGGTCAAGCTAACCGCTGTTTGAGAACAGCAAGCCAACCCAAATCACAGACTTCCTAAAGTAACATAATTGGAAGTCTGAGATAGTTATCATTGTTTGTGGACTATAACAAAAAAGAGTTTCACGGAAGTGTTTGTATGGAGAAATGAAAGAGCTGGAAATTGAATAGTTTTTATTTCATTATGAAATACACATGAGTCTACCATAGTTCTGAAAGACAGGGAAGGATGGATAAGGGGAGAAAGGAAGGGGCATGAGGCATACCATTTCTTTCTCTATCTTAGAGGTAAAGGAATCTAAAATATAGAGCACAGCAGCAGTCACACTCACAGGGTCCAGAGGAGTATCCCTGGTCATCTCCCTAGTACTTGGTTTGTCAGAGAGGTGGTGTAATTTGATGGGAAGACCCAAGGGTAGACCAAGAGTCCAGTGCAGGCTCTATTACTATTAATGTGCTCCATAACCTTGTGCCAATCACTGGCTTTTAGTTAAAGCTTGGGCAATATCTCTAAAACCTGTCTTAAAGAAATTTTTCCAAAGAGAAAGATACAGTAGCAACCAAGGGCAATCTAAAGGATTCTAGCTCTTCTTGGCCAGATAGGCTATGGCATATTTCTTAATATGAATGAGGATTTAACATTCTCATTTTATAAAATTCTATAGATTTCCCAGTAGGATATAAGCTTTAAATAAGGTGGCAAAATGCTGTTCAGCAAACCCCAAGCCCAACAACCATGAAGAAAACTATACCAAGGCTGTTTATAATCAAAATGCTAAAAAACCAGTGATTAAGTGAAATCTTAAAAGCAGTCAGAGAAACCAAGACTTATTTTAAAGAACAAAGATAAAAACGATAGAATGATAATCAAATATTGGCCGGGCATGGTGGCTCACGCCTGTAATCCCAGCACTTTGGGAGGTGGGCAGAGCACTTGAGGTTGGGTTCAAGACCAGCCTGGCCAATGTGGTGAAACTCCATCTCTACTAAAAATACAAAAATCAGCCGGGCGTGGTGGTGCATGCCTGTAGTCCCAGCTACTCACTGAGGCATGAGAATTGCTTGAACCCAGGAGAGGGAGGTTGCAGTGAGGAGAGATCACGCCACTGCACTCCAGCCTGGGTGACAGAGTGAGACTGTCACACACACACACACACACAAAAATGATAATCAAATATTATGTAACCCAGGAGACAATGGAGTAACATCTTTTAAGACAACTAAAAGAAACAAACCGAACCTGGAAATTCTATACACATTGAAAATATGTTTTGAAACAAGGGCAAGAAATGGGAAACCACTGTTAGTGGGAATGTAAAATGCTACAGCCACTTTGGAGAACAGTGGGGCAGCTCCTCAAAAGGTTAAAGGCAGTTCTTATTTGACTCAGCAATTCCACTGCTAGGTATATATCCAAGAGGACATACATCCACACAAATATGTATGTATACAAATGTTCACAATAACATTATTAATAATAATCAAAAGGTAGAAAGCAAATGTCCATCAACTGATGAATGGATAAGAAAATGTGGCACGTCTACACAATGGAATACCATTCAGCCATAAACAAGAACGAAGTACTGATACACACACTACAACATAAATGAACCTGGAAAACTATGCTACTGAAAGAAGACAGTCACAAAAGACCAAACATTGTATGATTCCATTTATACAAAATTCTAAGATACAGCAAATCTTTAGAGACAGATACTATTTTAAAGGCTCCCTAGGGCTGGGAGTTGGGGAAGGCTGGAGGGTGACCGCTAAAAGGTACAGGATTCCTTGTTGGGGAGAGAGGGTAACAAAATATGGCAAAGGTTCATACTTTGTGAATGTACTAACCACCATAAATTCCACACTTTAAATGGATGAACTGTATAATATGTGAATTATACCTTAATAAAGCTGTTACCAGAAAAATGGCAAAACAAAAAATTTGCAACTTTTTTTAAAAGTAATCACCAGCAGACCTGTACTATAAGAATATTAAACAAAGTCCCTTAGGTAGAAAAAAAAATATTACTGGATGAAAATGTGGATCTATTCAAAGGAATGAAGAGCACAAGAAATGATAAAAATGTGGGAAATTTTCTTTTTTTTAAATATTTGAACAATAACGGACTACTTAAAGTAAAAATTATTACAACACTGTGGGGAGGGTTACAACATATGCAGAAGTAAATGTATTACAATAGCAGCACAAAGGCCAGAAGGAAAAAAGGAGCTTTGATAAAGTTGTTAGACTGTATGTGAAGATGTGTAATACCACTTAAAGGCAAACTGATTTGAGTTAAAGATGTATACTAACGCAACTAAAATAACTGGCCAGGAGCAGTGGCACATCCCTGTAATCCCAGCACTTCGGGAGGCCATGGCGGGTGGATCGTCTGAGCTCAGGAGTTAAAGACTAGCCTGAGCAACATGACAAAATCCTGTCTCTACAAAAAAAAAAAACACAAAACATTAGCCAGGTGTGGTGGCATGTGCCTGTAATCCCTGCTACTCAGGAAGCTGAGGTGGGCAGACTGCTTGAGCCCAGGAGGTCCAAGCTGCAGTGAACCCAGATTGCCTTACTTCACACCAGCCTGGGAAACACAGCAAGAGCTTGTCTCAAAATAAATAAATAAATAAAATAACTACAGTTATAGCTAGTAAGTTAATAAAAGACATAAATTATATTTAAAAAAACAACTAAAGCCAAAAATAAAGTAGAAACAAAGTGCAAGATGGTAGATTTAAAACTCATCATGTCAATAATCACATTAAATACAAATGGTCTACAAACCACAATTAAAAGGCAGAGATTATGATATCTGATTAGAAAAACAAAACCCAACTACATACTGCCTATAAGGAACTCATTTCAAATACAAAGACACAAATACAGTAAAGGGATGCCATGCTAACACTATTCGAAACAAAGCTGGAGTGGTTACACTAATATTGGCCAAAGTACATTTCAGAGCAAATACTATTACGAGGGACAAAGTGGGTTAACTTCAGAATGGAAAAGGGGTCAATTCATCAAGACATAATTGTAAATGTTTATGCACCAAAGTAACAAAGCTGAACATCACTTAATTAGAAAGCAAAAACGGAAGGGTATCTGGAAAATCCTCACGTATCTAGTAACTAAATGACAGTTCTAAATAACCCATAAGATAAAAAAAAAAAAGAAAAATTAGAAAGCATCTGAAACTGAATGAAAATGAAAACACAAAAATATCAAAATTTGTGGGTTACAACTAAAGCAGAACTTGAGGGAAAAAACTTCAGCGCCAAACACCCATATTGAAAAAAAAGAAAAGTTTCAAACCAAGGAGCAAAGTATACACCTTAAGAAACTAAAAACAGAAGAGCAAATGAAACTCAACATAAACAAAAGAAAGAAAATAATAAAGATCACATGAGAAATCAATGAAATACAAAACAAAAACAAAAAGTGAAATCATAAGCTTGTTGAGATCAATAAAATCTTGATAATCCAGACTCATCGAAAGACAAAGACACAAATTACCAATGAAAACAAGAAGTGACATCTCTACAGATTCTACAGGTATAGATAAGGAAATCTCATGAACACTATTTCAATAAAACAAACAAATTCCTAAGTTCCTTGGAAGGTACAAACTGCCAAAGCTCACTCAAGAATAAATCAATAATCTGAATACCCTTATGTATTTTAAATAAATTGAATCTGTAGTAAAACCTCCCCAGAAAGAAAATCCTAGACCAGATGGTTTCACTAGTAAATTCTACCAAGCATTTAAGAAAATAATAATTTCAGGCCGGGCGCGGTGGCTCACGCCTGTAATCCAAGTACTTTGGGAGGCTGAGGCGGGTGGATTATGAGGTCAAGAGATCAAGACCATCCTGGCTAACATGGTAAAACCCCGTCTCTACTAAAAATACAAAAAATTAGCCAGGCGTGGTGGCGGGTGCCTGTAGCTCCAGCTACTTGGGAGGCTGAGGCAGGAGAATCACTTGAACCTAGGAGGCGGAGGTTGCAGGGAGCCGAGATTGCACCACTGCACTCCAGCCTGGAGATGGAGTGAGACTCCGTCTCAAAAAAAAAAAAAAGGAAAAAAAAAATTTCAATTCTTCACACACTCTTCCAGAAAAGTGAAGAGGGCAGTACATTTTCCAACTCATTCTATGAGACCCACATTACCGTGAATCCAAAACCAGACAAATAGCCTAGAAGGTAAAAAATAAGTACAGACCAATGTCATTCATGACGACAGATGCAAATTTTCTTAACAAAATAATCCAACATGGATTATTCATCATGAAAATACATCATGACAAAGTAAGATTTAATCTGGGAATGCCAAGTTGGTCTAGGATTCCTACAATCAAAAATCAACCAATGTAATCCAGCATTATATGGAAAACTGTATGACTGTCTTACTAAATGCAGGAGAAAAAGATATTTGACAAAATCCAACTTCTGTTCCTTAATAAATACGCTCAGTGGGCTGGGCACGATGGCTCCCACCTGTAATGCCAGCACGTTGAGAGGCCGAAGCCAGATGGCATGATGGCTTGAGGCCAGTTCCAGACCAGTGTAGTCAATACAGTGAGATCCCATCTCCACCCCCCTGGCCCCCCAAACAATTAGCCAGGCATAGTGGTGCATTAGTCCCAGCCACTCAAGAGGCTGAGGCAGGAGGACAGGTTGAGCCCAGGAGTTTGAGGCCACAGTGACCTGTGACTGCACCACTGCACACCAGCCTGGGCCACAGAGCAAGACCCAGACTAAGGAAAAAAAACCCTCAGCAAATTAATACAGAAAGGAATTCCCTAAACCTATTTAAATGTTTACTACAGCTAACATTACACTTACTAATACAAGAACGTCCACTCTCAAAACTTCCATTCAACACTGTATTGGAAGTTTTAGCTAGCACAACAGGCAAGCGAAAGAAATAAAAGGTGTCCACATTGGAAGGAAAGTAAAAATTGTCTCAATTCAAAGACAAAATTGTCTATGGAGAAAATTCTACAGAATCTACAAAAAAAAGTTCCTAGAACCTATTAAGTTTAGCCAAGTTACAGGAAACAAGATATACAAAAATAATCTGTATATAAACTACCTGGAAACAACCAGAAATTGGCATTTTAATAGTAACATTTACACAGTATCGAAAATATGAAATAGTGATAAATCTAACAAATGAGACTGAAAACTACAAAACACTGCTGAAGGAAAACCTAAATAAATGCAGAGATACCTAAGTTCACGGATTGGAATACTGAGTCCAATGTTTTGGATTTTCAGTTTTTCCCAAATGTATCTATATCTGCAATGCATCCTAATAGAAATGCCAGCAGCATCCCTTTTATGTCGAAATTGACAAGCTAATTATAACATTTTAAAGGAGATGCAAAGGATGTAGAATATCCAAAATAACTCTAAAAAGAATTGAAGGTCTTACACTTCTCCTAATTTTCAAGACTTATAAAGCTACATTATTTAAGTAATAGTACTGGTGTAAAGAAAGATCAATGAAACAAAATGAAGAGACTCACACATATACAGCCCATTGATTTTCAAAGATACAAAGGCACTTCAATAAGGGTAATTTTTTTCAATAAATGGTGCCAGGACAATTAGATAGCAGTACGTTTAAAAAAAAAAAATGAACTTACCTCACCCTTAGAAATATGTATTCAAATATTACCTCGAAATGGATCCAAGTACTTAATATAAGAGCTAAAATTATAAACCTTCTAAAGGTAAAGCTATGAGAAAATCTTAGTGTTCTTGGGTTTGGTAATGATTTTTTTAACTATCACACAAAAAGCAAAAGTTAAGTGTGCTCTTCAAAAGACACTCTCAAAATATATACATGAATCTAGGATAAAGGACAATTCAGTAATGCCAAACAACCAAATTGAAAAATGAGTAAACAATATGAAGACATTTAAAAAATATACAGGGGGCCACCAGGCCCAGTGGCTCATATCTGCAGTCCCAGCACTTTGGGAGACCAAGGCAGACGAATCCCTTGAGGCCAGGAGTTTGAGACCAGCCTGGCCAACATGGCGAAACCCCATCTCTACTAAAAATACAAAAATTAGCCAGACATGGTCACGCATGCCTGTAGACACAGCTACTCGGGAGGCTGAGGTGGGAGAATCGCTTGAACCCAGAAGGCAGGGGTTGCAGTAAGCCAAGATTGCGCCACGGCACTCCAGCCTGGGCGACAGAGTGAGACTCCGTCTCAAAATAAGCAAATAAATAAATAAAAATACAGGTGGCAAATAAGCACGTGAGAACAGGCTCAACATCACTAGTTATTAGGGAAACAGAAGATAAAACCACAATGAGCTACTTTACCACTAGACACCTGCCACCAGCCTAAAATTAAACAGACTGACCATATCAAGGCTGGCAAGGATATGAAGAAACTGGAGTTCATACAGTGCTGGTAGGATTTCAAGTGATACAACCACTTTGAGAAACAGCTTGTTTCTTAAAAAGTTAAAAATACCCAGCAATTCCACTCCTAGGTATTTACTCAAGAGAAGTAAAAGCATATGTCCACACAAAGACTTGTTTAGGGATGCATACAACAGCTCTATCTGTAAGAGCTAGAAACTGCAAAAAACTCAAATGTCCCTCAACAGGTGAACGGACAGTTAAATTGCAGATTGTTCACCCAATGGAATATTATTCAGCAATAACAAAATAAACACTGATTAATCTCAAATAACCATGATAACTGAAAGAAGGCAAACCAAAAAAAAAAAAAAAACGCATACACTATTATCTTTATATAAAATTCAAGAAAATGCAAACTAATCTATAGTGACAGAAAGCAGATTAGTGGCTGCCTGTGACAAAGGAACAGGAAGGAGGAATTACCAAAAGGCAGGAGAAATCTTTTAGGGGTGACAGATGTGATCATTATCTTCACAGTGGTAGTTTCCTAGGTAATATTTTAAAAGTAAAGTTACTTACATGCCAATTACACTTTAATAAAGCTGAAAAATTTTAAATAAGGATGGCAAATGCTGTGTTTTTATGCTGGCTGCAGTATAATACTTGTTGGATTTTCTTAAATACAGAGACTAAATAATTCAAAATTACACATTAGTCTACAGCATTTACTTTAGACAAGTTTTACCAGGAGATAAAATCCAACTGTTTAATATTATTTGATGATGTAGTATAGAAATGCAACAAATAAATTCTATTTTTGTACAACAAAGTATTTTACCACTAACTTGTATTTTCAAAATGCTCTATCTTCATTCCTGGGTAATTTTAACTGGCAACAGATTGTAACATTGTAGCAGTAAATTCAGTATGAATATCATCATTACCATTACACACACAAACACAAAAAATACACCTCATAAATTAAAACATGTATCTCTTCAGAAACAACCCATGTTGCCAGTTTCACCAAGGCATGAAGTAGTTTTCGTGATGACTGGAAGAGATAATCAACCTAGCATATTTACACTGGAACACAGCTTCATATATTTTGAATATATTTCCCATATTCCCAACAATAAAGTAATCCTACTCTTCCTATCTTCACACCAGTATCTGGTCCAAAGTCTTTCTTATCTACCACAAGATAGAGAAGAAACAAAGCCTGAGTTTACTCAAAAGTCAACTATCTAGTTAGTTCTTTCTTCCTTCATGTCATCTGAAAGTTTCTGTGGGCAGGATATAGGGAGAAGTATGACTTGTTTCACTACTTTTGAGTCTCTGAATCTTCAAAGGCCAGAGGTAAGGAAAGAAAAGCAAATCAACTTTATTTGCCAGAAGTCTTTTTTTGGTTTAATTTTAGGGCTTGGGTGGGTTTTTGTTTTTGATTGAGGGGGGGCGCATCTTTGAGGGAGAAAATAATGAAAAGTTTAATGATTAAAATAAATTAGTGTTTAGATGAGGAACTTTCCAATCATATAAGACAACTGAAAACTGGCAGCTACACTAATTGTTCTGCATTCATCACTCTCACATTGCTTTTGCAGTAAAGCAGCAGAGACCAACAAGCCTTGTTTCCTCTGATTCTAAACAGCCTGTGACAAGAATCAGATATGTGTTCATTCATATACGTAGAAGAAATATTGCACAACTCAATGCAAATATTCACTAACCTGAAGGTCAAATTATGTCCTCCATCACAGAAATATAGAAGAATTTTGGTTTATCTATACACTAAAGATATTATGACTCTAAAGAACAAGCCATCAGTCAAAAAGCCCACTTTCTTAGAGGAAAAAATATATAAACACAAGAACACCACAAGTATCACTCTCTTATAGATGAAATTTACAGCCAGGCGTGGTAGCTCATGCCTGCAATCCCAGCTCTTTGGGAGACTGAGGCAGGTGGATCACCTGAGGTCGGGAGTTTGAGATCGGCCTGACCAAAATGCAGAAACCCCATCTCTACTAAAAATACAAAATTAGCCAGGCATGGTGGCGCGTGTTTGTAATCCCAGCTACCTGGGAGGCTGAGGCAGAAGAATCGCTTGAACCAGGAGGCGGAGGTTGCGGTGAGCTGAGATCCTGCCATTGCCCTCCAGCCTGGGCAACAAAAGTGAAACTTCGTCTCAAAAAAAAAAGAAATGAAATGAAATCTACAATCCCGATAGGTTTACTCAGTTATATGGAGGAAGTCAGAAGGTCAGCTCTTATCTCTTTCCTCTAAAGTCTGATTCATTAGCAGATTAGAAAAAGTTAAAATGACAAGGGAACTACACAAAAATATCCAAGATGTATTTGTCATTGTGTTAGTTTGTAGGGTTTTTCCACTTCACCACACTGCCTATTAACCGAGAAGTTAAGAGAATACAAACTACTGTAAGTATGAATTTTGCTTTATAGACAAGATAGCTGAATAGGAATTACAAATAAATCTCTCATTCCTAAAGCATTATTTAATATAAAACTCTATTGCCTGGATAAATGATAGCGGAATAGGAATAGATAATTAGGTGGTATTTACTTGACAAGATCATTAAACTGAGAACAAAAACTTCCAGGGATACCTAAGCTAAAAAGTACACTTTAAAAGATTGTATTGGCCACCAAGAAAAACAACGCATTATCTTTACACCAAAGTTCTCTGAGCATGTTATGAGGGTAATAAAATTAATTCTGAAAATACATCTTTCAAAACCACAAAAGGATCAAAATTATTCATGGCATTACCAGTTGATTTAACTATTAGGATTAAATCTAATATTAAATTAGCAAAAATCCCCCAATCTAGGGATCAATCTAGTCACTGTGTACTAAATTTATTCACTTCTATATAGATCATTTCCTAATTCTAATTTTTTTTAAACTAGGTACTGAAGATTACAGAAGTTTCTACATAACATCTATGGAGAAACTAACTTTGTAGTTGAGCATTAGTCTCCACACATACTGTGCCCCAAAAATTAAGTGCTTACTAATGTCTAATAAATTAACTTAAAACATAAAAAAAAAATTTTAATCAAAACATTCCAATTCATCAGGAAAAATGTCTTCTCTCATAAAACTTCCTAGATAAAAGAGGTCTGAAAATACTAATGAACAATTCAGAGGCTTCATTTATAAAACAGTACCAGCTGAAGAGGAAGATTATCTAGGAGGTGGCTCCTGAAAAAGGAGAGAGAAAATTCCGGTATCTAAATTATTTATCAGTTCAAACAATTATCTAGCCCAAGAGAACTACAACTATTCTGAGTCCTATTCAGCTGCAAAATCTCATGAAGAATACAGACTTCACGATTTTCTCAATTTTCATCCCCTTTGCTTCCTTACACTGTATTCTGACTCTAGACCACTCTAGTCGCTCTGTTTCTAAAACTTTCAGCCAGAGAGTACAGAGCAGAAGAGAACTTCGGAAGGCATTCTATGGGAGCTCTACTAAGAGGGATCACCGTTTTAAAACAGACAGTGCTTCAGAAGAATCCTATTTAGCAATCAACTGTTGTACCTGTTATGAACAGAAAAGCAGGCATGAACTTCAAAGAGAGACAGACAATCAAGGGAATCATCTTAAGAGTAACAAAAGAAATGATGCACAGAGTAAAACTAGAAACTGAAGTGAAAAAGGAAAGTAGTGTAGCAGTATTTCCAAGGCATTTCCCAAAGGTTTTAAATGAATAAACCTATTTGCAGAGGGGGTTAGCCAATATATCACACAATTATTTTAAAAAGTAAACATTTTAAATAAGAAATCAGAAGAACAGACTGCCCTCTAAATACATTTGAAGAACACAAAAGCAGCATAGTAAGACCTTGCCTCTAAAGATTCAACAACAGGTTACAGTCTCTATCCCTGAGAGCCTCATACGGGGCGGATATGGAGCAGCAAATGTGAACACGAAATTCCAGTACAACATGATTGTGTGGTACGGTAAGTATATCACAAAGTGCTTCAATGATCACAAAAGACAAAAATCAAGGCCCAGCAATGGCTCATGCCTGTAATCCCAGCACTCTGGAAGGCCAAAGTGGGAGGATCATTTGAGGCCAGGAGTTCAAGACCAGCCTGGACAAAATGGGGGAGACCCCCATCTCTCAAAAAAAGAGAAAAAAATTAGCTGGGTATGGTGGCACATGCTTGTAGAGTCCCAACTACTTGGGAGGCTGAGGTGGGAGGATTGCGTAAGCCCAGGAGTTCTGAGGCTACAGTGGGCTTTGATCACACCACTGCACTCCAGCCTGGGCAAAGAAGCAAGATCCTGTCACAGAAAAAAAAAAGAATCAAGGAAGGTTTCCCCAAAGAGTTACCATGAGCTGGGTCTTGAAGCAGAAGCTAGCATTTACCACGGTAGCAAAGAGGTAAGTCTTCAAGCAGTTCTAGAAGTACATGTGGCAGGCAGCACAGTGGCATAAAAGAACATGTTCAGGGAACACTGAACAGTTTGACCAGAAAGTGCATGCTAAGAAGGGCAAGACCTCTTTGGGCAATGAGGCAGTATATCCAGGGTTTTTTAAGCACACTACATGATCTATGTGCTTTCTAGAGATATCTCTAGGCAGCACAACAGACTAGACTTGGCAGAACAGTTTCAAGGCTACTGCAATGGTACAGGTCTGGGCAATACAGGCTTGTAATTAAGAATTGAAATAAAAAATGAAATATAATGAGAACCTAAATTAAGGTAGTCGCAGCAGGGATACTGGACAAATAAAGTCAGCAGAATTTGGTGTCAGACTGAATGCTAGGGATGGGTATCAAAAAATGTTAAGCAGGAAAAACACCCAATGTACACCTGTTCTATTAGAACCAAGCTTTGCTATGGAGCATGATTCAGTATTAACCATTTCAGTAATAAAAACACTTTTCAAAAAAAAAGATGTATCAGTGTCATTCTTTTAATTAATATAACCAAGGTCTAAGTAAGAACAGCCTTAGGGCTGCAGTACACCTGTTTATACTTGAAAACACTAGCCTTCCATACCAGGTGTTCTGTCCTGAAGCCCTCATCTCAGAGATCCTGAAAAGGAGACTGACTGAATCTTGTCTTTGGTCAGTCTGCATTGAGTTTAATTTCTTAGAATGGGGCAAAGATTTGTTAACCCCTGAATGAAGATTTCCAAATTAAAACCTTAATTATAACTTAAATAAGAAAACCGTTCAGCTACACATAAATAACACTACCAAAAATTTTTAAGATAAAGCTTTCCTCTTTAGAAGTCACAAAATGCGGCCAGGCACGGTGGCTCATGCCTGTAATCCCAGCACTTTGGGAGGCCGAGGTAGGTGGATCACCTGAGGTCAGGAGTTTGAGACCAGCCTGGCCAACATGGCAAAACCCCGTCTCTATTAAAAATACAAAATCAGCTGCGCATGGTGGCAGGCGCCTGTAGTCCCAGCTACTCAGGAGGCTGAAGGAGGAGAATCACTTAAACCCGGGAGGTGGAGGTTGCAGTGAGCCGAGATCGCACCACTGCACTCCAGCTTGGGCAACAGAGCGAGACTCCATCAAAAAAGAAAGAAAGAAAGAAAGAGAGAAAGAAAGAGAGAAAGAGAGAAAGAGAGAAAGAGAGAAAGAGAGAAAGAAAGAAAGAAAGAAAGAAAGAAAGAGAAAGAAAGAAAGAAAGAAAGAAAGAAAGAAAGAAAGAAAAGTCGTCACAAAACGCATGAATATCTATACAACACATTGGGGGAGAATAAATGACAAATTATCTTCTCTATATATTTGTAGACAAGTAACTTGGCACTGTAAAATTTTAAGAGTCATCTTACTGTATGACAAATTGCCCAAACTGACATAACACAGTATTTTAGAACTGGAAAAGACATAGACATCATCTAGTTCTGGCCAGGCTCAGTGGTTCATGCCTGTAATCCCAACACTTTGGGAGGTCAAGACAGAAGGATCACTTGAGGCCAGGAGTTCAAGACCAGCCTGTGCAACATATCAAGACTTCATCTTTACAAAAAAAAAAAAAAATTTAACCAAATTAAATTGTGCCTGGTGGCACAAGCCTGTAGTCCTAGCTACTTGAGACGCTGAAATGGGAAGATTGTTTAAGCCCAGAAGTTCAAGGCTGCAGTGGCCTATGAGCATGCTCCTGCACTCTAGCCTGGGCAACAGAGCGAGACCCTGTCTTTAAAAAAACATAAAGAAGGAAAGGAAAGACATCGTCCAGTTCCATGAATTTCAGGGAATCTTTTATTTTAATTGCAACCCACGGTTTTAAATCTTAACCTAGTATACACATCTTTACACATATAAAGTTGTATCTTATAATTAAAGCATTTATTTATAACGTAATTGCAGTAGCAGAAACTGTATACAGTGAAATTTTTCAGAAACCCTAGGCATTTGAGATCCCTCTTCCAAAATAGAAATCTTTGAAACTATCATCACTCCCATCCTGAGCACCAAAATGTAACTCCCTTCCTACAAATATGCTTCAGTGGTCCACACCAAAAGTACTTGCCAAGATGAGCTGATAGTTTACTGTCATATATTTTGTCCCATAGTACCCAAGAACAAACTGGATGTCCTGTGACTTCCTCCATATTTTAACTAGAGAAGAAACTGGAAATAAAGCCAGCAACGCATACAGTGAAAACAAAATCTACACATTAGAACACAGAGCCTGAACGACTAATGAAATATGCTCCATCTAACTCTGCCCAGGTAACGAGTGCCTTCCACTGCACCACTGCCCTGGGAAAGTCAATCATTCACAAACTCACTGCCTTTCACTAGTGATTTTAATGGTGGCACGCAGTTCCTTAAAAGAATTGTGTAATTTTCTGAATAAGTGAAGCGACAAACTACACTTCAAAGAATCCGATTTTAAGGCAGTCAGCACAGAATGCATATTCTTGGCCCGTTTTTATAGGTATATGTATCCAAAAGACAGGATGAAGAATACTCAACTTTATAAAGAGAAACACTGCAACAAGCAAAATAAATCATCTAATCTATACAGGCTTATGTTAACTTTTTACATTATAGCTTATCTGAATAGGCTAATAACCTCAGGATAATTCGGAGCAAGGTAACTCCTCAAGTGACATCTTATTGTCCTCCTCTAATTTAAATGGTCCTGGAAAAGATGGCAAAGTTGGAAGGGAAATAATCAAAGGAGTGTAGCTGAAACACTTTAAACATCACATTAAATTTGTCCATTTAATTAAATCACCTGTCTTCTATTCTATTAACTGGGTATGACACCAAGTAAGTTACTTTTCTGAAACTCAGCGTCTTCAATTGTGAAAGTTAGAGTAACAACTATCTCTCAGGATTGCTTTGAGTATTAATTGAAAAAAAAAAAGACACAAAAGTGGCATGCAAAATGTCAAGTACTTATGTAAATATACAGTATCTGAGAATATCATCTTAAGATCTACCTTCTAAATGTTCAAGTGGCTGGTACAATATTTTGCACATGAGTACTCAAATATTTGTGTATTCAATCAGTCATAATTTAAAAGGATCCAAAACTTTAATTGTAAAAAGTAAGGATTATTTCATGTACTGCTTATATATTTACTCACTACTACTACTACTAAGAAATCAGTCACACTTTTAGAATGGTTACTCATTCAATTCAGTACACAATATATGGGAATTTAAAAAATTATCACTGTGTAACATATACTATTTACAGTACATATTTTGTGCCCAGTCCTGTGCCAAGCATGCTACCTACATTGACTCATTTAATCCTTCTAATACCACTATGGAGAAGTTATTATCCCTATCTTATAAATGAAAAACAAAAGCACAAGTTCATGTAACATACCCAAGGTCACAAGGTGAGCAAATGGCAGAGCTGCTGTTACTCAAACTTGGGTCTGACATCAAAGCCCTCACTCCCAACTACTCATCCTCTTCTTCAATATGGTACCCACTAGCCAAAGGTGGCTACTGAGCACTTGAAATGTGGTTAGTCTGAACTAAACTTTGCTGTAACCCTAAAATGTACACTAGATTTTGAAGACTGTCTTTGAAAAAAAGAATGTAAACTATCTCACTGTAATACTGGTTACATGTTAAAAAAAACATTCTGGATATAATTGGTTCGATAAAACATATTCTTAAAATTAATTTCACCTGCTTAATTTACTTTCTTCCTGTGACTACTAGAAAGTTAAAATTACATGTGGCTTACAATATATTTCTTTTGGATAGCACTGATTTAGAACATCACACAAAATGTCTTATATATGAAGAGTACGAAACAATTTTAAATTTACAAATACAATATATTTTAAAGAATACATTCAGATACTTTCCAATCTTAACAGCTGTTTTAATACTAAGTTAGTAGTGTGCCTGATAAAAATTTTAATCCCTTAATGTAAAAACACATTGTCACTTAAATATTCCAAACCAGATTAATTCTAAAAATTTCCTATTAGGAAAACTGCTTTCTTCCAACTATAAAAGTGATACTGACTCATCCACACATACACTACAGAAATGCAAAAAAGAATCCATCATCTCAGAGTTAAGGTTTTTATCAGTCATTCCTTCCAGGTATATGTATTAGTATGAATGGTATGAAATATTAGTTTCATGTAATTTTATCATTTTGTAACTTGTTTTTCTGATTATGAACCTTTTCCTTTATCATCACATATTCTCAACATTTTTAACTATTTTGAAAATAATTATAAATTCACAGGAAGTTGCAAAAATGGTACACAGAGGTCCCATGTAATCTCCACCCAGTTTCCCAACATGTGCACCTTCTTGATAACACAATGACACTGGTAGGTATGCATATAGTTCTATGCCACTTTATCACGTTTAGATTCATGTAATTACCACTACAATCAAGATGCAAACCTACTTCATCACCACAAAGATCTTCCTCTTGCTACCCTTTTACAGTTACATCCATCTCCCTCCCTCCTGCCACTAGTCCTAACTCCTGGCAACCACTAATGTGTTCTCTTATCTCTGTAATTTTGTCATTTCAAGAATGTTAATTCTTGAAATTATCCTATAGTACGAGACCTTTTAAGATTGGCTTTTTTCACTCAGCATAAAGCCCCAGGAGTCCACCCAAGTTATTCTATGTATCCATAGTTTGTTCCTTTTTGTTGCTGAATAGTATTCCATAGTATGAATGTACCATTCACCTACTGAAGAACGTGTGAGTTTTTTCTAGTTTTGGGCTATTACATATAAAGCTGTGGACAGGTTTTTTTTGTGAACATTAGCTTTCATTTCTCTGGCATAAATGCTCAGGAGGCAACTGCTAGGTCATATGGTAAGTATATGTTTCATTTTGTAAGAAACTGCCAAACTATTTTCCAAAGTGGAATGTACGATTTTATATTCTCACCAGCAATGTGTGGCAGATCTGAAAACTTAAAAAAAAAAAAGACAGGTATGGGCTGGGTACGGTGGCTCATGCCTGTACTCCCAACACTTCGGGAGGCCAAGGCAGGCGGATCACGAGGTCAGGAGATGGAGACCATCCTGGCTAACACGGTGAAACCCTGTCTCTACTAAAAATACAAAAAAAGTAGCCGGGTGTGGTGGCGGGCACCTGTAGTCCCAGCTACTTGGGAGGCTGAGGCAGGAGAATGGCGTGAACCCGGGAGGTGGAGCTTGCCGTGAGCCAAGATCGCACCACGGCACTCCAGCCTAGGCAACAGAAAGAGACTCCCTCTCAAAAAAAAAAAAAAACAAATGACAGGTATGAAAACCTACCAAACATTTTTAACAGCTGCAAAATATTCCATCATGGTGGTTCCATAATTTTGGCAATTCCCTAAGGATCCCTATTTAAGTCATTTTCAATTTTTTGTTGTAATAATGACGTAATTCGTAACAGAAATTTTTATAAGCAGGTCAAGCAAATTCCTAGAAGTTATGTTGCTGGATCACAGGGTACAAATATTTCAAAGGCATTTGATACTAACTGCCGTACTGGCAGTCAGAAAATGTAAATCAACTCCCATACTCGCAAAGAGTCTATTAGAATGCCTATCTCTCAGTCTCACTGAAGTTATTTTTTTAATCTTTAAAACTTGATTTGCCAAAAAAAAAAAGTTATCTTACTTTGTATTCCTTTGAGTAATGGGAAGGCTATACATTTCTCATATTTACTGACTTAATTTGTAGTTATTTTATTACTTATTTGCATTCTTTGCAGGCTTTTTACTGGAATATTGGTTTACTGATTATAAGACCTGGTTCCATCTCTCCGCTGTGCAATGCAAAAAAAAAATAGGATTTTTTTTTTTTCTTGAGACCAGCTCTTGCTCTGTCATCCAGGCTGGAGTATAGGAGCGCAGTCATAGATGACTGTAGCCTCGAACTCCTGAGATCAAGGGATCCTCCTGACTCAGCCTCCCAAGTAGCTGGGATTATAGGTATGCACCACCATGCCCAACTAATTTTATTTTTGTAAAGACGGGTTCTCACTTTGTTGCCCAGGCCGGTCTCAAACTCCTAACTGTGAGCAAGCAAGCCTTCTGCTTCAGGTTCCCAAAGTGCTGGAATAACAGGCATGAGCCACCACATCACAGCCAGAAATGAGATTTTTTTTTTTTTAAACATATCTGAAATCCAATCCTAAGTGCTAATAATGCAAGATAGATGATTTTAGAATGCAAAAAGATAAGAGTTTAATTGATATGGTTCCCTAATTTATAAACACTCCTATACTTTGCACAATGTTTTCATCAATTAAGGCATCACCTCAAATGCCAAAAACATGGTTCCTATAAATGCAGACCACTTACTTCTCTTAAGTTCACTTTGAAAATGTCAACATCTAATTTTCTGAACCTCTGGGAATGGGACTCAGCAATGTGTTGAAGAAGTCTTCTTCCAAGTGATTCTGATAACATGCTAAAGTTTGAGAACCAGCACTCTAAACAAATTTAGAACAAAAATATTACATGTGGGTTCTCTTGTATACATAATTATTCTTTAATGGAAGATTTGGGCAAAGTTAATTATGCTATAGATATTAAGAATCCAATGTTTTGGTTCTTCCCAAAATGAAAATAATCCTGAAAGAAATCTGGATTTTATCTTTATTTTCTACAAATAGAACTCTAAAACCATTAAGTGTTCATAAAACTTCTCCCCTAGAAGAAGAAATCAAAATGAACTCTATCAACCAACAGGCCAGAATACATGCCTTTAAAAATCAAACTTACTTTGTTTCATATAACACATAGCATAATTCCCACTACCACAGGGAACCATCGTTTTGAAAATTCAGTGAAATATCATTATTAAAGCAAAGCACCTGGAAAACCGTAGTTACTCAAATACGTGAAGTCCAATGAACAAACTGCTCAATAAATAATTCTGAATGGCAGGATGATGGGTGACATTTGTTTATTTGTTTTTCTGTTTTAATCTAGGGACTAGTCAAGTGACAGGAGTTCTGATTCCTGCAGTTCTTCCCGTTTCCCTGAGTTTAAACATCAACTTTCTCTCATTGGCTACGTGGGCCAATAAATTTTTGGCTTTTTTGACTTAAGGTAGTTTGAGCTAGATTCCTAATTATTGCAATCTTGACTATTTCTGTAGCACTTATGATACTAAACCTGTTTAGTTTTGTAAAAGAAGGGCAAGAACAGTTAAACCACATAGCTACACAAGAAATCTGATTTGTTCTTAGAAAGCAGCCACCAGGTTTGTTTTCTCCCTATGACTAACTACCATGTATTGTATGTATTATGAGACCCAATACACCGATGATACTGGCATCATGTATCACCCTTAATTTCATTTCTTGTCCCTCTCAAAGGCTGTTAAAGTTTCATCCTAGGTTGTATTTGCTAATGCTCTTAAATTGTAGAGAAAAATATTTTGAATACATTTTAAGAAAGATGCTTTTTTAACATATTCCTTCCACTAGTTTCTTTTCCCAACCACAGGACAATTTAAGTAGATTTCCTAAATTGACAGAGGGAGAAAGGAGGAGAGAAAGTCATATTTAATCCTATTTAAAAACAAAATTTTTACCATTTACCTTGTGATCTCAACTATTCATGATTTCTGAGTAACACAGTAATTTATGTGCATTGCCCTTACTGAGAATTCCTTTTTGGCAGCACAGTCTGTGTCACTCATTGCATGGAACTGAAAATACAGCTAAATAAATGAGTGAAGTGAATGAGTCAAGACTTCAATCTCCAAAGTAATTAATCCAAATTACTCAACAGAAGAGTGGCATACACAATGTACAAAGTATGACTATCAAGGGTACAAGATGCAACTACCAACTTATAGGTATATTAACACGGCAGAACAGATAACATTTCCAACAATACTCAAAATGGTTTTGCCACCATTTTTAAACCGCCATAGATGCCAGTTTACAAACAGGAATGTCGTTGCTTATCACATCTTAACACATCTAACATTCCCCACAACTGGTTTGGTACCACATGACTGATCCCCTGCTTTATTATCAGACTTTCCAGTATGACTACTGGCCACTGAAATCACCGATGGGCAACAGCAAATAGAAAGAATTGTCACAGTTATTTAGGGAAGTGTGTCAATGCTCTGAAGCTCAAAACCACTCCAGAAGTACTTTAAATGCACTGCCTACAGCCTCCAAGGCTACAGTTGTGTGTGTAACTTCTAGTACTTTTTTTTTAGAGGGGGTGTGGGGCGGGGAGTAGGGAACTATAACAGAAAAACAGGAATACTAGTTTAAAGGGCCCACTTCATAAAGACAACTTTCCCCTAATCCAGTAACATTCAACACACAAGATGAAAGCCCCAAGATTTTGAAAAAACAGTTATTTATTAGAACTCTTAACTGGAACTCCTTCTCCCAGGCTTCATTTATTCTGTATACATTTACTCAACCCCTACCAAATGCCAGGCACTGTAACAAACACAGCAAACTAAAGCCATGAAACAAAAAGGTCTTGCCCTCAAAAAAGGTGACAACCTAAAAGAGACAGATTGGAAATCAAATTAAAAATACAGTCTATGTGTTATGACAGAGGTATGAATGACTGGAGGGGAACGGAAAGGCTTCCTGAGACACATGTCTCAGACAAACAGGAGTCAGCCTGGACAAAAGGAAGAAGCATTTCAGAAGAAGACACAAAGGAAAAGCATATGAAGGTAAGGTTAAGGAAGTGAGATATCATGGTCCACGGTTGGAAAACACCAAGCAGTTTGGCATAACACACACAAACGCTGTGTATGGAGGGCAGACGGAGCGATGATAGGCTGCTTCCAGAAATTCTAAAGAATGACACAGAAAAGGACCAAATCACAAGACCCTTGTTGATACTCAGGATTGGATTTTATCCAAAAGGCAATGAGAATCAGGAGATCATTTTAAGCAGGAATGGGACATAATCTACTTGGGATTTTAGAAAACACTCTGATAGATGAATTCAGCTTTTCACCCTGTGGGATCTGAATTGCCTTTAAGTTGTTCAAGTAGAGATGCCAGGAAGCAGCTGGATTTGTTTGTCCTGTGTTCGTGTGCATGGGAGTGGTGATGCAGGTTAACAAATAGTATCTGGGAATCACCAGCTCCTGAGGAGATGTGGAAAGGTGTGGACATCATCACCTAAAGATAGTGAAAGGGAGGGGGGCAAACAACTATTAATAAGTAACTTGTATCAACCTATACAACAAACCTTATATCCAAGAATCATAAGGCCCACTTTAGATCCCAGATTCAGCGAGGATTTTCCTGAGGAAGCCCCAGAGAATGACTATCTCTAACTTCTAAAAAGCACTTGTGGTCTCTATTATGTACTTGCTCATACCATGGCGTTCACATCACTGGGTACTTCACTGGCTTTCTTCTTATGGTCTTATCTGTCAACAAGTCTGCTAAGTTCCTTGAAAGCAGGAATTTTCCCATTTATTCAACCAATGTCTCAAAAGAGAAATGACTGATAAACAATACTATTGATGAGAGGCAAGAGCTGACTCCTTTTACGTCCTCTAAAAAAGCTGCACACACCGGGTTTCATTCCTTTTGCATAATGATGCCTGGAGGAAACAGCTGTTCAAGTATGTGGGTAATAAACACAGGGTGAAGACAGGTCCTCTCTCTAGAACGTGTAAGGAAGGGTCTGCATGCAGAGTTGAATGTCAAAGATATTCTCAGGATAAGACAGACTGGTAAAATAAGCAAGAACTGCACACAACAACATGGATGAATCCTGCACACCTAACCATGAGTGAAACAAGCCAGATTCAGAAGTATATGCATGTACCATGGTGCATACACTGTGGCTACTAAGCAAAGTGGTACATACAGTATGTATGCTTCTGAGTCTGGCTTGTTTCACTCACTGTGGAGTATACTGTATATAGGCAGTGGTACATACAGTATTTACTATGTACTGTATACATAGTATACTCCACTCACATAAATTTCAAAAACAAGCACAACTGATCTCTAGTATTAAAAGACAGGAATGGGGTGGGAGAAGTGGCCCACAGGGGACAGTGCACAAGGGGCTTCCGGTAATGTTCTAGTAATGTTCTCTTTAAGAATCTAGGTGCAAGCCAGCACAGTGGCTCATGCCTATAATACCAACTCTCTGGGAGGCTGAGGCGGGAGGATCGCTTGAGCCCAGAAATAAGACACTAGCCTAGGCAACATAGGGAGACCGTGTCTCACAAAAAGAAAAAAAAAAAGCCCTTAAAAATGTGCCAGGCATGATGGCACATGTCTATGGTCCCAACTACTCAGGAGGCTGAGGTGAGAGTATCACCTGGGCCTCAAAGTAGGGGCTACAGTGAGCTGTGATTACACCACCACACTCTAGCCTGGGCAACAGAGCCAGATACCTGTCTCAAAAAAAAAAAAAAATCAATCTGGGTGCTAGTGGCAAAGATATGCTCATTCTGCAAAACTTTATCAAATCCTTATACTTACGATTTGTGCACTTCTATGTATGCGACCGTTGAAAAAGTTTGTATCTATAGGTAAAAAGGGAAGTGGGAGTACTAGTTATGAAAAGTAACACAGAAGATGCCACAAAGAGAAAAAGCATGGGTGATGAGGCAAAAGAGAAAAGAAGTGCCAGAAAGACTGCAGAATGTGTTAGCTCAAGTCATTTAGGACACGAGAGACCTACTATTTACTCAAAGTCCTAATGAACCAAATTAGTTCTGATAACTATTTTGGTAAACTACAGCTACTTGAGAAAGTTTTTCTTAATCCTGGAATTTTCTTCAGCACCTACTGAAATACACAACAAATATATGCCACATGAATAAATAATATGTAAGTGAATCCATTCATAATCTCCCACCCTAATGACTAACAATACTAGTAAATTAGCTGGCCTAGGTTTAGTCTACAACATGGAACTAAGTTTATAAGTTTAGCAGCCTATGCACAAGGGCTCCAAATCTAAAAGCTGTCTGTCCCCCAACCAAATGAGCTAAATGGCACAGGTAAACCTACATAAGAATTATCCCCGGCTCCAAAAGGAAGTAGCATTACTTTTTCCTAAAAAATTAAATGCATTATCTCAACATTGTCTATAAAGCAGTCACTCCACCCAGTTCTCATCACTCTGTAGTTCCTTACCCTTCTCTAAATTCTTCGTAGCACTTGTCGCCAGCTGAAATTGTTATTTTTCTGTTAGTTTATTTTCTCTTCCTTTCCATAGTATTTTAAGCTCCGTAAGAACAGGGACCTGGTCTGTCTTTATACCACTGTACACCAAGAGCGCAAATGGCTGTGTGCTCAATAAAAACTTGTCAAATGACCACAACTACCCAGGTAATTTACTTTAAGGTCACCAAGTACACATAAGATCAAGTCACCACCAATAAATCAGTAAGTCCAATGAAACAGTAAACACAAAATAAATTATTACTCTGTTCCTGGGTAAAATGATCTTAAATTTTACCAGCTTTCAGCTTGGAAGGTTTGATAAAAGTTTGATTTGGAAGACAGGTAATTTTTATATATTTTTATGGAGAATTTTTATGAAAGACAAACACTACAACAAAAACAATGTCATGAAAGGAGCAAAACCACTGCTGTGGATTACCAGGAAACATGAGTAAGAGGCTTGGGCTTTGCCCAGTGTAGGTACCTTATCTTATTTCTGGGAGTTTTTCTACCTAAAAAGCATCACACGATGATGCCTTTTTGAAGCTTCCAGCAAAGATCATAGCTATGTTGTGTTTTTCCATAAAACTTCTACTAAAGTACTTCATGACAATTCAAGAGATTTTTGGTTGTCAGGGTATCTAAATTTAAGGGGGGAATGGATAGTTCAAAGCTACAACTGCAAAAAACTGGTAAATTCTCAAACAAGAGAAACGTATTACACACAAAACAGCTGCTTCTTCAACACTTCCAATTCAATATCCTGAATACCAAATTTTTTCAAAGATAATTATTTCTACACAATTTTATTCTACACCTAAAGTAATTTCCTCACTCATACTTGTGTATAAAAGCTCCAAAAACAGTCAGCTTTTCAGAGGGGCAGTATTCAAATAAACATGGATGAAATAAAACATGATCTCAACACAGCGATACATTTCTGGAGCTGAAGACCAGAAAGTTCTAAACCTATGGTAATTAGCCAAAGTAAAAATTTTCCAATTTTGCAAATGAATGTGATTAAGCAGTAGCTGAAAGTAAAAATGCAGGACTACTATCAAGGGAACACTAATCAACAACTATATTCAGCAATGTCTTGGTAATTTTTATTTTACAATTAAGGTAACATTGAATGCAGAGAAATAACAAGACAAGAAAAGTAAAATTAAATCACCAAGTCTAGGAAGCTACTCTGCCCAATCTTGAGAAATGCAACTTAACAAAACAACAGTTAGGGGCTGGGCAAATCCCAGCACTTTGGGAGGCCAATGGAGGAGGATCCCTTGAGGCCAGGAATTCAAGACCAACCTGAGCAACATAGCAAGACCTTGTCTCTTCATTTAAAAAAAAAAAAAAAAAACCACCACCACAACAAAAAAAACATCAGCTGGAAGTGTAGGAAGGTGGAAAATACAAAGAAAAAAAAAACACACACAGTTGGGTACATTCATGCATTTGTAGTTTTTTTCTTCTACTTTTAAAAGCCGGTATCCTCTTTCTTGAGACTGGCAAAGCAGGATGGGAAATACTACTTTACCACTTAAGAAAGGGATAGTGTTTCTCCCCCAGCCACTTGCCACCTTACACACACATTCTAACATGCACTTTTATTTTCTACCTTGAAAGGCTCAGGGTACATCAGCATGGTAGGGAAGCAACCTGTTGCCCATGACTTCTCCATTCTGTTCTGTTAGACTTACAGAACGGATATAACGAAACCATTTGACATGATGGAAATGTTCTAAAACTGGGTTGCCGTGATGGCTGCACAACTCTTTAAAATGACTAGAAATCACTGATTTGCAGACTTACAATGGGTGTTATAAGTAAATTATCACTCACTCCTGCAAGGCAGAAAGATCACTTGAGGTTAGGAGTTCAAGACCAGCCTGGTCAACAGGGCGAAACCTTGTCTCTACAAAAATTACAAAACTTTGCCGGATGTGATGGTGCACACCCGTAGTCCCAGCTACTCAGGAGGTTCAGGTGGAAGAATCGCTTGAGCCACGGAGGTTGAGGCTGTAGTGAGCCATGAGCATGCCACTGCACTCCAGCCTGGGTGACAGAGAAAGACCCTGTCTCCAAACAAAAGGATATATATATAACCAGAAAAGGCATAAAGAGTGGACAGTCTAGTTAGAAAAACAAGTTTATCAAAAAACCAAAGACACCCAACACATACTGATAATACATCTAAAATATAGATCTCTCCTGCTGCCCCTGAACCTCCACACAGCCTAGGCCACCTTCTTCCCTTAACAGATTCCTTAAGACCATCTCACCTTTCATTCTGCTCTATTGCTGCTCCAAAAAGAAAAAAAAGACCTCATTCTCAATCACCTTAACAATTCCACCTGCAGAACTAAAAATATCTGACGTACATGGTAATAGTGAAAAGGTGACAGGTGATTTTTTAATTCTCCTTGTCCAAAAGAAGTGGAGAAGAAGGAATCCTTCTAACTGATTCCCTAAGCCAGACCCCTGCTTCCGTACAGCCTTTATAATTGGAATTATGGTCATTCCCATACACGGCTTATCAACATTTTAACACTCCCCTCTCCTCTCTCCAATCCCTTCAGCAGCATCTTTCATATCCTACGAATTTAATAAGTGTTCTTCAGACGAATGGCAGTATTTTCCCAATCACATCAGCAATATCAATTCTACCCTCAAAGGGCAAATATAGTTCTCTATCATACTGGCCTACCACTAAGTCATAGGTGGTTTCCTTGGTTGACTGGTAGATGAAGGTGACAGTGATGAGAATGATCAAAAACTGCAAAATAACCACCGGCTAGCCAACTAGCTAGAATTGTTAAAATACATAACACCAGCTCAGAGCAATAAAATACAATTTCTGTGCCACGAAACAAATTATTCTAAAAATCACAAATATTGCCTATTACCCAGCATCCAAAACACAAGTTTTCTACTGCCATCAATCTATACCAAGTCTGATTAAAACTACACAAGATAGAAAATGTCAAGTTCATACTCAAACTTTTGAGGTACAAAAAAAATACAAGAGGGCCAAGAAAAAAACATGGCAGTAACCAGTATCACAAAGGGATTAACCAACAGTTAACACACAAGACAGGATAGGATGAAAACCTGTCAAACTCACTTCTCCACATAAAACCTGTTCATAATGTAGGAAAACCAAAACGTTATTTGCATTCCAACCAACGATGACTTCTGAATAGATCTAAAACACCAAAATATTGACAATAACCAAAATGAAACCAACTGTGGCCAGCTAAGAGTGTCATGAATGCACACAGTTTTCAGTCCTCACACCTGTTAAATCTGTATTCAAATTCTATTAAATGACATCAGAAAATTACTCGAAGACCCTTAAAGTAGACGCCTTTCCCTGTTCCTGAATAGACTCTAAAATATTTTCACTGTAAATAATTCAGTAGTTTTAACTAAGTTTCAACAGTCATCTGCGGCTCTGAAAAAACTTTAAACATACATACATACCTTTTTTAAAAGTCAACACCTTCCATGTGCTTCCGAAAAATTGATGAGTAAGGTTTTTTAAAATACATGTTAAAAGCTGAAATGCACTTCATTATGAGATAATCATTCCCAGCGATAAATCAGACATAAACTTTTGAATTTGGTTTACGTTTCTCTTCACCAGTAATGTTCTCAAGTTCTTAGGAGTTTCCTAATCATTTACTTGAACACCATCTACGGTAACACTCAAAGCAAAACCACAATAAAGAGGTTTGGCCTCTGAGGGCTTCTACATGTAAAAAACATTACTCATAAATAATATACAATCACTACTGCTTTAAATAACAAATACATTTCTAAAAACTTTCATGCCATTTGATGGAATTCCCTATTTTAGACAGCAAAACAAAATCTATGAAACTACTGATGCGTGTTTTTTACTTTAGATATATTCCATGATAATACAAAACACCGACAAAAATTTCTTAAAACAACGTATGGAGTAATATTTTTAGTTTTTGATTATTTTTATTCAAAGGTATCATCATTTAAAGAGTGCAATTCACAGAAACAATAATTAGGCCAATTAATCTCAGAGTTAGATTATTTTAGGTTGCCCAATAATCCTATTTAATCCCAAGTATAAATAAACCAATGAAACCTTAACATGACATATTCATCTAATCAAAGAACAATATCCAGTTGGAACTGTGAAGTACTACTACACAGTCACACTGAAATGTCACCAATTCAAAAATAAGTACCTGATAAAATGAGACTTTTGGCAATCAACTGTAATGTTCTAAAGGATCCACCAAAAACTCATTCTTGTCTCACACACACACCCAATGCCTGTTCATTAAATGACACCAAGAACAGTTTAACTTCAAACTCTAACGCCAATGAAACAAATTCAGACATAAATTAAAAGATGACCAAAAGACTACATGAGTCTTGACATTTTATCCAAGTATTTATGAATGTTAAATCTAAAGTAGTTAACTCGTTTTAACATCACATGCAGTTTACGACCTTCATCAAAATGAAAAGGAATTCTTTCAACATTCTTTTCATCATCACAGAGCTTTAAACACAAACTTCCACAGTCACTGCTCATTTCACCATTTTACAAAATCGTCCCCCATCACCACCCCACATAAGCTAGTCAAAGAAAAAAAAAACTGACAGCTCAGTCTCCCACAAAATGCACTTACTTTATCAAATACCGACATTTATTTTCAAGTGCAAGAAAGTAACAGACATTTGCAGCTCAAGACAGGAAAAGCACAGCCAGCCTTACTACCCCCACTAAATTTCTCAGACAAGAGAAAAGTAACTCGGGACAGGCAAATTAAAACCATTCTACACATGGCAAAAATATAAAACATCTATGTCCTACAATCCATAGCGATAGTACTGCTTCCTCTCTTCCCCAGCCAATACCAATAAGCCAATAGACACAAGTGTCAAATAAATCCAGTGTCCGTTTGAAATAAAATGAAAACCTGGAAAAATTCCCTCCCATAAATCATTTAGCGAACACAAGGCTTTTCACCCAACACTTAATACACTCAACCCAAAAACACACACAACCCACCCGCAAATACAAAAAAAGCCGTAATCAACAAGTTGGAAAAAGGGCAGAAAGTAAGGCTCACTACCCTCTCACTTAAAAAAAAAAAAAAAAAAGTCCTTTAACAAAAGGTAACACAGATCTTCAAGTACCTGGTGGAGGTGCCTTTCCTCACATCGCAGATGCTGCATTTAAAGGCTTCAGCACTGTTTCTGAAGGTGCAGACGCTACAATCCCAAAACCCTTCGTCTGCGGCAGGTTTCGCTTGTCTTTTTGGCCTTCGGAGGAGTGGAGAGTGGGGGAAAAGGGAGGGAAGAGGCAGGGAGCAGGAAAACGGGGGAGAGACAGCAAAACACAGACGCGGGTGAGCCGTCGTAATTTCGCAGGAATCCAGTGCTGGAAACTTCGCTCGGGAGACCACCCACCCACCCTTTCCGGGGACTGGAAGAGGGAGCGAGGAAGGGAACCGGGCGCCCCCACTGGCACCCTGCAAGCCCCGGGCCCGGGCCGGATAGCCTCGCACACCAGGCGGTGGCGGCGGCGCCCCGGGAAGGGCCGCGGCGGGCGCAGGAAGCGGGCGGACTTGTGGACTTGAGCGTGGGGCTGGGGGGGCCGGGAGGGGAGCCGCGGGCCGGATCTGGAGGGGGCGCGCAGGGGCAGCCCGAGGCCGGCGACGGGGAGTGGGCCGGCTCCTTCCCTCTCCACTCCCAAGCTCGCGCCCTCCCTCCCTCCCCACCTGGTTAAATCTCCCTTTGTCTGGGAGGAGTGGCGGCGGCGGCGGCGGCGGCGGCGGCGGCGGCGGCGGAGGGCGGCTGAGGAGGAGCCGCCATGGCTGCGGCGCGCACGGCCGCCGGCCCCGAGCGGGAGCGACACCGCCTCCCGCCGCCGCCGCCACCGCCACCGCCCGCCGCCTCCCCCCGCCCCCGGATCTCCATCTTAGCAGCGCCTCCCCCCGCCCCGGGTGGCTCCGGGGCCTAGTCGTCGCCGGCCCCCGCCCGCCCCAGCCCTCCCTCCCCTTCCGCCCCCTCCGCTCGGAGCAGGTACCTGGTCGGGCTCTTCTTGTCGCCCATGGTCATGGATGGGCTGTACCCCGCCCCCCCCAAGCCGAAACCGGCGCCGCTCGGAGGAGAAACGCCGTCCGGGGAGTCGTCGCGGACCGGCCCCCCTCCCTCCCCCGCGCCCGCCCGCCCGCCCTCAGCCGCTGGGGCTCGAGCTCCGGCCGCCGCCGCCGCCGCCGCTGCCAGTCTCCGGACGAGACTAGTCCCCGCCAGCGCCGCCTCCGCCGAGTGACTGACGAGGGGCGGGGCCTGGCGCCGCGCGTCACGCGCCGTGCGGCCAATGGGAGGGCGGCGGCCGGCGCCGCGAGGGCGGAGGCGGGGCGCGGGGGAAGGCGGGGCGTGGCGGACGTGGGCCGGGCGGTCGGTGTGCGTGCCCGGGAGTGTGTGCGCGCTGGGGGCGCGCGTGCCTGTCGGTGGCCCCGCGGCCCGGCGCGGCGGAGCGTGCAAGCCCGGCGGGGCGCACGTGGCCGCGCCCGGGAGCTGGCAACTGGCTTCGGGCCCCGCACGGCGCCCCGTGAGGCTGTTGCCGGGACCCCGGCCCCGAAGCCGCCCCGGGGAAGTAGTTCCACGCAGTTTGCGCGCGCCGCGGGAGCTTGCAACAGCCTCACCGCTCGCAGCGCCTCGAGGCTTGCAGTGCCCAGGGGCCGACAAGGTCCACCTTTGGACCGCGTTCCCCCGCGCCCCTCTGTTCCTCTGCCATGCGGAGCTTTGTATTTGCCTCTTCTGAAGTCCCTGCGTCCGGCCGAGACGCTGGCCCGAAGCCCCACTCCCTGTCAGGCCCCTGTCGCGGGAGGGAACAGTAGAGAAAGGGCGTGGCATAACTAAATACCCCCAGGCCAGACTCTGAGCTTCTGCTGGCGGACTCCTCCTGGGATCCTCCTCTCCCCTAGAGTCTAAATAGGGCGTTTCCTTAGGGAAGTTGCTATTCAAATTCTGGCGACCACATGCCCGCATTAAAACCTCGTGCCTCAGCTCCTTCATCTCCAAAATGGGGCTCATCCTCCCAGGGTTGTTTTGAATATTCGGAGAAATCAGGCATGGAAGGTTCGCTGATGGATGCCTGGTATTCACGAAGGACCAAAACAAGATATTGGGTATTAGGAGCTATTATAACTGGGCCTGAATTGTGCACCATTTCCCCCGCGTTCGATTTTTGAAGTCGAGGAACAGGGTAGTGCCCTTCACTTTCTGCCCTGCTCCAAAAACGCTTGCCAAATTGACTTGAACGTGACTCAGGACCCTCTGTCCTCAGGCAGGGAGATCTGGTAGGAGGACGACCCCAGATGATAAAAGACACAGACGCGGCTGTGCTGAAGCCCCAGGTTAGGGGAGGGACGGAGTCTTAGAATGCTGCTAGGAGTTGGGGCCCGGGGGTGGGGGGATTGGAGTTAAGACAGACCCTCAGCCAGGTTTATATGCAAATATAAAATAGGTTGTTATCAGGACTGCCCCATGGAAGGGAAGCATATCAGGGCTTGCCACCAGGGAAGCTCACTGAGACTGAGCACCCAGGGAGCAGAAATTCCTAGAGATCAGTCCAGGGATCAGAAGGGAGAGAATAAAAGAGAGAATGAATGTGTCAACAATAAGTTTGATCAGCACGCAGTGTCCTCTCCAGGCAGGCGCACCCAGGAGGGCCAGGAGAAGCAACACTGTTTAGCAAGGGTCAGCAACCTCTCAAGGCCTCAATGCCACAGCTGCCTCCTTAGGGGAGGGATGAAAGAAGGAAGAGGAAGAGAGAGGGATAGCGTTCTAGGGGTAAAAGGGCCGTAGAAAGCCAAAGGGTACGTACACAAGCCATGGCCCAGTGCAGCTGCGCCATGGAGCAGCCTTGGCCTCTGGTGTCTCCCTGGCATGCTCCCAGGACTCTGCCCCTGGCATGAAGGTCGTGACAGAAACGGGGCACTAAGAAATCCTCACTGGAAGAGTGGCCTCCGGGGAGGTAGCTGGGAGCCATAGTAGTGGAAAGGAGACTTTGTTATTATTCTATACATAGAATAAAATACACAAATTTTCACACTGCAGCTTAGTGCATACATCTACACCCCTCTTTCCACCATTAGAACAATAAAACATTTTATCCTCCCAATGAGTCATCCCTCACTTAGGTAACCACAATTCCGACTTCTGTCACCAAAGATTAGTTTTGCCTGTTCTTTAAGGTCATATGCAGGGGTCATATGGTCTGTACTCTTGTGTCTGGCTGGCACCTTTCGCTCAGCATATTTGTGATATCCATCCACGTTGTTGCCTACATCAATAGTTCATTTTTGTTTGCTTAAGTGTGTAGAATTCCATTGCAAATACACTGTAATTTATCCATAGGAGGTTGACTGTTTTAGTATGTCGTTTTGTATCTTTGTCTTGTGTTATCTTTTCAAAAAAGAAAAAGTTTTTAAAAATGTGTTTAAGAAGGGCCAGGCACGGTGGCTCACACCTGTAATCCCAGCAGTTTGGGAGGCCGAGTGGGTGGATCACCTGAGGTCAGGAGTTCGAGACCAGCCTGGCCAACATGGTGAAACCCTGTCTCTACTAAAAATAAAAAAAAAATAGCCGGGCGTGGTGATGGGCGCCTGTAATCCCAGCTACTCGGTAGGCTGAGGCAGGAGAATTGTTGGAACCAGGGAGACGGAGGTTGCAGTGAGCCAAGATTGCACCATTGCACTCCAGCCTGGGCGACAGAGCAGGACTCCGTCTAAAAAAAAAAAAACCAAAAAATCAAAAAAATGTGTTTAAGAAAAACAATTTCAGAGTAGAGAACTATCTCTAGGAACTTATCAGACCCAAGGATCACCATGTGGTTGTAACTTTAGAGGCTCTAATTTCATTCAGATGTTGGAGGCAAATATCTATTGAAAGTCTCCTTGTAGTTGTATGAGTCAAATGGGACTATTTCTGGTACAGTGTGCTCCAGAGTGCTGTGGCTCTAGGCAGAGCGTACTGTGATTCTGGAGTGGGGTTTAGAGGCTGAGCTGGGTGGGGAACTAATTTTCCTCTAAGATGTCATCTTGGACCAGTATGGGGTGAGAGTAACAGTGAGAGTTGCCAGCCAGTCCCTGCTCCTCTGTTTCCTCCCTTGAACCTCCATTTCATATTTCATTTGACAAAAGGGTTCTACTGCTTTAAAAATTATTTGATTGAGAGGCCGAGGCAAATGTTTCACTTGAGGCCAAGAGTTTGAGACCAGCCTGGCCAACATGGTGAAGCCCTGTCTCTACTAAAAATACAAAAATTAGCCGGGCATGGTGGTGCACTCCTGTAGTCTCAGCTACTTGGGAGGCTGAGGTGTGAAGATCACTTGAGCACAGTAGGCGGAGGTTGTAGTGAGATGAGATCACACCACTGCACTCCCGCCTGGGCAACAGAGTGAGACTCTGCTTCAAAGAGAAAAAAAAAATTGTTTGAAACCCGTGGTTTTAGTGTAGATGCTGGTTAGAAGCACTGGCCAAGAAATGTCCAGTATAAATGTTTCCACAGATACATAAGACACATTCGAAGTCTACATTTTGACTTCCTTCCCCTCATTCGCTTCACTCACACCGGCTTCCTGGCTGTTCCTAAAACAGTTCCCTACCTTCAGGGCCTCAGAGCCTTCACACTTACTGCTTCCTTGGCTTGGAATGCTCTTTGCGCAGATACCCACATTCATTGTCAGCTGCCTCAATTCCTTCAGGTCTTTACGCAAAAGTCAATTCCTCACTGAGATTTTCCCTGGTCACGCAATCTACATCTGCATGTGTTTTGTTTCTTTTCCTTTCCTTTTCTTTTTTTTTTTTTTTTTTTTTTTGGAGACAGAGTCTTGCTCTGTTACCCAGGCTGGAGTGCAGTGGCAGGATCACAGCACGGCTCACTATAGCCTCAACCTCCTGAACTCAGACAATCCTTCCACCTCAGCCTCCTGGGTAGCTGAGACTACAGGCATGTAATACCACACCCAGCTAATTTTTCTTTTTTTTTCTTTTTTTTTTTTTTAAGTAGAGAGAGGGTTTCACCATGTTGCCCGGGCTGGTCTGGAGCTCCTGGGCTCAAGAGATCCTCCGGCCTCAGCTTCCCAAGTTGCTGGGATTATTGGCGTGAGGCACTGCACCCGGCCCAATCTAAAAATTTCATACACCAACCCACAACCTGATGTCCCATGTCCCTCTGTCCTGCTCTACTTTTCTCTCCTTAGCATACCCTACATTTGGCTCTTATAATGAGGAGACTTTTTCTCTAATGTACCCCACAGTTCAGTTATCTTGTTTAAGCAGATCCTTGCCCCAGTAGAATATATGCTTCATGATGGCAGGGATTTTATTTTTCTGCTGTGTTCCCCCCACCATCCCACCTAGTATATATCAAGTGCCTAGAACACTGACTAGTGTACATTCGTTGAAAAAAAAATCTCTTTCATTTAACAATATATTGAGTAGCAACTAGCTATCATGCTCATGCCAGGGAATGGAAGATCAGATAAACAAAATAGACTTCATTCCTAATCTTTTGGAGTTTACCTCCTAGTTGAGGAGCCAGACATTATACAAGTAATTACAATTGTGACAATTGCTACAAAGACAAAATACGAGATGAGAGGTGAGAGGGTGCTAAGAGAGGGAGGTTGTTGATGTAGCCGGTGGAGCCGGGAACTCCCCTGAAAAAGTTAAGTTGCCCACAAGAAAAAAAGGCAAAAGCAGTCAGGTGTCTGGTGCTTTGGAGGAGCTAAAGGCAAGCAGCTGTGGCCAGAGTCCCGCCAGAGAGGAGAAATGAGGCTGGAGAGGCAGGTGGCTGGATAGATCCATATGGCAGGGTAGGGAGTGAGTTGGGAGTGAGGTCTTTATCCTGAATGCGATGGAAGCCACTGATGAGTTTACAAGAATATGTCTACCTGGGACTGTCAGTGTCTGCCTTAAAGAATTAGATGCTGGGAGAAGCAGACTCCTTGGAGGAGGGGAGGTAGTGGAAGGACCTTTAAAGTGGCCCGGATTCAGACCATGAAGGGCAGCTTGGGTGGGCTTCCCTCCTTTCTTCAGCTCAAGAAAGAAGTGAAAGCCACTGAGGCTTGCCAATGGGAAGGGCTGGAAAGTTATCAACTCAGGCTTCCTCCTGCCGTTAAATTTGCAAGTGCTACTCCCTAGACGGAAACCTGAATACTCACTAAGCCTAGGACTTTGAACCTTAGGAATCCCCAATGAAGGTATTATAAACAAGTGAGAGAAAAAAGGTTTGCTCCAAACACCTCAGTGCTTACCCCTGCCCCACCCATGATACACCTTCTTATGGTCTGAGTCCCACACCCTGATCGGGGGTGACATTTTCAACAATCTGCAGTGCAATGAGAAAAATAAAGGGTAAATGTATGAGTACTTTCCTATGACCAGATAAATTACCAATGGTTGATTCTTGGGAAAGACTATTTTTTATTCTGAGATGATGTTCTTTCACTTTTTTTCTTTTTTCAGAGGTTTGGGTAATTTAAGCGTCCCTTCTTTAATGGAATGATGGCAATAGTACGTGGCAGTTGCCTTTCCTAAAATGTCCTCAATTGACCAGATCACCAGTGGGCAATTCGGTGTTGATTTCTCAATTCTCTGCCCTCGCTGATTTTATCCGTGTAGTTTTAAGGGCACCAAGACCTAGATGATCTTAATGAAGCTTTCCGAGTTATGTGTGATTGAGGGGAAGAGGAAGGAGAAAACTGTATCACGAGGTGACTGAAAAAGCCACCCAAGAAGGAGTGAAGCCAGAAAGGTTAAAATGTCAATCCTAATAGCTAGGAATTAATGCCCTGCTTTGCACATAATATTCCTTCAGTGGCTTAAAAGAGAAAACTGTTGCTTGGAGCAGCTACCTACCTGGAGCTGGAGGGTCTTAGGAACTAGGGAGAACCCAGCTCATCTCACTTAAAGCCTGAGGCTTGTGCTGGTATCACTGGGTACATCTGGAGACTAATGCTGAAGATAAGATTAACTTCTAAAGAAGCTCCCCTGGAGTCAGAGCGAGATGGAACTTCCCTGACCATCTGCGTTGAACCTTCACCAGATTTTGCAACCTGGTGACATTTTACAGTGTCATCTGTGCACGTGCTTATCAGAGATGTGAAGTTTCATTGATCTGCCTCTTCCATAGTAGGAAATATCACAAGTCAAAATTGTCCTGGCTTATACGTCACACCCTCGACAAAAATTAACTCAAACTGTATCATAGACCAACATGTGAAACCTAAACCTATAAAACTTCCAGAAGAAAATATAGGAGAAAATCTTTGTGGCCTTGGGTAGGCAAAGGTTTCCTAGATATTAAACGAAAAGCACGATCCATAAAAGAAAAAGTTGATAGCTTCTACACCATCAAAGTTAAAAACTTCTCTCTGAAAGACACTGTTAAGAATATGAAGGGACAAATCAAAGACAGAAAATATTTGCAAAGCACATATCTGATAAAAGACTTATATCCAGAATATATGAAGAACTTTTACCGTGCAATAAGAAGACAAGCCACCTAATGAAAACATGAACAAGAGATGTGAGTGGACACTCCACCAAAAGATACACGAATGCACAATAGGTACATGAAAAGATGCTCGACATCATTATTCATTAGGGAAATGCAAATTGAAACCACAAAGAGACACCACTGCACATCAGAATGGCAAAAAAGACAAAAAAACAAACAAAAAAAACCACCTGACAATCCCAAGTGCTGGAGAGGATGTGGAGTGACCCTCACACATTGCCAGTGGGAGTGCAATATGGTACAGTTCCTCTGGAAAAACAGTTTGGCAGTTTCTTATAAAGTTAAACATACACTTACCATATGAGCCAGCAGTCCCACTCCTAGGGATTTACCAAAAAAAATGAAGACATATGTTCACATAAAAACCTGTGCTCAGATATTTATAGCAGCTTTATTCATAATCACCAAAACTTGGAAACAACCCAAATGCCCTTTAACTGGCGAGAAAATAAACAAATTGTGGCACATCCATACCATGGAATACTACTCATCAATTAAAAGGAACACACTACTGATCTATGCAATGTGGATGAATCTCAAATACATTATCCTAAGTGAAAGAACACAGTCTCAAAAGGTCACATACTGTGTGGTTCCATTTACGTAACTTTCTGGAAAAGGCAAAATTAGAGGGATACAGAACAGATCAGTGGTTGCCAAGGATTAGGGGTGGAGGGAGCATTTGACTACAAAGGAGTGGCAGCAAAAAAGAATGCAGGGGGAGGGTGGAAGTTATCTACATCTTGACTATGGAGGTACTTAGAAGATAGAATGCATTTGTCAAAACTCAGACCTGTACATCAAAACGAGTAAATTTTGCTACTCAGGAGGCTGAGGCAGGAAGATTGCTTGAACCTAGAAATTTGAGGCTGCAGTGAGCTATGGTCATGCCACTGCTCTCCAACCTGAGAGACAGAACAAGAACCTGTCTCTGAAAAAAGGTAAGTAAATTTTACTGTATATAAGTTACATCTCAATAACTCTGGATTGAAAAGTTCCCTAAGCATCTACACTCCATATTCCTTCCCCTCTTAAAGTAATAACCATAAGACCTAGCATCGTGTAGCTTTGCTGTCTGCCTGGCACTGTGAATAATCCTGTCCTTTCCAGAGTATTCTTCTTTTCAGTAATTTATCCAGTTACTCAAGCCATAATCCTTGGAGTTATCCTTGACTTCTCTCTTTTTCTTATACCCTACATCAGTCCAGCCTTTGCACTTGACCTTCAGTATATATCCTGAATCTGACCACTTCCCATTATCTCTATTGCTGTCGCTCCAGTCCAACAAAGAATTACTTCTCAGCCTCCTAACTGAAAAGAGGAGGACTTCTAGTCTTCTCTTCTTGCACTCTGTACTGTCAGGATATGCTTGGTTATGCTATGGTAACCCTCCCAAATCTTCGTGATTTATCCCAACAAAGTGATTAAAGGGATTTCTTGCTAAAGCCACTTGTCTGCAGGTCAACACCTCCACCCTGTCTCTCCTCACTCTTTGGACCTAGGCTGTGGTGGCCTGAATGTGTCCCCCACAATTCATGCGTTGGAAATTTAATTCCCAATGCAACAGTGTTGGGAAGTAGTGCCTTTGCAGAGGTGTTTAGGTCATGAGGGCTCTATTCTCATGAATGGATTAATGCTGCTATAAAAGGGCATGGCAGAGGGAGTTCATCCTCTTTGCCCTACTGCATTCTGCCATGTGAGGACACAGCGTTCCTCCCCTCTGGAGGATACAGTGTTCAAGGTGCCACCTTGGAAGCAGAGAGCAGCCCTCAATAAATGCTAGCACCTTGATCTTGGACTTCCCTGCCTCCAGAACTGTGAGACAATAAATTTCTGTTCTTTATAAATTACCCAGCAGTCTTGGGTGTTTTGTGATAGCAGCACAAACAAAGACCCAGGCTTTCTGAGCTGCATCCAGCTTGAACATCATTGGTGGCTGTAAAGGAGCTCTAGAGGCACGCATTCTGGCAACCAGCTGCCTGGCCTGGAAGTGACACAGTGACCTGTGCTCACAACTCATTGGTCAGAGTCTCATGGCCACGCTGCACAACAGGAAGCATAAACAGGAAGCCAGCATGTGCCCAGGAGGTAGAGAGCAAGAAATATTTGGCCATCGGCCTTGTGATTACCATGATTCTTTAAAGTCTTCTCTCAAAACCACGTCAAGAGATCCTTTTAAGATGCTGGTGACTCACCTGCACAAAATCCTCAAATGACTTTCATGACATTTAGATGAAAATCCAGAATCTTGACTCTGGCCTTCAAGACCTGCTAACTTCATCCACCCCTGGCTTCTTCACCCCCAGCTCAGCTCTAGGAACTTGGGCCCCTTGCTGTTTCCTGCCATGTTCGGCCCCTCCTCAGGGCCTTTCTGCCTGTTCTCCTCTGGATATTCCCACAGCTACATTGCTCTCATAGTCCAGGTGGATGCTAAATGCCCCTTCTTCAGGGAGGACTTCCCTGACTAGGACATCTTACATAGCATAATCCCCAGTCACTGCCACCCTCACCCTGCTTTATCTTTCTTTACACCCTTAGCATGACCTAGCACTGTATGATGGTGTGTGTGTGTGTGTGTGTGTGTGTGTGTGTGTGTGTGTGTGTATGTATGTTTTGGCCTGGTTCATCCAGTAGAATGTAATATTTGTTGGGACAGGGACTTTCCTTTGTTCAATCCTAGTTTGTGGGCCTGTCTCCCTGTGAGTTTTTGCCATAGCAGTCCAGCCACACATGCCAGAGCCCAGGAAATGGATGATGAACTTTAGTACATTCCAGTTTGAGCCTTGTGAATATTCAGGTGAGTGGTTCCCTATGATGGTATGATTTCCTTCAGTTTTTCCATAATTTTTTTTTTTTTGAGATGGAGTTTTGCTCTTTGTTGCCCAGGCTAGAGTGCAATGGCGTGATCTCGGCTCACTGCAACCTCTGCCTCCCAGGTTCAAGCAATTCTCCTGCCTCAGCCTCCCGAGTAGCTAGGATTACAGGTGTGCACCACCACGCCTGGCTAATTTTGTATTTTCGTAGAGACGGGTTTTCTCCATGTTTGTCAGGCTAGTCTCCAACTCCTGACCTCAGGTGATCCGCCCTCTTCAGCCTCCCAAAGTGCTGGGATTACAGGCATGAGCCACTGTGCCCGGCCGTGTTTTTTGTTGTTATTGTGATTATTGTTGTTTGTTTTTTGAGAGAGGGTCTCACTCTGTTCCCAGGGCTGGAGTGCAGGGGTATAATGTCATCTCACTGCAGCCTTGACTTCCTGGGCACAAGTGATCCTCCCACCTCAGCCTCCCAAGTAGCTGGGACTACAGGCATATACCACCATGCCCAGCTACTTTTTGTATTTCTTGTAAAGACGGGATTTCACCCTGTTGCCCAGGCTGGTCTCGAGCTCCTGGGTTCAAGCAATTCACCTGCGTCAGTCTCCCAAAGAGCTGGGACTACAGGCGTAAGTCACTGCGCCTAGCCAGTTCTGCAATGTTTATTAAAGCCCCGGGCCCAGAAATTGCTTCCCCAGCAGCTTGTTCTTTTTTTATTATTATTTTATATTTGAGACAAGGGTCTATTTTTCTCAGGCTGGTCTCGAACTCCTGAGCTCAAGAGATCCTCCTTTCTTGGCCTCCCTAGTATCTGGGACTACAGGCACATACCACTGTGCTCGGCTACTGGCAGCTTGTCCTTGATACTTGAATTTCCACCCTTAGAGTCAGAGTCATAGAATGTTGAAGATGGAATGAAGAGTTAAGACCATCCATCTAGTACTGTCTTAGTTCAGAGGCAAAAACCCAGGGGCAGAGAGATCACAGAGGGCCTTCACATACATTGTTGCCTCTCACAGCTGCCTCTGTGTGAATTACCATTGACACTGGCAGGGTATGTAGTTCATCCAAGTTCATTCCTGCAACTCTCCAGGTTTTGTACCTGGACTTCAAAACCTGCTTTTCTGATTGCAGATTCTATTATGCTGCAAATGGAATCCCTAGAACTCAAATATCCTGACATTCATTAAGAGTAAGGTTAAGAAAGAGACTTACCCACAGGAACATCTAATAATGTTCGGGTCTATGTACACATTGTTATGAGCTGAACTGTGTCCCCACCCCCACTCCCAAATCAATATGTTGAAGCCCTAGTCCTGGCTACCTCAGAGTTTGACTGTATTAAAGATAGAGTCTTTAAAGAGGTGATTAAGTTAAAATAATGCCATTTGGGTGAGCCCAGTCTGACTGGTAACCCTATAAGAAGAGGAAATTTAGACACTCTACATAGAAAAATGAAGACAAATGCACACACAGAGGAAAGACCGCGTAAAGACACAGCAAGAAGGTGGCCTTCTGCAACCCAAGGAGAGAGGCCTCAGGAGAAACCAAACCTGCTGACACCTTGATCTTGGACTTCTAGGTCCTGAACTGTGAGGAAATAAATCTCTGCTGTTTAAGTAGAACAGTTTGAGTTACTTTGTTACAGCAGACCCAGCAAACTTATCCACACATCATGAGTTTGTGGGTAGCTAAAGAGAGGCTGCCCTGGCCAGGTGCAGAGGTTCACACCTGTAATCCCAGCACTTTGGAATGCCGAGGTGGGCGGATGGCTTGAGCTCAGGAGTGCAAGACCAGCCTGCCCAACATGACAAAACCCTGTCTCTACAGAAGATACAAGAATTAGCCGGGCATGGTGGTGCATGCTTGTAATCAGCTACTCAGGAGGCTGAGGTGGGAGGATCGCTTGAGCCAGGGAGGTCAAGGATGCAGTGAGCTGAGATCATGCTACTGCACTCCAACCTGGGCAACAGAGCGAGACCCTGCCAAAAAACAAAAACAAGAGAGAGGCTGCCTATGAGATAATAATAACCAACACATAGGGAGTGCTTACTCAGACAAGGTGCTAAGCACTTTAGGTGTTAACTAATGAACTAATAACTCAATGAATATTAACAATAAGCATATGAGGTAGATTATATTACAGTGCCCCTTTTATAAATTAGGAAGTTAAGAAGCAGTAAAGTTAAGTCACTTACCCTGAGTCGCACATCTGGGAAGTGACTGGGCTGAGACTTGAACCGAGGCAGCTTGGGCTCCAGAGTCCAGGCTCTGAAGGAGCTAGTTAGTCAGTTATGATCATTTCTATCTTCCAGATGCGGAAACTAAGACTTAGACACTGGTCCAACCCCACAGCCAGGGTGTGGCAGAACCAGAATTTCCAGTTCTTTGTACTTCATCACAAACCAAATCCCTGGAACTCAAGAATCCTGAAAGTTGTTAACTGAAGGAAGGAAAGGGGCCCACCCGGAGGAGGAAGGGCAAAAATCTATTTATACACAAAACAGCTTTGCAAGGGGGAGAGGCACCTGATATAAAAGTTTTGGGTCACTTGAAGCATGACAGGAAGATGGTAAAATGGAGCCAGAATCTGAGAAGGCTGGGAAGAGGGGGAAGTACCAGCTGCAGAGGTTTGAAGGGCGCCATGTCCCTCACCTCTTCAGAGCTTCTTCTCCCTGTTGCTACCGCCAAGAGAAGAGAGGTAGGGTATCTTGCCCAAGGTCACACAACTGGGAAGACAGTTGGCGGGATGCATTCAGGTCTCCTGACTCCAAGTCCATTCTCTTCTTACTTTTATTTTTAGTCTTGACAGATATTTATGAAGTACCTACTATGAGCCAGATACCACGTGCTGACAATACAAGGATCACGGACACTGCAGGCCTCACAGTCTGGAAGAAGGAGGCACATGAGCAGGTGATGGGAACAGGGAGGTGGCCGGGTGATTGGTCACTTGTCACCCTATGTTCTTTTGTCTGCCAGTATTTTCCCCTTTCTCAAGCAGACTGTTGATGCTGCCCGTCTTAGGAAATGTGGCAGAGGAGAAGCAAAAAAGGCCCGTCAATCTCTGCCTCTCGTGTTCCCTGATCCGTAATTCTAAACCCCCGAAGTCCCTGGTAGGAGAACTGAGAGTAGGTGGGGGATAGACAAATGTTTGGAAGGAGGAAGGTCAGGGGAGTGCTTCCTCCAGGCACCGGGGAAGGAGAGAAGATGAAAAGTTCATAAGGTAGAGGGGGCTGTGGGCCAGAGAGGAGGGGGAGCCTGCCTACAAATGGGGCTGTGGGAAGGTGGCCGGACCCCGGAGCAGGAGTGGCAGTGGTTGTGTGTCTATGTACAGGCCACTGTGCAGAGCCTCCAGGATCTCTAGCCTGGGTTGGGCATTGCCAAGACAACTCCTGGACTTGAAGGGGCCATGAAGGGGAAACTAGGGATATCTCTATGGCAACCTGTGATTAACACATGCCCTGAGACCAGATAGACACCCCCCTTAGCACTGAAATTGAGTCAGGATATGGGTTCAAAATAAAAATCAAGGTGACAGAGAGAGAACAATAAGGAAAGACATTTCTGGCATGTCTGAAATTCCTACCTGCTATGTTATGAGAGACACACATCAAAGTGTATGGGAGCATACTGGCCAAGCAGTATGGTTCAGGGAAACAAGTCAGGAAGGGTATCCAAGGTCAGGGAACAGCACATGTGGTGACACTAAGGAGAAGAGCCTTGTGGACTGCAAGGCAACCAGTGTGCTGGAACTTGGAGTGCATGTGGATTGGTGGATGTGAGCATCCAGAGAGGTAAGCTCTGCCTTGAAGCATCTTACGAACCATGCTGATTGGTTGGATTTTATCTTGAAGACAACGGTGGGCTATTCACTGATGATGGTTAGATTTTATCTTGAAGAGAATGACGGCCTATTCACAGACTATAATTGGGAAATTTATAGAATTTACATTGAAATTTTTTAAATGTCTTTAGGAACAATGCAGATAGTAGTAGCTTGGATCAGAGTGAGAAAGGGAACAGAAGACCAGTAAAAATAACAAATAACTAAAAAAGACACGGAGAGGGTTTCTGGGAAAAAATGAAGAGATTTCCAACAGTAAAAGCTGCTGGACTTAATTCATGATTGGACACTCTGGATAAGGCAGAGGGAGGAGTCAAGAATAATACCCAGGTTTCTGACTTGGGTGACTGAGTGGATCGTGGTGCTATTCACAGAGATAGAGTCACAGGAGGAGAGGCTGTTTAGAGGAGGAAATATTGACCTAAGTTACAGATATGATGAATACAGTGTGTTATTTGGGACGCTTGTGTCTGCAAGTAGCAACCACCACAGCAACAACAAACCCATACAAACCGTGAGGAAATGTATTATTAATATTCAACATAGTTGAAAGCTCCAGTCCCAGATGAGGTACAATCAACTTGTTCGTAAGCACACAGATTCCATCCTTTTCTTACTAGCTTCAACCTGACATTGGTTCTCCTCATGGCTGCAGACAGTTGTCACCACTCCAATATTACAAGGTGCAGCATCGAAAGGAAGAAGAGGGACCATTTTTTCATGTGTCTTCTTAGGAGGGAGAAAAACCTTTCCCAGACGTCCCCAGCAATCTTCCCCTTCGTGTCTTACTGGCAGAATTGGGTCATGAGCCCACTCCTAAAATAATCACTGGCTTTAGCCAACCATCAGGAATGAAATGGCAGTTGGGGAGTACACCACCCCACCTCTACAAGGAGGCTGTGTCACATGCAAATGGAGATAGCATGAAAACAGTTGGAAACCAGCATCAGAAGACAGATTTTGGCTGAAGATATCATAGAGGAGTTAACTACAGGAAAGGCTGAGAAGAAGCCCCAGCTGAGACAGGGGCAGAGAGGAGAAAAAGGAGCCAAACACAGAACTCTGGAGAACACCTCTATTTAAGGGAGGGGCTACTTGAGAAGGCACCATTAGAGTTTAATAGCTGAGAACTTGACTCTGGATTCAAACAGACCTAGGTTGGGATTCCCATTCCTGCTACTTATTAGCTATGCCGCCTTGGGTGAGGATCCCTTAATCACTCAGAGCCTCAGTTTTCTTATCTTTTTTTTTAAATTTAATTTAATTTAATTTTTTCTGAGATGGAGTCTCGCTCTGTCACCCAGGCTGGAGTGCAGTGACATGATCTCGGCTCACTGCAACCTCTGCCTCCCTGGTTCAAATGATTCTTGGGCCTCAGCCTCCCAAGTAGCTGTGATTACAGGCGTGTGCCACCATGCCCAGCTAATTTTTGTATTTTTAGTAGAGATGGGGTGTCACCATGTTGGCCAGGCTGGTCTGGAACTCCTGACCTCAAGTGATCTGCCCGCCTCGGCCTCCCAAAGTGCTGGGATTATAGTCATGAGCCATCACTGATGTTTTCTTATCTTTAAAATGGAACCAATAAGCCCAGGAATGCTATGAATTGTTGATACGAAGAGGCATACAAAGCCTAAACACAAAGCCTTCAGTCCACAGTTGCTACCCCATAGCTGTTGAGGAAAAAGAGAGCAGCCTAGAAGAGGGTCTTAGAAGGAGTGATGGAGAAAGCTAGAGGATAGCCAGGATGGGATGGTGTCATTGAAGCCACAGGGTAAGAGAACTTCAAGGAGGAAAGAGTTGGCAATTATGTCATCTGGCTGAAGAGAGGTCAGGTCAGAAGAGGGCTGAAAAATGCCCTTTGGATTTAGCAATTAGAAGGTCACTGGTACCCTTGACAAGAACACTTTGAGTGGAGTGCTGGGGCTGGAAGCCAGGAAGCAGGGGTCAGCGGTCAAGCCCGGAATCCAAGCTGCCTGGCTGCCAACGTCAGTGTTCTCTTTGCTATGCCAGGAGCTGCTTCCTTTTGAGAATTCCCATTGAAGTCATGCCTCAAAAATACTCATTTGGAGAGCACTAAACAGTAGGATTCCACAATCTGTGAATGAAAATGGCCCCTCTTCATCTTTTTAAATTTTTTTGTGTGGATAAAGCAAAGGTGGTTGTTTCCTTTCATTAGAAATATGTTATATCCTTTTGGAGGGTTTGTATTTACCATTTCATTGATATATTCTTCTTTCTTATATAACATATTTTGCAAAAATAAAAACAAACAAAACAAAACCCAAACAACATATGTGCTTTGCATGAAACTCAGAAAGTTCAAACCCCTCGCTCTGTGTACGTGTTTGAGGCAAAGTGTGGGACTAGGAAAACTCTAGGAGAACCGTGCCACTTGGCAAATCCTCCTTTAACAAATGATAGCAGTTGCATTTAAGATTCATTTGGTCATACGGATCATGTTTGTCAGGGCTGTCATTAAAAGCCTAATATTTCCCCCATTGCAGACTGTCTCCGAGTAATCCAAACGTGGGCAGCAGCTAAGCACGGTCAATTTCATGACCTCCTTCCTGCTACCCACCTCCCCCTCCCAGCTATCTCAACTCCCAAGTGGATGATCCCTCATCCCTAGCAACAACTGCAGCTGCTACTGTTTCTTGACTCTGGCGAAGAAAGTGGGCTTGGGGCCAGGCCTACTGTCCAGGGCTCCCAGTGGAAGATGCTAGAAGAGGGCAGCGCACACTCTCTCACCGTCAGTGACCCAAGTTCATCACCTTGACCAAACATCTGGATTACAACACACAGAGTTCAAAGGTCCAGAGTGTGTGTCTGCACCTGGCCAGGCTGTTTAAACGGAGCTGACTTAAACCAAACACCAGACCTCGGTGCTGTTATTTATGTGGAAGATTGGATGCCAAGTATAAATAATAACTACAGCATCTTCTCTCCACAGGCTTTGTGATTAAAGGATGCATATAAAGGATGCATATTCACCATCTACTGTGCATGAAGAGCTACCCACCTCTACTCTGAGTACCAGACTCTTCTCCCTAGCAGGCAGATTTCCTTTCTACCAACCGTTTTTTAATGTTTGTTTGCCTGAATAGTATCGAGACTCCCTTCTGCTGTGGAGCCCTCACTGGCCTCTTCATTTCAGGTCATCAGGTGGAGAGCACGCTGCAGAGAGGACTGTTCCCATGCCCAGGAGAGGCTTGCGAGTGAGCTCCGTGTAATCACTCACTGGCAGAATGCAGTGCAGGGGGCTGGGGTTACAGTCAGCGAGGAGCGAGGCACGATGATGCTTTGGAGTGGAAGTGAGCTTTCAAATCTCAGCAGCCCTGAGTGATTCCTCCACTTAGGGCCAGTGTGTGTGTGATGGGTGTGGTTGAGAGCTGCCAGGGGCACAGCAGGCGTGGCAGTAGAGGGACAAGTTAGACCATGAGGTTGCTGGGCACAGCACTGGACTTGGTTTTTCTGTTTTTAGAAAGAGCCCTCAAAATAGAGCATCATTTTTCCCACAAACATGATTTCACCTATTGTCTTGATTGTCATTGTTATCCAGTGTACTAAGTACTAGGGAACAGGGCCATTTGTGATAATATTATGAGGGAAGAGAAGACAAGGCTCAAAACCCCAACTAGGATTCTTCGGTTAGAGAGAAAGAAGTGATTGAATGGGAGCATTCAATCATTCCTTCATTCGACACATACTTACTGAGCACCTATTATGTGCCAACACCACGCTGGTTACTAAAGCTATAATGATGAAGATGACAGATGAAGTTGCTCCCATCACAGAGCCCACTCTTCCATGAAGCTAGACTGCATGCCTACTGGGTGCCATGCCCTCCTAGATAACAGCCTTTGGAAGCAGATGAGACAATCAGACAAGTCACTTCAAAAATGTGTCACGAGCTGGGCGTGGTGGCTCACGCATGTAATCCCAGCTCTTTGGGAGGCCAAGGTGGACAAATTGCTTGAGGTCAGGAGTTTATTACCAGCCTAGCCAACATGGTGAAACCCTGCCTCTACTAAAAATACAAAAATTAGCAAGGCATGGTGGTGGGTGCCCGTAATCCCCGCTACTCAGGAGGCTGAGGCAGGAGAATTGCTTGAACCTGGGAGGCAGATGTTGCAGTAAGCCAAGGTATCACCGCTGCACTCCAGCCTGGTGACAGAGTGAGACTGTGTCTCAAAAAATAAAATAAAAATGTGCCGTGAGTGTGGTGATCAAGGAAGACCAGGAAGCTATGGATGATAAGAAGGAGACCTGGTCTAGTTTCATAGTTCTCTACTGGGGGAAGTTACTCTCCACAGGTGACATTTACAGTGTCTGAAGACATTTTTGATTGTCACATGGGTTGGCGGGGTTGCTACTGGCATCTAGTGAGCAGAAGCCAGAGATGTTGCTAGACATCTACAAGGCACAGGTCAGCCCCCGCACAAAAAGAATTATCCAACTCTAAAGGCCAGTAGTGCTGAGGTTGAGAAACTCAGGTGTGGTCCTTGGGTCAAGTAATGCTTTTGGGAAGAAGTGCAGTTTGACTTGAGAACTGAATGATGCCAGGAGTTCAGAGTGCTGAGAATTGATGTCCACCATCTAATCAGAGGAAATAGTGGAAGGAAAGAGGAATTCACAGGAGCTTGAGCTCAGGATACAGAGACAGTGAGGGGAGGTCGTAGGAGACGAAATGCAAAAATCAGTGTGTACTCAGAGAGACTAGAGGGCCTTCTATGCCGTGCTATGAAATGTGGACTTTATTTGGAGGGCATGATGGCTAATACAGTCTCCACATCATACCCCCGCTCACATACACACATACCCTCTTGGACATTTTTAAAGCCAGTGAGATGATTCAGTTTGCTTTTAGAAAACCCACTCTACCAGCAATGCAGATGATTGGAGAGGGAAGAGATTGGAGGCAGGTGAAACCTTATGCACTATAGAAATGATAAATGGAGGCTGTTGCAGTGAACATGGGGAAGCTGCAATAGACTCCTGAGAATAGAGAAATTTTCATACTTGGTGATGAATTGGATATTGGGAGAGAACGAATTGCTTAGGATGACTCTGGGGTTTCTAGCTGTGGGCTAGTATGAGTGGTGAAGTGTGTTATAGAGAAGCTTGTAAAGGGACACAGTTCAGTTTAGGAAATGCGATGTTGACGGTCCTATGAGGACATCCAGTTGGGCATGTTCTGCTCACATCTGGTGCTGCAAAAAGATCTGTCTATGAGATATGAATGGGACCATTGCTAGCACCCACAGATGGTAACCAAAATCTTAGAAGTGAAAGCAGCATGCCAGGAAAGTGCTGAGTGAGAGAAGAGAAGGCAAAGGGCAGAATGTCAGGGTTCGTAGGTAGGTAAGGAGGCAGAAAGAAGGGACCACAGAGGAGGGGCCAGAGAAGTAGAAAGAAAGAGCAGTGAGGCCCACTGAGGGAAGGATTCACTTTAGGAATGAGAACATGGTCAAGCTGTTTAATGGAACAGAGGTTCAGCAGAATGCAAAATCAGATGGAGCTATTGGACATGTCAATCAGGAGGTCATTGATGACCTTTTCAACAACAGTTTCACTTTAATAGTGAGGGTGGAATTTATTTAAAGACACTTGACTACCCAAATGTAGAGGAAGAAAATAAGAACAGAATGTCTTTATATCTCAGCAGAATTTGAATAGCAGTCATTTTCCAGGCTTGGCAAACAGAAAAGGAGTATACTGATTAATTAGCAGAAAACCAGATTAACAGTAGCCCAAATCATAAGAACAGTTATTGTATACTAAGAAAGAAGTCTGGAGAGCAGCAGCCTCCAAGTTGATTTGGCAGCTTAGCAATGTCATTAAGAATCTGGACTCTTCCTATTTTTCTGCTCTGCCATCTTAACAGTGTTGGCTTTTGTCCTCATGCTTGTATCTCCCTCATGGTCCCAAAATAGCAGCTTGCAGCTCCAAGCATCCCATGACGGTAGCTAAAGCAGGGAGGAAGAGGGCAGGGACCAAGATGAGGCTCACCTCATGTTCCTCTCTCCTTTTATTATGACACTTCCCCTTATGTCTCATTGGCCAGAATGCATTCACATGCCCTCACCTAGACCAACTAAGGTAAAGCCAAATGAGACTGCCATAAATGGCTTGCATTAATCAGGCTTTTTACCCTGGGGCTAGGCACGTGGCTGCCTAAGCAAAATTTGTGTTCTGTTCACAAGGGAGAAGGGGGACTCGCAATGGGGGTGGCCACCAATGGTGTCTGCTGCAGGAAATCATCCTTTCACAGGGTGAGGGCAAGCTATAGAGGGCAAACCAGAGGCCTTACAGAATGAGGCAAGCCCTTGGAGAGCTTCAAAAAGAGTAATTCGCTTCTGTAGTTGATATTCACAGCAGAAACATTTTAATATCCACCATTAATAGCATACCAATGTTGGGCAGAAGGCTGATTGCTTTGCAGAGCTTATATTCTACACCCCGTAATACCAAGAGCTAGGTAGTAATTATGAAGATGGTGCTGATGATAAAGTGTTCTTATTGATTGCTTACTATGTGCCAGGCACTTTATATTCATTATCTCAATTAATCCTCAAAATACAAGTGAGATGGATGCTATTAATATTTCCATTTTGCAGAGGAGAAAACTGAGGTATATGGAGGTCCAATAATTTGCCCAGTCTCTCAGCTAGCAGCATCCAACCCACAGCTCTCTCAGCCCAACCTCAGCCCAGCTGACTGCATTCTACTATCTCCTTACATAAAAAGAAGTCGCTGGAAGGTTTTGTTATACCCTGGAGGTGGAAGCAATTGCATGTGAGAATGGAAAATCTGCTGCCATGAGCATTCTCTAGGAGTGTCCTGAGTTTTCAGCAATTCCATTTTCCCACACAACTTTGTAACTAAAGCAAATACATCGGACAGCCCATTCTTACCAGCTTTGCACCCTTGTTAACAAGCTCACTAGTCTTACATTGTACTCCAGGGACCTGGAGAACGAGATCATTAAGCATGCTCACCGGATAAATGTATGCCATGGCAACCAGAGGTTCTCCTTGGTTGGAGCAGCCACACAGATGAGATTTGGGGGACAGTGAACAAATTCTGAGGGGATTCACACTGAGGAAACAGGGGGCCCCCAACAAAAGAGTACAAAAGCTGTCTTGGATGTTCAACATGTTTCCAACCAGAATTGAGGTTTGCATCTTGATTTCTGAGAAGAAGAGCTGGCATTTCTGGGTGTTATGTTCTTGGCTCTATGCTAAGCATTCTATTATACATGCATCAGCTCACTGAACCTCACAATGAAGTTATGAAGAAGAAGCTTTTACCATCTTTGTTGAGGAAAATGAGGCTTAGAGTGTTTAATGAATTTGTTTAAGGAGGTACAGCTAGTGAGTGGCAGAGATGAGATTTGAACCCACCCAGATCTGTCCCTCCAGACTGATCATTTTTACCTCCTACACTTTACTGCCTAGGTACTCCCTAGGTACTGCCATGCATAAATATCTCTAGGTATCAAATGAACACCTGGGGCAGAAGGAAGGAGATCTTAAAATTCACAGTCTTTCTGTCCCCTTAAAATCCAAATTCCATTCCACATATATTCTAAAATGTATATACTTCAGGATGAACACACATACACAATTAAAATCATGGCAGCATGTTGGAAAGGCATTTTAACAGTGCCTAGAAACAAAATACTGTGTAACACTTTAGCTGTGCCCATAGTGTCTTGTGGGTTGGAGAGAGGATTTTCACCTTCCTTAGAAAGAAATCAAAGACAGCCAGGTGCGGTGGCTCACGCCTGTAATCCCAGCACTTTGGGAGGCTGAGGTGAGCAGATCAGCCGAGGTCAGGAGTTTGAGACCAGCCTGGCCAACATAGTGACACGCTGTCTCTACGAAAAATACGCAAATTAGCCAGCCATGGTGATATACGCTTATAGTCCCAGCTACTTGGGAGGTTGAGGCAGGAAAATTGCTTGAACCCAGGAGGTGGAGGTTGCAGTGAGCCAAGATTGTGCCACTACACTCCAGACTGGGCTACAGAGCAAGGCTCTGTCTCAAAAAAAACAGAAACAAAAACAAAAACAAAAAAAAACTACAATAAAAAACCTCTAAGACAAGCCAGGCTTTCTCAGGAATAACACTGGATTTCCTTAGTTTGTATCTTCACTCAGTTGTTTTGCTAAACCAAGTCCCAAAGCTGCCCAGATTGCCCTCTGTGGATGGGACTAGGGGTGTGTGGGAGACAAGCCAGAAGGTGACAAAAGAAAACCCTCCAGTGAACATGCAGAAACCCAGTTCTAGGTACCAATATCAGCCCCTCTTTCCCTTGAGAATGACTTCTAGAATTTGGATTCCTCTCTCCAAAATAGAGATTAGAGATACTATCCAGAAATACAATGATCACAAGTCATAATCAAAATCTAAAGCAGGGGATATCTGAAACAATGTTATATCCATCCAAGGCTGCCCCTAGCCCACAAGCCACCCACAGCGTGGTTTAGGATGTGAATTGGAACACAGCATCTCTTCCTCTGGGCAGTACAGCCTTGTGCCAGAGTACATGATTTGGTGAGTGGAGGCCAGGCTGAATTTGGCCCTCACTGTGCAAGGTACGATAAAAAATGGCAGGTTTGACCCAGGTCTTGACTCAGATTTCCAGATTATTTTTCAGTTGTTAAAAGCAGAAAGCTGGGGGACACATTCTCACTCAGCTAAAAGGAAAAGGAGGGAAATTCTGAGAACTTTTTGGTTGTTGAATTACTTAAATCCTGCAGCTCAGCCTGGAAAGACTCAATTAAGAGGTGTTGTAGGAAATCCTCAGAACCATGAAAGGCCCAAGGCCATGTTCAAAATGCTTTCAAAAACTGTTAGAATGGAACCATTTTGTTTAGTTCCACAAAATTGGCATTGACCCAGCCAATACCTCTCCTTTTAGCCTCATCTCTCAGCCTCATTCACAATTCCTCATAGCACTGGAGGAAAGACAATACAGTTCTTAAGAGGACTGGGCTATGATTTAGGTTTACAATTGGCCATAGTACTTTGGAACTGTGTGTAGTTAGGCAAGTTGAGCTCACTTCTGTGAGCTCTGGTTTCCTTAAAGGATTATTATAGTGGATAAATGGGATAATAACGTATAAAGCACTTTATGCAATTCTTGCCCCATGGAAAATGAACAGTAAATAATAGCCATTATTAACCTAAGCAGTGCTGGAAGAAAGAACTCAGGAGTGATCAGAATATATGACCCCCTTTCTTTTCTTTTTCTTTTTTTTTTTTTTTTGCCTCAATACCAAGTTGGATTATGATTAGCACTATTAGAAGCATGTATGATTGGGCTGGGTGTGGTGGCTCACACCTGTAATCCCATCACTTTGGGAGGCCGAGGTGGGCAGATCACTGTAGTCCAAGAGTTTGAGACCAGCCTGGACAACATGGCGAAACCCTGTCTCTAAAAAACTTACAAAAAAAAAAAAAATTTGCCAGGTGTGATGGCATGCACCTGTACTCCCAGCTACTAGGGAGGCTGAAGCAGGAGGATCACTTGAGCCCCGGAGGTTGAGGCTGTAGTGAGCCGAGATCGCACCACTGCACTCCAGCCTGGGTGACGGAGTGAAACCCTGACTCCAAAAAAAAAAAGAAAAGAAATAAAAAAGAAAAAAAAAGTATGTATGATTGGAAAAAACATGACCACCTTTATATCTTTTTAAAAATTTATTAGGCATCTTCTCTGGCTGAGGCACTTAGCTAAGTATGGTAGTGAAGACAAAAATGAAAAAAATGTCCTTTCCCTTTAACAGGTTTGCAGATGGGTGAAAAAAAGAAGTAGCAAAGAGGCATCTGCTATTATCAGTTCAGAAAATATTCTGGAGGTGTTCTGTCATCTCTTCCCTGCCTCATCTGTCACTTGGAAGAGCCAGCTCCCACCATGTCATATGTCCCCTGATTCATCCTGGGTACAGCTGATTGGACCACAGCTAGACACCAGATCACACTAAGCCAATCAGATTCTGTCCTGGGAATTTAAAATTGGGTGAATTTGAATTCAGACTCAGGCCAGGCACGGTGGAGCTACTTTGGAGGCTGAGGCAGGAGAATCACTTGAACTGGGGAGGCAGAAGTTGCAGTGAGCCAAAATCGCACCACTGCACTCCAGCCTGGGCAGCAGAGCAAGACTCCATCTCAAAAATAAATAAATAAATGAATTCAGACTCAGAATCAGTTCCACAGAGTTGAAAGTGATATAAAATCAAAGCTGATGGAATTTTTGGCCCTGGGCATTAACAAGCAGAGAATTCCAGGGGAAAGCAATGATGAGAGGCTAAGTAGCTACGAAGAGAGAGGGAAAGAGATGGAAGGAATAGCCTTCCTTGGTTCCTAATGGTTTTTCAGCTCCTATGAGTCTCGGCTACCCTTTCTTTAATGGGGCTCCATGCATCTTCTCTTCTGATAAACCCTTTTTGACTTGAGCTGTTCATCACCCACTGGTTCCACACAAGGGCTGAGTGTGTGGACCTCTCTGATTAGATATAAGAAATTGCCAAAGGCCATTCATATATGGTCCCTTTAATCAAAATAACTGCCTCTTGAAAGCCTAATTAATCATTTGGTTTTAGTCCAAACAGCTGTTTGGCAATTGATGTCATTTGAAGTATCAACACCTTTTACTGGGAATACCACAGGTCTTGGGCCTATAGGCATGTGCTTGTTTTCAAGGCTGGCTTAACGGACCCTTGATGCCAACATCACCCAGTTATGCTGAAGACAGGGACATCTAGTCAGCAGTCCATACACAGTATCCATCCAAAAGATCTTTTAAAAAATCATAAACACTGTTACTTCAATCCAAGCACTCTTTCTAAATATCCTGAGCTCGCTGGTACACTAGCAACATTATTTTGCTATTGCCAGCACCTCTAAAACTTAATTCAGGAAAGTCTATGAAAGGGGTATTGTGTTCATGGAATATGTATATTGCCCGTACATCAATTGGCATCTTGGGACTGCTCTGGGGCACAAAGGTCAAAGTTTAGTGATGCATGGAGCTGTCATCCTAATGGTAAATATTGATTAGTAGCCTCAGAAACAACCAGCAGGCATTCAGTCTTTCTCCAGCCAGACGCCAGCCTCCCAAAGAAGGAGTGTCTTTCCAAGAGAGCCTTAAAAACAATGCATGGAACATTCAACCCTGCAATACACAGAGACACTGAGAGAGTGAATGACTGCTTCAGCAGAGTAAGTGGAAAACGATAAACAGCATTGTGCAGCGTCTGCATAGCAATGACACTTGGTAGGAAAGTACTGAAAACCAATAAATATCATATATATAGATATGTTTTCTATTGCTGCCATAACAAATTACCCCAAACTTAGTGAACTGAAAATAATACAAATTTATTTATCTTAGACGTCTGTAGGTCTGAAGTCCCAGTTGGCGCTACTGGTTTTTCTTCCCTGGCTTTCACAGGGCCAAAATCAAGGTGTTAGCAGGGCTGCATTCCTTTCTGGAGACTCCAGCACTGAATTGCTTTCAGGGTTTTTCAGGTTGTTCAGTTCCTGACAGTTGCAGAGCCCAGATCCCCGTCTTCTTGCTGGCTATCAACTGGGGTGGAGTCTTAGCTCCTAGAGGCGGCCCATCTTCATTTTCATGCTTTACACGTTGCCTTTTCCAGCAACAGTGAGGTCCTCTCACACTTTGAATCTTTCCAACTTCCACTTCTGGCAAATCTCTCCTGCCTCCAGCCAAAGTTCTGTTTTTAAGGGCTCAGGTAATTAGATTGGACCCACTCAGCTCATCTAAGATAATGTATTTTAAAGTTTGTAACTTTAATTACATCTGCAAAGTCCCTTTTGTCTTGTAGTGTAACACACTCACAATATGTTCCAGGAAATTAGGAACGTGGACATTTTGGGAGGCTCATTATTTGGTCTACCACAATATATATACTTTTATATCCTGAAAAACAGGGTTGCAGCTGGAGCTCTAGTAGGTTCTGCCTTGCAATCTGACTGAGCAAAATGCATTTGATGGTGTATTAGTTACCTATTGCTGCATAACAAATTACTCCAAAACTTAGTGGCTTAAAACAATAAATCTTCATTATTCTACACATTCCCTGTGTTGAGAATCTTCCACAGCTCAGCTGGGTACCTGTACTCCAAGACAGGGGTTCCCAACCCCCAGGTCATAGACTGGTACTGGTCTATGGCCTGTTAGGATCAGGCCACACAGCAGGAGGTGAGCGGTGGGCGAGTGAGCATTACTGCCTGAGCTTCGCCTCCTGCCAGATCAGCAGCAGCATTAGATTCTCATAGGAGTGTTAAGAGGGATCTAGGTTGTGTGTTCTTTATGAGACTCTAATGGCTAATGACCTGAGGTGGAAGAGTTTCATCCCAAAACCATCCCCACCCCCCAACCCCGGTCTGTGGGAAAATTGCCTTCCACGAAACTGGTCCCAGGTGCCAAAAAGGTTGGGGACTGCTGCTCTGAGGTATCTCATAAGGTTGCAACAAGCTGTTCACCAGGGCTGTGGTTTCATTTGAAGGCTCAACATAGGGGTCAAAGATCCGCTTCCCAGCCTATTCACATGTTGGCAGGCCTGGGAAGATACATGTCCAAGTTCACTCATCCGATTGTTGGCAGACTCCTCACCATGGGAGTTCCTCCACAGGCTGCCTGAGTGTCCTCCCAACATGGCAGCTGGTGATCTGAAAGAGAGAGCCAGTGAACAACAGAGTAAGCACAGCAAGACAGAGTGAGGGAGCTCGAAATGGAAGCCACAGTCTTTTTTTAAAAAAAAAAACTATTTTTTTTTTTTTTTTTTGAGACGGAGTCTCGCTCTGTCACCCAGGCCAGGAGTACAGTGTCAAGATCTCAGCTCACTGCAACCTCCACTTCCGGGTTCAAGAGATTCTCCTGCCTCAGCCTCCTAAGTAGCTGGGATTACAGGCGTGTGGCGCCACGCCCAGCTACTTTTTGTAGTTTTAGTAGAGATGGGGTTTCACCCTGTTGGCCAAGCTGGACTCAAACTCCTGACCTCAGGTGATCCACCCGCCTTGGCCTCCCAAAGTGCTGGGATTAATCCAGGCATGGTGGCAGGCACCTATAATCCCAGCTATTTGGGAGGCTGAGGCAGGAGAGTTGCTTGAACTGGCAGGCAGAGGCTACAGTGAGCTGGGATCACACCACTGCACTCCAGCCTGGGTGACAGAGCGAGACTCCGTCTCAAAAATAAAGAAAGAAAACTATCTTTACCATTTTTAAGTGTGCACTTTCATAGTGTTAAATATATTCACATTGTTGTGCAACGGACCTCCAGAATTTTCATCTTGAAAAACTGAAACTGTACTCATTAAACAACAACCCTCATTTCTGTTTCCCCCCAGCTTCTGGAAACCACCATTCTACTTTCTGTATCTATGAATTTGACTATACTAGGTACCTCATACACATAAAAGCATACAGTCTTCGTCTTTTTGTGTTTGGTTTTTTCATTTAGCATAATGTCCTCAAGGTTCATCCATGTTGTAGCATGTGTCCAAATTTCCTTCCTCTTTAAGACTGAATAATAGCTCATTGTATGTTGCTGTGGTTTGGATGTTTGTCCCCTCCAACACTCATGTTGAAATGTAATTGCCATTGGAACCATATGAAGAAGTAGGACCCTGAAGAGGTGATTAAGACATGAGGGCTCCACTCTTATGGGTGGGTTTAGTGCCTTTTAGAAAGGGCTTTGGGGAGTGGGTTCTCTGTCTGTGTCCTTCTGCTTTTCTGCCATGTGAGGAACACAGTGTCCCTCCCTTCCAGAGGAGACAGCGTTCAAGGTGCCATCTTGGAAGTGGAGATAGGGCTCTTACCAGACACCAAGCCTGCCGGCACCTTGCTCTTAAACTCCCCAGCTTCCACAACTGTGAGAAATAAATGTCTTTATACATTACCCAGTCTATGGCATTCTGTTATAGCAGCACAAAATGGGCTAAGACATGTGTACATGTCACATTTTAAAAATCCATTCATCCATCAGTAGGCACCGATGGGACTGAAGGGTCCGTGCAGAAAGATGGCTCAGGCCTCCAGTGTGCCAAACTTCCCTTTTGATAAGGTTTCCTAAACTTCCCTTTTGATTCACTTGATGGGGGGTGGATATTAAAAAACAGATTCTTGTATTCCTCCACTGGAAGTGGTAAATCAGTCGGCTTCAGTGGGCCCTGGGAATCTGTTTTTCTAAACAATTGCCCAGGGCATTCTTTTTTTTTTTTTTTTTTTTTTTTGCCTTTTTAAAAAATTAAGGTATAATTCACATACCATATAATTCACCCTTTTATACAATTCAGTGGTTTTTATTATATTCACAAAGTTGTGCAACTACCACCACCATCTGAGAATATTTCATCACCCCATAAAGAAACCCACACCCATTAGCAGTCACCCCCGATTCCTCTCTCCCTCCAAGCCCCTGACGACCGCTGATCTACTTTCTGTCTCTATCGATTTGCCTACTCAGGATATTTCATATAAATGGAACCATGTGATATGTGGCCTCTTGCGTCTGGCTTATTTTACTTAGCATAATGTTTTCAAGGTTCATCTACCATTGTCCTGTATATCAATACTTCATTCCTTTTTACGACTGAATAATATTCCATTGTATGGATATAGCATGTTTTATTTCTTAGTTTACTTGTCGATGAGTCCATGAGATTCTTACCGTAAAGGAAACCTGGGGAAAGGCTACATACTAAATTGTACAGGGAGATCAAAAGCAGATAGGATACCCAGGATGCTTGTAAAAATGCAGGTCTCTGGACCAAACTCCAAATCTCTTGAGTTAGAATCAAGGGGAAGCCCAGAAATCTTTTTTTTTTTTTTTTTTTTTTTTTAAAGACAGGGTCTGGCTGTGTCTCACAGGCCGGATGCAGTGGTGTGATCTAGGCTGACTGCAATCTCCGCCTCACAGGCTCAAGCAATCCTCCCACCTTAGCCTCCTGAGTAACTGAGACCACAGGCTCGTGCCACCATGCCCAGCTAATTTTTTGTATTTTTAATAGACATGGGGTTTTGCCATATTGCCCATGCTGGTCTCGAACCCCTGAGCTCAAGTGATCTGCCTGCCTTGGCCTCTCAAAATGCTGGGATCACACGCATGAGGCACCATGCCAGGAAGCAATCTGTATTTTGAACAGTCTTCCCAGGGAGATTCTTCTGCCTACTGAAACTTAGTCTTGGAGCAGAAGTGAGGTGAAATGGGTAGCAGGAAAAGTGATTATTCCTTCCGAGAACATTGTTTCCAACAGTTTTTAAAGGTAATGTGATGAAATGACAGTTCAACATTTAGCAATATGACTATGATGAAAAGATATGAACAGAAACCACATGAACACAAAACCTTGAGACATACAGAGGAGGGAGTCAAAGATGAGGCCTTTTACTGTTTTTTCGGTTTTCTGTTCTCTCTCTCTGTAGGCCCTGCCCGCTGGGCAGGCCTGCTCCCAGATCAGCTTTTTCTTATATAAGAATTTAACTAAGTGGATCTAATGCCGTAGACTCTTAGAGCAGAAAAGGACTTGGAAGCTTATCTTGTCCAGTGGCTCCCAAACACAGCTGATCTTCCAAAGATTCTTTTGAAAATCCGGATTTCCAACATTCCCCCTTCCCCTTCAAAGTCTGGGACCTTGAAATCTGCGGCTTTGAAAAGCTCTCCAGGTGAATGTGATGGTCAGCCAGATTTGAGCTCCTCTGGGCCAACACTGTCATTTTTCAGAGCAGGAAATTGAATCAACATCAGCCAACTCAGGGAAAGAGCACTACCTAGAACTTAGGGCTTTTAGGTCCTCATGAATACTCTTTCAAGCCTGTGTTGTCAAAAAGTTCTAATCATTAGAATAAATACTATATGGAACCTAAGAATTCAGTTGTTGACACCAGGGTGTAAGCCTGTACACAAATGGACTGTTAGATGTAGGTCAGTCTTTGATACCATCGATAGTAGCGGGGCAATGTCAAATTTTGAAAGAGTGAATGATTAACAAAATTGTCATTGCCATATCAATACTATTTAGAATCAGCAACCATTAGTATTTCAATTCAGGTGATATCTCCCAATGGTCTTATTATTGTTAAAATTTAGAAACTAGAAATTTTGGTCATCAGATATATCATAAATATGGATAAAATTCTCACCCACATATATTTACCGTAAACCTGGAAAATAATGACTTTCCAGCTCAGTGGCTCTCCAATCTCACTCTGTATTAGAATCACCTGGGAGTGTTTAAAACCATACCCTTGACCAATTCTGACCTGCAGGACCTCAAGAAATAAAATCTAGGGCCAGGGCCCAGGCTCATGTGTTTTTAAACCAAGCTCCCCCAAGTTATTCTCATGCATAACCAGAGTTGATAACCACTACTGTAGCTCCTTAGATATCTAATAAAATGAGAATAATTAGAAAACTTTAAATTTCACATCATATTCCTGAGAAACATTTTAACCCAGAATGGGCTTATGAAGGATATCATTCTGTGATCATACAGCCTGGAAATTATAAGTAACATTTGCGCACCACTTTATAATTTACCACACACTTTCATGTACATTTCACCACCCAGGTCTGATTGTTTATTAAGTTTCTATGAAACCTTTTCTGTTTAAGTTCAAAGTGCTGGATTCTCCTGCCCATTCTAAAAATGACTCCATTAATGAGGCTTTTCTTTTTAGAATTTTAAATTAAGGAAAATGAAAAAAAATGTCAGAAAACAGGGCAGAAATGTTTTCTCATGGAAAACTGTACTATATTTAATAATACCAGGACTCCTTGAACATCATTATATGTTGAGATTGGGTTAATTTCAGCCTGGGAGATTCATAGACCCTTGGGGTTGAAGTACTGATAAGAAATGAAACAAGAGGGAAAAATTTAAGTTCTAGCCCAGTGGTTTTCAAATTCTGAAGTGCATGTGAATCAACTGGGGATCTTGTATTAAAATGCAGATTTTGTTTCAGTCAGGCTGGGGTTGGATTTTAGCATCAGCATTTTTAATAAGCTCCCAGGTGACATCAATGCTGCTGGTCTAGAGAGCACATTTTGAGATGGAAAGTTCTGGAATGAGGGACAGGCAGTAGGAAAGAAGTCAGGAGATCTGTGGTTTTCTTTTCCACAGGTTCTGCCTCAAAGTCACCAAGAGACTTTGGATAAGTTACTTCACCCCTCAGAACCCTAGATTTCTCATCCAAAAATAGGGCCGTGGGATTGGTCTAGATCAGAGATGACAAATACCTAATCCTTGTCACTGCTCTCTCAGATGCTGTGGGAAGACAGAAGAGCCTGGAGGCAGGATTGTAGTAATTTCTGGTCCTCCAGCCCAAAAAATGCAGGCTGTATCTTCAGAAAGCATTCCAGTTAATTGTAAATTGTCACATACTGCAAACTGTGACCCTGGATCTGATTGTCAAAGCAATTAGGTTTCAAGAGAGTTGGACATTCTCAAAGTGCTAGTGGATGCATTTTGATGGGGAAAGAAGTTGCCACAATAAGAGAGCCTGAAGCACCAAGAGCCACTTTGATAAGAAAGATGCCAAAAGGGAAGGAAGGAGTCTAGCAGGAGATTGGCAGGGGACCCACAGGGGACAGACTCAACCCATTTGATAATGTACGAGTCCTTGGGTCATCATCTGAAACCTTGGTTTTCCTGTGATGTGAGCTTCAGACCCCAAAACCTGGATTCCTACTAGAGAAAGACCACCTGCCACCACCCAAGCAGGAGAAGAAAGGAGACCCTGCTATGGGCAGAGCCCGGAGCTGCCTCCTACCCACATTCTCCCTTCAGGGCCCAGGTATCCTATCCAGGCCTGACCGATGCTGGGGCTGTGCTCCTGGGACTTCCCAGTGGGCTCCTGTGCCCCACTGCCTGGAGTCATGCTCCACCATCTCCTAATCTCATGGGAGGCCGTTCATGGGCAGAAACCTTGAGAGTCACGTGGCTGGCACTGCTTTCAGATTTTCAAGGTTTAGGGAGATATTCCCAGAGAAAAAAATACATATTCTTAGGCACACTGTGTCAAGGCATCATGCTAACGACTCTCACTTTTATCTCATTCAAGCACCAAAATGCTGCAAATTTAGTGTTATTATTCCTTTTTTATAGATGAGGAAACTGAGGCTCAGAGAGATAAACTCCCCCAGCTCATGCAGCTCAAATGTAGATGACCTGGCATTTGACTCCAAATCTGATGCTCATCACATTTAATATTACCTCACTGCCTCCCAACCCAGCACTTGGAAAGAATCCACAGAAGCTGAAATTGAGTAAGATTGATGAAACAGAGTGAATTTCATTTCATCTCTCTAGTTCAGGACAAAACAGATGCCCAACACTTTGGAATAGTCCTTGCAGTTCTTGTAATTATTATTTTTTTTTTTTTTTGTAACGTGGCCCTAGCTCTTCTGTCTCCAGGTGGTGGCAACCTGACCTTGGGGTTCCCGAGTTACAAATAGATGACACAGAGAAGGTGCCTGGGACCCTGATTCTGCCCCTTGAGTGGGGTCTAGTTCCTTCTGGATACAAATTGTGGATGCCCCTAGCAACTTTCTTGTGGACAATCCCCCAAACCGTGCACTCAATTCAATCAAACACATTTTGAGAAATACAAGCTGCCAGACCCTGAGGCAGGTGCTGAGAGGCAGATACAGGTGAACAAGGCAGATGAGGCCCCCTCTCTGGGGCTGATCTTCTGGTTGGGGCATGGCGGGGCAGGGGAGCTGGTCACAAACAAGACATTTCATGTGTAAGGCATATGATGAAAGGGAGCACACAAGGACCCAACCTCAGCAGGCAGCTCAGAAGACCAAATGGATTGAATTAAACTTAATCAACCTTTCCCTGCCTAGAGGAACTTAAACCAAACGAGAGGGCAAGCCATTTCTGCCACCTGAAGCCAGAGCTGCCCTGCCTCTCATTTGAAGAAACACTCTCTACTGAGGTTGCAATAAATTCCCCTTCAACTTGGCTAACTGCTGATATGCAGAGCCTCTCTCCACCTGGACAGAGAAGCACCAGGCGTTTACACATGTGTGCACACCTGCACACGCACACAGATGCACAGCCTACTGCATGCTCAAGGTCATATTTCACATACTTCCTCCCCACAGGCGAAGCTGAGTGGATGAGGTTTCCTTCAGAGTTTGCCCTGGAAATGCTGTTAATGTAACGTATTTTAAAACCATGTCCTTTGTTCTTAGGGGAACATACTAAGATATTAACAGTGGTAGATCTGGGTGGGAGAAGTATGGGGGAATGGCTTTTCTTAATTTTTTTTAACTCCCAATTATTTCTATTTTATAGCTTTTCCATAAAGAGTGTGGGTCACCTGTGAAATACAAAAATTTAAAGAAAAATAAGATTTATCTTGCTACACTACAGCTGCTTTTTAATTCCCATTTGCCCTGGAAGACAAGCAGGCATAAGGTGTCTTTGTGGCTTCATGGCAGCTGTGAGGTATGATGGAAAGGACACTAAACTAGGAACCACAACACAGTTCCCAGCCCTGCAGACCTTTTTAACTTTGGGACTTCGGAGACGTCACTTAACTTCTTCAAGCCTTCATTTTCTCATCTGCAGCATGGGGCAGTAATTACTCTGAGGAGATGAAATTGGTGCACAAATGTCAAGTGGGAATATTAGTATAATTATTTACATAACTGAAAATTGGCCAATGTTATACTCATGTACAAAGAAGAAAAAACAATGGTTCTGAGAATTATAGCATAGAGGAAGTGGCCCTTGTCAGATGGCCCCAAATGATTCCCACCTCCTGGTATTCATGCCCTTGATAGTGTCCTCCCATGGTGAGGAAGGCTGACCCATGTAACCAATAGGATGTTGCAGAAATTAGAGCACGTGACTTCTGAGGCTGAGAAATATGGTTTGGCTCTGTGTCACCACCTAAATCTCATCTCGAATTGTAATTGTTGAGGGAGGGATCTGGTGGGAAGGGATTGGATCATGGGGGTGATTTCCCCCATGCTGTTCTCATGATAGTGAGTGAATTCTCATGAGATCTGATGGTTTAAAAGCATTTGGCAATTCCCCCCTCTCTCTCTTTCTCCTGCTGCCATGTAAGACTTGCCTTGCTTCCCCTTTACCTTCTGCCATGATTGTAAGTTTCCTGAGGCCTCCCTACCCATGTGGAACTGAGTCAATTAAACCTCTTTTCTTTATAAATTACCCAGTCTCAGGCAGTTCTTTATAGCAGTGTGAAAACTGACTAATACAAATACGTTGTGACTCTGCCTTATATTCTCTTGGGTTATTCATTCTAGAGGAAGCCAGCTGCCATGTCATGAGGACACTCCAGTGGCCCTATGGAGGGGTCCTGCAAGTAAGGACCAGAGGCCTCCCTGTCAACCTGCCAGCAGGTGTGAGCCATCTTGGAAGCAGATTCTCCAGCCCAGATCTTCAGATGACCACAGGCCCAGGTGACCTCCTGACTGCAACCCCAAGCCACAACCATGCAATGAGCCACTCCCTCTTTCCTGCCTACCATAAACTGTGTGAGAGAATAAACTGTGAGTGTATTGTCACTTTGGGCTATTTAACTGAGCAGAAATCTGTTATGCTGCAATAGATAATCAACCCTTCAGCTTTGGAGCCATCTAGGAAGGTTTAGGGACCAGCATGGCTTTGGGAGGAGCAATTCATTCCAAGCCAATTTAATTTCCTCTCATGATGAAGTGACCTGGCATGCGGATAAGGGAGCAATAAGTGTATCTCCTCCCCTCTGGAGGGCTTTTAATTCAATACCACATGCCACTCTCATCAACATGCAGGGAGGCAGGGTCTGGGCAGTGGTTCATTGATTTGGCCCTAGGAGAATACACGTAGGAGCTCATCCAGGACTTGAGGGAGGGGAAGGAATATGGATATTTCTGTGATCTGAATGTGTCCCCCAAAATTCATGTGTTGGAAACTTGATCCTTAATGCAATAGTGTTGGGAGGTGGAACCTTTGGGGAGGTGTTTAGATCAGGAGGGCTCTGCCTTCACGAATGGATCAATGCTATCACAAAAGGGCCTGATGGAGGCAGTTTGGTTCTTTTTTTGCCTTTCCTTCTGCCTTCTGCGTGGGAGGGCACAGCATTCAAGACACCATCTTAGAAGCAGAGACCGGGCCCTCACCAGACACAAAACCTGCCAGTTCCTTGATGTTGGACTTATCAGAATCCAGAACTGTGAGAAATAAATTGATAAATTACCCAATTTGTGGTATTTTGTTATAGCAGCACAAACAGACTAAGACAGATACTAATACTAATACAATACCAACATCAAAACTGCTAGCAGGCTGGGCATGGGGTTCACACCTGTAATCCCAGCACTTTGGGAGGTCAAGGCAGGCAGATCTCTTGAGGCCAGGAGTTTGAGACCAGCCTGGCCAACATGGTGAAACACTGTCTCTACTGAAAATATAGCCAGGCATGGTGGTGTGTGCCTGTAACCCTGAGTAATCTTGGGAGTCTGAGGCACAAGAATCGCTTGAACCCAGGAGGCAGAGGTTGTAGTGAGCCGAGATCCTGCCACTGCCCTCCGGCCTGGGTGATAGAGCAAGATTCTGCCTTTAAAAAAAAAAAAAATGCTGCTAGCAATGCACTTCACTAATACTCATTTTACACTGCTAATACTTGTCACCCAGAAAACCTCCCTCCTGGAGAGCCCCAGGTTCTTCAGAACTCAGTAATCACTCTTTAACAAACAAAGAAAATGGTTTCAGCCCCACTGCAGCACTCTGACACATCTTCAAAAACTCCACAGATTTCCAGAAAGACATACCTTCTCCTGGTCAGTGGGGGTTACGCCCTCGGTCACCACTGTCATCTGGTCCTTAGCCATCATCCTCTGTTCCTGAAGCTGCCATTCTCTCTCCCCATCTCTGTTACCCCTGGACCACCTCACATCTGCCATGCCTCATAGCATCATGAACACAAAGCTGGTTCCCAAAAGTGTTTGTGGATAACGGAAGGGGTATTGCAGTCCTGCATATCTGGTCAATTACAGGAACACAGCATCCTGGTTCTTGGCTGGGTGCAGCGGCTCACATCTGTAATCCCAGCACTTTGGGAGGCAGGTGGATCACTTTAGGTTAGGAGTTTGAGACCAGCCTGGCCAACACGGTGAAACCCTGTCTCTACTAAAAATACAAAAAATTAGCCGGGTGTGGTGGTGCACACCTATAATCCCAGGCACTTGGGAGGCTAAGGCAGGAGGATCACTTGAACCTGGGAGGTGGAGGTTGCAGTGAGCCAGGATGGCGCTGCTGCACTCCAGCCAGGGTGACAGAGCGAGGCTCTATCTCAAAATATTTTAAAAAGTAAAAAATAAATAAAAATAAAAAAAGCAATATAGCATCCTGGTTCTTGAGTTTTCTGGACTGTCCCTACACCGGGGGCTTCTCTTGCTCTAGAGATGTCCTTGCTAATCACTGCTCTCCTGAGCTGCCTCTGTTTTTCTCTGGACCCTCTCCTCTCAATCCCTTCCTGCTTCCCATCTCTGTGGCCTTGGCTTCTTCTTAACAAGCTTGCCACCCGCAACTTCAAATTCCTGTCAATTTGTTGTAAACAAGCTACCTCTGTTTGTGTCTTGCCTTTTCCCACCAGGGAGGTATAGACATGGTTAAAGACACGGCCTCTGGCACTGGAAGGCCTCCTTTTCACTCCCAGCTAGGCATTCTTCAAATCCTTCCTATCCCTATTTTACAGCTGACAAAACTGACTTCCGGGGGATTTGGTTTTGCTCAAGGACCCAGGGTCCTTCAGGGGTAGGTAGGAAAGATCTGGGACAACTCCCAGGCCTCTTCCAGGCAGAAGGAGAAGTAGGTTGGAGAATGCTAGTTGAGGGCACCTGCAAAAGCTAAATCAAGACTGCCTGAAGCTTAGGAGGAAGGAAATGTGTGTAGATTTAGTTCCTAGAGGGCTTATAAATAGGACCATTGCTCATTTGTCCTGAAAAGTCGCTGGGCAACCTTCCCGAGGTGAGGGGTGGGGGCGGGGCCACATGCCCTCCTGAGGTCATTTCTAGCTTGATGATTCACACGGCAAAATCCCAGCGTGGGTTCAGCGCCCCTCCCCGCACCCGCCCCGTGTACTTTCATTTTGCATTATGATTTTTCACTCAAGCTGATGCGAACCCAAATTGATGTCATTTCCCTCCCAATAAGCTCTTGACCAGAAAACATCTAATTCTCCATCTAGCTGGGATTTTTTTTTTTTCACTCAGTTTCTATAAAATCATGCTGCAGTTTGCCTCGATATTTTCTTCTCTTTTAAAGATAGCATTTGTCAAGGCTTATCTTCTGGTCGTAAAACTAATATATATGCTCACTGCAAAAGAATCTGGAACACAAGTGGCCTGAAAGAAGAAAATAAAAATTATATATAGCATCACACACGTAGACAAACAGGAAAGATCATAGTATGTTTTCTTTCTGTCTTCCCCTTGTATATATATCTTTAACATAATTAGATCAAATGCTTTTTTAAAAATCTATTTAAGAGTGAGAGGGAAGAATCATAGATTCTGGCTTCAGTAGAACATGTGTTTTAATAGGTTATATTTATTGAGGGCTGAAAATGTTCTAGGCACTTTACTCAGTGTGTATTGGTGGAATGTCAGCCATTTATGTTCATTGCTTTTCAAAATCCTCACAACAGCCCCTGAGAAAGATATTACTATCATGCCCATTTTACAGGTGAGGAAGCTGAGGCTCTGAGACGTCCCAAGAACAGCTGGTTCATAAAGCAGCTGGGATTAATTTTAATTAAAGTCATCTTGCTTCCACAGGCTGGGCTCTTAAACTTTTTATTTATTTATTTATTTATTTATTTATTTATTTATTTATTTACTTTTCATAGAGACAGGGTCTCACTGTGTTGCCCAGGCTGGTCTCGAACTCCTGGGCTCAAGCAATCCCCCCAACTTGGCCTCCGAAAGTGCTGAGACTACAAGTGTGAGCCACCACACCTGGCCAGCTATTAACCTTTATAGTATGTATAGAGTTTGTCACTCCATAGGGATAAGTGCTTCAATTGGGAATGCCATGAAGGCAACACTGGCCTGCTTCTCATGTAACTAAGAATTTTTTTTTTTTTTTTTGAGACAGGGTCTCACTCTGTCGCCCAGGCTGGAGTGCAGCGGTACAATCTCGGCTCACTGTAATCTCCACTTCCCAAGTTCAAGCGATTCTCATGCCTCAGCCTCCTGAGTAGCTGGGACTACAGGCACACACCATCACACCTGGCTAATTTTTGTATTTTTTGGTAGAAACGGGGTTGCACCATGTTGGCCAGGCTGGTCTCGAACTCCTGACCTCAAGTGATTCACCCACCTCAGCCTCCCAAAGTGCTGGGATTACAGGCACGAGCCACCTCACCGAGCCTGTAACTGGGAATATTTTAATCAAAGCACAACATACTCGTGGAACAAAGATCATGCTCCATTCTGACCTTCTGCAACCCTTTGCTTTAAAGAATATATAGGGAGAAAGGAAACTGGAGGAAAAGGTCATAAGCGTACTTGCCAGTGCTACTACGAGTTTGCCCATGCCTTCCTATAAGTGTTGCTATTTTAGTGCTTGATGGACATCTAAAGTGTCCCTGGGCATGGGGGAGCTGAGAGGTGCTGGGGCTCAGCACAGATGCTGTAAAGTGACTGCTCATTCTTTCTGTGGCCATTCATTGACTACCTACCGTGTGTCTCTCAGGCACAGTGCTCAGCATGTACTCCAAATGTAATCTGTATAAAACCAGCATGCCCATGGGGTCGGCTTCAAAGTGTTGAAGTGATATCATAATGTATTAGTCATTCTCATAAAGTATGCTCATAAAGACATACCTGAGACTGGGTAATTTATAAAGGAAAGAGGTTTAATTGACTCACAGTTCCACATGGCTGGGGAGGCCTCACAGTCATGGCGGAAGGTGGATGAGCAGCAAAGTCACGCCTTACATGGTGGCAAGCAAGAGGGCTTGTGTAGGGAAACTTCCCTTTATAAAACCATCAGATCAGGCTGGGTGCAGTGGCTCACGCCTGTAATCCCAGCACTTTGGGAGGCTGAAACGGGTGGATCATTTGAGGTCAGGAGTTCAAGACTGGCCTGGCCAACATGGTGAAACCCTGTCTCTACCAAAGATACAAAAAATAAGCCAGACGTGGTGGCACATGCCTATAATCCTAGCTACTCAGGAGGCTGAGGCATGAAAATCACTTGAACCCAGGAGGTTACAGTGAGCCAAGATCACGTCACTGCACTCCAGCCTGGGTGACAGAGTGAAACCCTGTCTCAAAAAAAAAAAAAAAAAAAACCATCAGATCTCGTGATACTTACTAACTACCTCAAGAACAGTATAGGGGAACCACCCCCATGATTCAATTATCACTACCTGGCCCCATCCTTGATACACGGGGATACAGAGATACAGCCAAACCATATCACATAATTCACACACACATACATACCACACACACCGTGTATCTGGAAGTGAAACATTATTTCAAAACAGCTCAAAATATTATACTGGCTCTATCTGTCAGGATGCTTTGATTGTAAGCAACAGAAACTGCCTCTACTGATCTAGGCAGAACGGGAATTTCTTGGAAGGATATTAGAGAGCACACTAGAGCAAAGGAATGGCTAAAAAGTCAGGCTTGGAGCCATTAGGCACCCAGCCTCTCCAGGAGGTTCTTGGCAGCAGAAAATGCTCAACAATCTCACTGAGCTGCTGTGGCTGGAATGAGAACACTCCAAGTGTTCTCTGCTTTGGGCCTGAATCCATGATTGAGATTTCAGGGAGGGAGTCCCCATTGGCCTTGCTGGCAGTCATGCACTGGGGAGGAAGGGCTGGCCTGGCTAACCATTCCACTAGACAATTTGGAAGATGGACCAGCAGCTGGGCAGATGACAAACAACGAAGGTCTTTGCATTTCTTGAGAATGATGACAGCCAACCACTGAGGCTGTGACAACACTTATAAAAAAAATCCCCCTTTCTCTTCTATCCATTTCTCTCACACGCTGAAGCTGCTCCACAGGATTTCTCCCTACAGTTATACGCAAACCTCACCCAACATCCACTCTTTTATACCCCGGCTGTGCAAAATGTATTCAGAGAACCAGCAGCATTTATAATCTCCAAATGTAATCTGTATAAAGCCAGCGTGCCCATGGGTTCAGCTTCAACATGGTGAAGTAGTATCATAATGTATTAGTCCACTCCTTACACTGCTAACAAAGACATACCTGAGACTGGGTAATTTATAGAGGAAAGAGGTTTAATTGACTTAATCTAGCAAGTTGGGAGCTTGCTAGAAATGTAGAATCTCAAACCTCACCCTAGACCTACCAAATCAGAATCTGCATTTTAACAATATCCCAGGTGGCTCTGATGCACGTGAAGTTTAAGAATCACTCATGGATACACTCTCTTCCTCTCTCCATTTCTTTTTTTTTTTTTTTTTCTTTGAGACAGGGTCTCACTCCTTTGCCCCAGCTGTAGTGCAGTGGTGCAATCATGGCTCACTGCAGCCTTGACCTCCCTGGGCTCCGGTGATCCTCCCACCTCAGCCTCCTGAATAGCTGGGACCACAGGCACGCGCCACCATACCTAGCTAATTTTTATCTTTCTTGTAGAAATAGGGTTTTGCCATGTTGCCCAGGCTGGTCTCAAACTCCTGGGCTCAAGTGATTTGCCTGCTTAGTCCTCCCAAAGTGCTGGGACTACAAGTGTAGAGCCACCGTGCCGGCCTTCCATTCCTTAATTATACAGATCAATCTAGTCTCTCACCAGCCTAAACAAATCCTTCCTCTGTAGCAAGAGGAAAGAGATGGGCTATCAATGACAAGGTTGCCTCTGGTGGGGTGATAGAAGAAATGTGAACATTTGCAGGCTCATAATTGTCTTGTAAACAAGGGTAAAGCAGACACAGTCTGTGACCTCAGCGAGCTCAGGTTCTGGAGGGAAAAGCTGGTCAGCCGGTCCAAATGGATATTGAGGTCTTCCAAGGCAGCATGGCATGGTTCTCAGGGCTAAACTGACTCTAGAACCGCTTGCTCTAGGGGAGGATCCTGGGGACAGAGGGACGGAATGGTAAATTAAGTTTCATTGGGCTGCACAGATCAGTTTGGAAGTCCTGTGGTCCTTTGAGTCCTCTCTGAAATGCAATGCTAGACAACAGTGCCAGGGTACTCAGGGTTGGTCTGTCTCCTCCTCCAAGAGAGCAAAGAAGGAACCAGGCCCAGGGACTCACCCAGAGGGGGCTTGGGAGCCAGTAAAATGAAAAACGTTGAATGTAGAGTTCCGAACGGTCTGGAATCCAGGTATTAATCTGTTGGTCCGTCATCATATTGGTCTTTGCAACATACAAACAAATCAAGCACGAGATTTCCCCCAAAGTTAGCAAGCTCCTGTGAGTCATTTCTCAGGAACTTGGTGGCAGACACTTGGCTGAAGGCAGCTGTGAGGAGGAATGTCCGTGGAGGGGGGTGGGGGGCGGTGGTGGCCACAGTCACGGGAGTGGCTGTGTGGGCGTGACTGTAGCTGGGACTGCTGTGCTATGAAGCTGTGGCTGTGTCTGTAGCTGGGGGTGGGGCTGTGGCCATGGCTGTGGCCGCCAGCCTCACAGCAGTAGCCATAACAAAAGGAGGAGCTGCTGACTGGCCTCATCTCAGTGACCACATGGCATCATTCAAAGATTTGTGCTCCTGGTCCCTCAACGCAGGTAGAACTTTTGGCAGAGTCGGGGGAAACTGAGCTAAAGGCAGTGACAGGTTGTACCTACTTGGGCCATGGACCCTGAGGAACCTGAAAAAGATGAGGGAAGAGGTCCCTATCACACACTTTGGTGTTTTGTGGCTGCTGGTGGCAGTGGGGTCTGGCATGAGGGTGACCTGCAACCACACGCACCCAGCTCCTAGGTTCCTGGAGCTCACAGCGTCTGTGGCAGAGGGGCTTGACATGAGGATGCTGTCCCCAACTCCTCTGGTCCTACCCAACATTTTCCTGCAAGGTGGCCCTAACCAACCCCACCCGCATCATTCAAATCCGTGCTTGAAGGGACAACACCATCTCACCCTCTTCCTCATTTTCCATCTTTCTCAGTCCTTGCTGTTCACAGAATAGTCTCCTCTCTTCATCAGCCAGAAACAAACAAAATGCCTGTGCGAACCGATGCTGTGGTTTCACCAGCTTGGTCCTTCCACAAACAGCAAAACTCAGAGTTCAGTTTAGGTGCCTTCCCACCACCCCTACTAGAACACTTTGTCTCAGTAGCCACTGAGTTAACAGTTGTGAAAGCTTTTAGAGAAAGATACATTCTTGTGCTCTTGAAAGAGTATGATTTACATTTCTTTGACATTCTCCAGTTTCAAAAGCCACTTGCAAATGCCAGTACTTCGAAGCTTTATTTCTGTACCTACAAAGAAAGGCACCTCTCATAAAAGAGCTTTTTAAACCATGGCACTTTAGGAAGGTAGAACCTAAGAGGCACAAAACCATAATGATAAACAAACAAATCGGTTTGTGAAGTAGCTCAGGCCATGGTCCCTACTATTCTAGGGCCTCTTCATCTATGCTGATGGCGTAAGTTTACTGAGCATTTATTTGGTGTCAGGTACTCTTCTAAGCACCTTACCTGAATCATCTCATGTGATACTTACAGGAACTCTAGAACTCTAGACCAGTGATTTTCCTTTCTTTTTTTTTTAAGAGACAGGGTTGCTCGCTCTGTCACCCAGGCTGGAGTCCAGTGGCGTGGTCGTGACTCACTGTAACCTCAAATTCTTGGACTCAAGTGATTCTCTTGCCTCAGCCTCCCAAGTAGCTAGGACTACAGATGTAAGCCCCCGTGCCTGGCTAATTTTTAATTTTCATGTAGAGACAAGATCTCCCTATGTTGCCCAGTCTGGCCTCAAGTGATCCTCCCACCTCGGCCTCCCAAGTCACTGGGATTATAGGCATGAGCCACTGTGCTAGACCAGAGATTTTCAATTAGGGGTTATTTTGCCCCTTACGCAGGGGATATTTGGCAATGTCTGGAGACATTTTTGTGTGGTACAACTAGGGGGGATGCTATTGGCATTAAGTGCGTAGAGGCCGGGGATGCTGCTTAAACAACCTATGGTTCTTGGGACGGCCCCACAGCAAAGAATTATCCAGGCCCTACTGCAATAGTGTCCAGGTTGAGAAGTCCTGCTCTCAGAGATAGGGATTATTATTCACCCCATTTTCCAGATGAAGACACAGAAGTACAGAGAGGTACTTCAAGATACTTAGGTTTATAAGCAAATATAATCAGCAAAAATGAGTGTTGGCAAAAGATTGAGAAAAGTTTGCCAATATATATATTTTTAATTTTTTATTTTTTCGAGACAGAGTCTCCCTGTCACCCAGGCTGGAGTGCAGTGGCCTGATCTCAGCTCACCGCATCCTCCACCTCCTGGGTTGATTCTCTGCCTCTGCCTCCCAAGTAGCTGGGATTACAGGCGTGCACCACCCACACCCAACTAATTTTTGTATTTTTAGTAGAGACAGGGTTTCACTATATTGGCCAGGCTGGTCTCAAACTCCTGACCACAAGTGATCCACCCACCTTGGCTTCCCAAAGTGCTGGGATTACAGGCATGAACCACCACACCTGGCCAAGTTTGCCAATATTTGGAATGAACTAAGAGTAGGAGGAAAAGAGAAGCCATTCGTTCTATCTCTGTTCTGTAATTTTCTGTTTTTGTATAACATTAATCTGTGGATCCTACTGAACTGACACATTGCAACAGCTCATGCGCAGTGGGGAGCTGTCCTAGACGCTTGTAGTGGCTGTAGCGACACTGCTTTCTAAACTCATTGCTTGCCTCCTCTTGACTATCACTCTGTTTTCCAATTTCACTGCCGCACTCCTCATTCTCTTCTCAATTTGCAACCTGTCCTTCCACTCTGTTAGGTCCATTTGTGATAGTTCAGTGTGTGAAGGAGGGAGGCCCCTGCCCTCTCGACCCAGCGCTTTCTCATATTAGACAGCCCGCATCTGTCTGGGAGGTTGTGGCGGATGGGGTAGGTGACCAGCTGTCTCCAGGTCTCTCCTGGGTAAAACCTCAGAATCATTGCAAATATTAGCTGACAGCCTATACAAGGAACGGGGCCAAAAGGAATTAAAAAGAGGATAAGCCTCCTTCCATATGGACTAGGATGAAAAAATGCTCACGATATTTTCAGTAAAAAAGCCAAGTACAAAACTGAATGTATTGATGATGATTTGTTAAAAGCTTTGCACTTTTGGATGTTCCTTTTACTAAATGAACATGCATTACTTTTATCGGAAATAAACAATACTTATTTTAGCAATAATGTTTTCTAAAAACAAACAAACAAACAAACAAAAAACACACAACAGCCAGGCACGGTGGATCACGCCTGTAATCCCAGCACTTTGGGAGGCCAAGGTGGGCAGATTATTTGAGGTCAGGAGTTCGAGACCAGCCTGCTCAACAAGGCGAAACCCTGTCTCTACTAAAAAACACAAAACTTGGCCGGGCACGGTGGCGTGTGCCTGTAGTCCCAGCGACTCAGGAGGCTGAGGGAGGAGAATCGCTTGAACCGGGAGGCGGAGGTTGCAGTGAGCTGAGATGGCACCACTGCACTCCAAGCTGGACAACAAAGTGAGACTCTGTCTCAAAAAACAAAAAAAAGAAAAAACAGGCAAAATTAATCTGGTGACCAGGACTGACTGGGAAGAGGCACCAGGGAGCCCTCTGGGGTGGCTTGAGAAGGACTGCCAGTTCCCTCTTGACTTCATCACCCAGCTCGCCACCCAGAGGGCTCCACATTTGCATAAACTACTCAGCAAAACAAACGCCCTTGGAAGTGACAGGAACCTGTGTTTCTAGAAGGCAGTTAAGCCACAATTTATTGGCACTCAAGCGTGCTGCTCCCTTGGGGTCTCACCCCCCAACCCCAAAACCATACTTACCTCCACTTCCAGAGGAGTTCTCATCATTACAATTGTATGGGGATCCCATTTCACCAACCTTATGCCTACAGTAATTTTGCTTCCCACTTTAAACCGTACCTCTTTGCCATGTCCCAGCTCTAGGGCTGAGCCAGCAGGCTTATTGCCTAAGGGAAGGAGAACAAGCAGAGAATAAAGAGGCCATTGATCAGCATTAGCGTCTCCAGGCTGACATTCTTGACCTCTGCGGAGGGACAAGGGCCTTGAAAGCAAGGCTTTATGGAGGAGAAAAGGTATTTCTCAACTCCTCAGATCCCTTCTAGCAAAGTCAAGCTGACAGCTCTAAGGAGATCTTCCCAATCAGAGTGTCTCACCACCCCCTGAGAGATTTGATAACCTCTGCCCTTGGAGCAGCCTGGCACGATCTGGGCAGGTGGGGATCTCATTAGTCTTCTGGTATAGCCTCCACTGAGGTTCCAGATCCCCTCTTGGCCATGCAGCACATCATGCCCTTATTATTTTATATGTGTGCCACTCCATGAAAAAGGTGTTGGCCAGGCACAGTGGCTCATGCCTGTAATCCCAGCACTTTGGGAGGCCGAGGCGAGTGGATCACTTGAGGTCAGGAGTTTGAGGCCAGTCTGGCAAACATGGCAAAACCCTATCTCTACTAAACATGCAAAAATTATCTGAGCATGGTGGCACATGCCTGTAATCCCGGCTACTCGGGAGGCTGAGGCAGGAGAATTGCTTGAACTCAGGAGGTGGAGGTTGCAGTGAGCCGAGATCCCGTCACTGCACTCCAGCTTGGGCAACAGAGCGAGACTCTATCTCAAAAAAGAAAAAAAGAAAAAAGAAAAGAAAAAGGTGTCAAAGAACTGACCTAGATCCTTGAGTTTTGCCATTTGCAGAAATGCCCCAAACATGCTCATGCTGCCCTGGGAGGATGGTGGAAAGAAGGAAAATCTCAAGGGCCACTCATAAGGTCAGATGTCTTTAGGGAGTGGGGAGATTTAGAATCATCCAAGAAGTGACGGGGAAAATTTGAGAACATCAAGGTAAGTGGATCACATCACAGGGCACTGCGTGAGGAAGTCTGCCAGCCATGGGGGACCTCACCTCTGGTTAAGCACCATGTATCCCCAGGCCCAAAGCAATGGCACACAGGTGGTGGCAAGAATGTGGATAGAGGAATCTGAGAAAGATGGCTTGGCCCTCCATGGCCTGTGCATGGACTGTGGGGGACACCAAATTTCCCAGGGGCCTGGGCTGGGTCCAGGGAGATGCCAAAAGAACGCTGGCCTGTGATCAGGATGAACAGGCTGACACAGGCAGGGAATGCAAGGCCAGAAGCAAATGACCTGGAATCTGGTTGCTGGCCAGGGCCTGCCCCAGCCCATGGGATGCCTTTGTGCAAATTAGAAAAAGGCTTGCTCTTCTGACTCACACAGCCCCATGGGCTTGTGGCTTGGCTAGCAAAGCACTGGCTAGATTTCAGCTCTTCTGTGGACACCCTCATGGAGGGCGTAACTCCCACAGCACTTAGACATGACACTCATTCCAGGACATCACTACAAAAATCTGGGTGGAATGATAGTCCCCAGCCAGTCCAGGGAGTCTCTCAGAACAGCCATTCCTCACAGCCTGGGCGGATTCTGTTTCCCCTTCCACTTCCCAGTTTTACCCCAAATTCGCACATTCCTAAGTACCATCATAAAAGGATGAGGGGGGGTGTTGGGAGGAGATGAGAATTGGGAGGTGGGATTCAGAGCTCTGACTGCACTTCTCCCCCTCCTCAGTCACCTAATGACTGAGTGATCTCAGAGATTGGATAAGATTAGCCAGGTGTGGTGGTGTGCACTGACTACTTGGAAGGCTGAGGCAGGAGGATCGCTTGAGTCCAGGAGGTCGAGGCTGCAGTGAGCTGTAGTTGGGCCACTGCACTCCAGCCTGGGTGACAGAGTGAGGCCCTGTCTAAAAATAATAATAAAAATAATTAGAAAATAAGCTACATTTTCTTTCGTTTTTTCTTTTTTTTTTTTCGAGATGGAGTCTCATTCTGCCTCCCAGGCTGGAGTGCAGTGGCAAGATCTCAGCTCACTGCAAGCTCCATCTCCCAGGTTCAAGTGATTCTCTACCTCAGCCTCCCAAGTAGCTGGGATTACAGGTGTGCGCCACCATGTCTGGCTAATTTTTGTATTTTTAGTAGAGACAGGGTCTCACCATGTTGGCCAGCCTGGTCTTGAACTCCTGACCTCAAATGATCCACCCGCCTTGGCCTCCCAAAGTGCTGGGATTACAGGCATGAGCCACTGTGCCCAGCCAGAAGCTACATTTTCTTTGCATATATAAGCATTGGGCAAATAAAGCCACATCCCTGCTAAACAATTTTCTCCCTCTTCTTACATTTTTTGGGAGGTGTAGGTACCTCTTACAGATAGAATGGGTGGCTGAATGCTGTTGTTTGTCCTGGAACTGTCCTAGATTTTGCTGATTTTCAGGATTATTATTAATAGCAACCCCCCCCCACCAGCTTTCAGAAATGCCTCAGTACGGATAATATGGTCACCTATTAATAATGATACATCAGATGTTAGGTCTGCCTGCACAGCCCTTCCTTCTAGCTCAGGTTAACACCAAGGAAGAAGGGCAATGGCTGGGCGTGGTGGCACACACCTGTAATCCCAGCACTTTGGGATGCCAAGGTGGGCAGATCATTTGAGGTCAGGAGTTCGAGATCAGCCTGGCCAACATGGTCAAACCCTATCTCTACCAAAAATACACAAATTAGCCAGGCACCTGTAATCTCAGCTACCTGGGAGGCTGAGGTGGGAGAATTGTTTGAACCAGGGAGGCTGAGGTTGCAGTGAGCCAAGATCGCACCACTGCACTCCAACCTGGGTGACAGAGAGATACTCCATCTCAAAAAAAAAAAAAAAAAGTATAAGCACGGTGATGAAGCTTAGAAAGAAGAGTGATCCCTCTGGGCTGGAGAATCCAAGCTTAAGGATGAATTTGATGTGAATTTTGAGGGAGAATGATTTGGAGAAGAAAAGAGTAAGCTTTTGTAGACAGGAGAGTGTATGTATTAATTTCCAATTGCTGCATAACAAATTACTGCAAAACTTAGGAGCTTAAAACAAAAATAAATATGACCCCCCACAGTTTCTACAGATAGCGAATTTGAAAGTGGCTTGGCTGGATGGCTCTGGCTCAGGGTTGCTCACGAGATTGTGGTCACGCTGTTGGCCGGAGCTGTGCTGAGCTAAGGCTTGTCTGGGGCTAGATCTGCTTTCATGCTGGCTCACTGGGGTGGCTGGTGGCAGAGCCTCTCACCACATGGACCTCTCTGCAGGCTGCTTGAGCTTCCTCACAACATGGCAGCTGGCCTCCCCCAGAGCAAGGGATTCAAGGGAGAGCAGGGTGGAAGCTGCAATGACTTTCATGACTTAGCTTTGGAAGGCACACTCCATTGTTTCTATAACATTCCATTTATTACATAAGTCAGCCCTATACAAACTGTGAATAGAAAGAGGTGGGGCTTGTTGGGGACCATCACGGAGGCTGGCTCCCACACTGGGTGTCGCTAAGGCACAGAGGCAGATATAGGGAGCATGTGCTCAGAGAACAAGTGATTGAGCAGTTCGTCTGGAATGTTTAGTGACTTCCCTCCATCCTCAGCCCCAGCCAGTCCTCTCTAGCCTAAGTCCAGTCATCCAGTCTTGGAGAACAGTGACCCACTGGCACATTTGGCAAAATGAGCATTTACAAGTTCTTTCCATTGCTGAACTCTAGAGCAAAGTGTGAGGAAACATTTTGTTTCTGCCAGCATGAGAAATGGACTGTATAGGAAGCACATTGTTGCCTTATCTGGGAGATTAAGATTACCACTTTTAAAAAGTCTACTCCAGAAAAAAAATACCATTAAAAAACAATCATTTTAAATTCATTTTCACTTTCGACTTGAAGGCATTTTTCTCATTTTAAAAAATGATGTATGGCTTATGTAAGTTTTATAGGATGAAAAAGCATTAAGGAAAAATACACCCTGCACCGAGTTGCTGTCATTCTCCTCTAATACCTGACTCTTCTGAAACAAATGAAGATGAGGCTGAGTTTCTGGGAGTCTGTGGTCCTGCTGAGGAATGAAATGCAGCTAAGGTTGGGCCGACAGCATCCACTGCGGTTCCTGGCTGCCTGGCTCCTGGTGAGATCAGCATTTTAAGCAGGTTCAGGTAAGATCTGGGACACTTGGGTTTTGGAGTCACAACCGATCTTTGTTTTACTCTGTGATCCTGGGAATAGTAGCCCTTTTCTGGATTTTTCTCCACCCTTAGCTAATGTGTTAACAATGTGTTGTATCCTTGTCTTAAGTATTGTAGTGTTATCACTTAAAACTGCCTCGGATGTCCTTTTAGAGAGCAGTTCCTCCATGTATGACATTTTATTTAACAATTATTCCTTGTTAAATTCCAACGGATACTGTGAGACACATGGCAGATACAGCCCTGCCCACAGGGACCTTCCATTCTGGTGGGCAAAGAAAGGAATACTGAAATTTCATCTACAGAGAATCCACCCCAAGGTGAGCCCGCTATCTCTAAGACTTTCAGGCGGCACTAGAGTGAACTAACTAGAAGGAAGACTGGATAGAGATACTAGTTAAAGAGATAAACAGCAAATAAATGCAACAAATGGCCAAAAGGTCTAGAACCGTTTACATCTTAGATATCTGTATAATTTACCTCTCTTTCCCCATGTGTATAACAAATAAATGATATCAACTATTTGAGCTCTTAGAAATACATCCTTTCCACATTTACAAAGCTCAGAGAGTGAGTGCTCTCTATATGCCAGGCCTGGGGCTGATGGCCTCACATATTTTATCTCTGTTAACATATTTATCTCCCAACACACCTAGGGTAGGTCTTCTTTTTAATCCCCATTTCACAGATGAGGAAACTGCAGCTCCAAGTCAGTGTGGTGCATTCAAGATCACCCCAGTTAGTAAGCAACAGAACTGGGATTGAAATCCTGTGGATCTGAAACTCTCAACTACCACTGTGTTAGTGCCAGTTACAACTTTTGGCTTTTAGTTGCCTATGGAGTCTATTTTGACATTAGCCAGAACTGAAATTTAGTTGTAGCTCCTATGAACTGCAACGGCAAACTGAAAAAGAGGAAAGAAAACAGCTTGAAACCTGTTTCAGACCCTGCATGAGGCACAGAACGAAGTCAGCGGAAATGAGAAGCCAGCTGGATTCTGCAAGTACTCAAGTGAGGGGGGGGGGCAATGGGAACCAACTTAATTGGATGATTATTTCAATTATCTAATTAAGAAAGATTACAGCTGAACAAAGACAGAAAGGGCCTCCAAGGTGATTTAAAAAAATAAAGTATCATAAAAAGTTGATTAGCTGGGTTGGCCCTTGGAGGAATTGGGAGGTTAAAGGGACTTCCCATTGGAGGCCCTGGCCCTTGGGACAGTTAGTCACCAAGGGCCTCTCCTCTCTCTTCTCTTCCCTCCCCAGTTGAAAGCTATCTGTCTGCCACCTTAGCTACTACTTAAGACTCAAATGGTCAGTAGCCTCCTTCCTTCCTCCCTCCCTTCCTCCCTTCATTCTTTCCTTCCTTCCTTTCCTTCTTCCTTTTTCCTTCCTCTTTGTTTCTGTATTCACTTAGCAAACAAGCAAAAAGCAAAAAACAGTCAAGATTTCCTTCCACAGTTTAGGACAGCAGTTATAATCTAGTTACTGCCTCCTCCCCACCTCCATGCCTGGCTCGCATCTCTTTTAAAAATATATAAATTATTTGCCAGTGTTTAAAAATCAAGGGTTTCACATAAAAGTCTAGATCTCTGGTTTTATTAGAAAAATCAGATCTGATAACACTGGTTCAACCTTCCCAGAGGTCTGACTCCAAATCTTTAACACTGCGTATGGCCTGGCATTGTCCAATCAGAACAGATGTCAGGCAGGAACCACCAGGGTGGACAAGTCCGTGTATCCTGGCTGGAGTTTGGGACCTCTGCCCCTTCAGATGGGCCATGTGCTCTCCAACTCCCAAGGTCTCCATCTGTCCTTTTTTCTTCTTGACACTGAGGTGAAGGTCACCTGCCATTTATCATCACACTTACTTGACCAATTTACATTAAGGAGGGAGGAGATTGTTTCCTTGGCTTCGCCTTTGACCCTCAGTCATCTGCCTGACTGGAGTTGGCTTGGAGCTTATGATCCTTGGTTCAAGGAGCCAAAAGCTTTTATTCCTTATACAAATTTAACAAATATTGGTTGAGGGACTTCACTGTGCCATGTGTTCCAGCAGAGCTATTAAGAACCAGGCTGTAAGGCCGGGTGCAGTGGCTAATGCCTGTTATCCAGCACTTTGGGAGGCCGAGGTGGGTGGATCACCTGAGGTCAGTAGTTTGAGACCAGCCTGGCCAACATGGAGAAACCCCATCTCTACTAAAAATACAAAAATTAGCCGGGCATGGTGGTGCACACCTGTGATCCCAGCTACACGGGAGGCTGAGGCAGGAGAATTGCTTGAACCCAGGAGGTGGAGGTTACAGTGAGCTGAGATGGCGCCATTGCACTCCAGCTTGGGCAACAAGAGTGAAACTCCGTCTCAGAGCCAGGAAGTAGAGTCAACAGTTCTGGACTCAAATCTTGACTCTGTCACTTACTAACTATGTGACATTACTCAATTTCCTGATTTCTAAATGAGGGAGAATACTTATTTTCTTTATAATACGGTTGAAAGGATTCCATGAGAAAGCATAAAAAAGGGCTTTGCGTAGTACCTGATGCAGAGTAAACACTCAATAAACGTCCATCAGTTTTGGGAATTAGGACTAGCTAATCATCATCTGTATCTACAATATGATAAGCGCTGTGCTATGCACCCATGTGTGTTATTCCACCCAATTCTTATGAAATCTCTAGAGACATCTTAGCTTGTTTTGTGCTAAGATATCTCTGCGCTAAGATATCTCTTGTGCTAAGATATTTATGAGTTACCCACCTGCAACTGGGTAACTCATAAAAAACGGAAATTTATTTCTTATAGTTCTGGAGGCTGGGAAGTCCAAGGTCAAGGTACTGAGGGCCTGGTCTTCACTTTCTTTCTTTCTTTTTTTTTTTTCTTGAGATGGAGTCTCGCTCTGTTGCCCAGGCTGGAGTGCCGTGGCGCGATCTCAGCTCACTGCAAGCTCCACCTCCCGGGTTCACGCCATTCTCCTGCCTCAGCCTCCTGAGTAGCTGGGACTGCAGGTGCCTGCCACCACGCCTGGCTATTTTTTTTTGTATTTTTAGTAGAGACGGGGTTTCACCGTGTTAGCCAGGATGGTCTCGATCTCCTGACTTCATGATCCACCCGCCTTGGCCTCCCAAAGTGCTGGGATTACAGGCGTGAGCCACTGCGCCCGGCCTGGTCTTCACTTTCAAGAAGGCACCTTGAAAACTGCATCCTCCAGAAGGGAGGAACACTGTATCCTCACATGGCAGAAGACTGAAATAGAGAGAATCCATTCCCACAAGCTTTTTACAATTCATAAAGGAAATTAATTAGCAGCATTATTCCATTCATGAAGGCAGAACCCTCATGATCCAAGCATCTCCCATTAGGCCCCACTTCCCAAGACTGTTGCATTGGGAATTAAGCTTCCAACATATACATTCTGAGGGAGCAAAAACATTCAAATCACAGCAAAAGGTAAATAGCATTATCCCCATTTTACAGAAGAGAATGCTGTTCTTCAGACATTGGATTTTGCCTTTAAGGACCCAAGCATGATAGGAGAGATAAGATATGCAGACAAAAGATAAATAGGGTTAAAAGAAAAAAGTACTCTACCAAACAAGAAGAGAGGAGTTAACTGACATAGAAGACGAAGAGAAGAGATTACTTCTTCCTGGAAATAAATTATAACATAATAAATGCTTCTCAAATTTTAATGTGCATATAAAATCATCTGGGGAACTTGCTAAAATACAAATTCTGATTTAGAGTTTGAAGAGAAGCCTAAGATTGGACATTTTAAACAAGCCCTGAGGTGCTACTGGTCCATGGACCACACTTTGAAAAACAAGCTAGTAGTGGCCAAGGAACTGGTAGCCAATCACAGTGCCCCATTTCCCTAGCCACAGTGATTGGTTCAGGCACAGGCATAAGAGCCAATTGGCCAATTAGAGTCTTCTCTGGAATTATATGTAAATGTCAGGGGAGAGAAAACCTGCATATCCTTCAGGACCATTAAGTGGGGATGAAGAAATCTTGCATTGCTTCTAGCCAACCCATGCTGTATCAAGAAAGTATCTCTGTAGTAGGAAAGAATGAAGCCACTAGGAAAGAGAAAAACCACTACAGAGCCAACAGAGAGATGAAGAAAGAGAAAGAATCCTGATGACATCATTTAAATACTTGGTATCCCTGAGGCTAGCTCCATCTCTGGTATCCCCAAGTATGGGAGCAATATATCTTTTTTTTTTTTCACTAGGTGAATTAGATTTTTATCACTTCCAAGTCAGAGTCCTGAATAAATCGGGTATTAGTTATCTTAGTGTATTTGTTATCTGTCACTGTTTAACAATTACCCCAAAACTTAGTTGCTTAACATGGTAACAATAAGCATGTATTATCTCTCACAATTTCTGTGAGTCAGAGATTTGATAGCAACTTAGCTAGGTAGTTCTGGCCCATATCCTCTCATGAGATTTCAGTCAAGGTGTCAGCTGGGGCCACAGTTATCTGAAGGCTTGACTAGGACTAGAAAATCAGCTTCCAAAGTGGCTCACTCATATGGCTGGCAGGTTGGTATTGATTGTTTGTGAGAAGCTTCAGTTCCTCCCACACTTCAGGCCTTCAGGTGGCCTTCAGGCCACCCAGAAGACCTCTTGAATGTCCTCAAAACATGGCAGCTAGATTCAGAGAGCAAGAGAGAGAATAAGAGAGAAAGAACACTAGGCAAAAGTTGTATTCTTTTTATAATCCAACTTCAGAAGTCACATAACATCGTTTTCTCACATTCTATTTATGAGAAGTAAGTCACTAAGAGTAGCCTATATTGAAGGGGGAAGTACACTCTGCTTTTGAAGGGAGAAATGTCAAGGTATTTGTGGACATATTTGCAAACATAGTTTTAAACTGCCACACTTAGCATGTCACATGGCTGGTTAACTGCAGAACCAGGATCTGAATTCTTGTCCTGACTTTGCCACCAATGGTCTGGGTGGACCTGGCATGTCAGTCCATATCTCTGAGTCTTGGTTGTCTCATCTGCCAAATGAGGAGGTTGGATCTGATCCATTCAGCCTTAAAATCCTACAGGTGTTTATACCAAAGATACTTAAGGCCATGTATGTTGGTGTCCTTGTAAGAGTCTAATTATCTTTGCCTTTGCTGTCTTCTGAAAAATGACTCTTGTTCATGAGGAACAACGATGTTTTTCATCTGTAAATATAACTTGTCTCATATTGTCCTAACCCCCAAATTTCATCAAGCGGGACTTGATTCAACCCGCCACTTCATTAAACAAATCCCGACCACCTATGAATGCAGAGGAACATGTGTGTTTTACCCAGGGCCATTTGGGCACAATCAGCCTGACACAGTTGCTTAATGAAGTCAAGCTTCAGATGATGAAGATTTCAGGATGAGATGGAAGATGAATAGGCACATGACAACACAGTTGGTGAAATATTTGGGGGGAAGGTGGACTTTAATGCTATCAATAATGATAATGATGATGATAATGCCTTTGAGAGCTTATGGTTTGCAAGCACTGTGCTAAGTATGCCTTTTATCTCTTCGGTCCCCATAACAACCTCATGAGAAGGTAATATTAGCACCATTTTATGGATAAGAAAATCGAGGCTAAGTTGAGTAGAATGAGTTGCACAAGTTCATGCAGTTAACAGAGAGGAGAAATGGGATTAAACCTGGGCCCACTGAATTTATAAGACTGTGTCTTCTACCACTACACACAACTGCCTAATTCTTGTATGTGACCAAGTAGTCTCTCAGAACCCAAATAAAAGTCTTACGAGTAGGTCTGATTTTATTGTCATTTTCAATTTCTTTTTTTAATCATAAACTTTGGTCATCCTCTACATTTTAAAGAATGACTTAAAATCTAAGAGATGGCTGGGCACAATGGCTCACGCCTGTAATCTCAGCATTTTGGGAGGCCAAGGCAGGTGGATAACTTGAGGCTGGGAGTTTGAGACCACCTGGCCAACATGGCAAAACATTGTCTCTGCAAGAAATACAAAAATTAGCTGGTCGTGGTGGTAGGCTCCTGTAATCTCAGCTACTTGGGAGGCTGAGGCAGGAGAATCACTTGATCCCAGGAGGCATAGGCTGCAGTAAGCTGAGATCACACCACTGCACTCCAGTATGGACAAGAGAGCAAGTCTCTGTCTCAAAATAAGTAAATAAAATCTAAGAGTTGCTCATCATTATAAAACATTCATGAGGTTCCCCACAGTGTGATCCTGTATTTGGTAAAGATAGCTAAATAGACACAGCCTCAAACCCATCTACTTAAAACACTCAGTCAAGGGCAGGCCAAGATGGTGCCGTGAACTGGGTAGGAGATGCCAAGGCAGTTAGTGAAAGGGGAAGGAGAATTCATCAGAAAAGTTAAGGCCAGATGGGGAGCCAGGAGGCTTGTAGGTGGGAGAGGCAGAGGAGGGGACAATGCTGGCAAATATCATAAGGTCCTGGACCGAGGCTCAGCTGGGGGGTCAAGAGGGTGAGCAGTTGGCACCCTGTTATACCCAAGTCAGCCAGCACAGGCGACCCAGTAGAAGTTGCAGGGTTAGCAAGTGCCAGGGTCCAGGCAAGTGGAAATCAGGCTGACAGGTTGAAATCAGGAAGGCAGCAAGATCAAGAATAGGATGAGGGAGTCAGAAGGCACAGGCAAGTGGGCTACAGACCCATGGACAAGAAAAAGCAGGCTGGGCACAGTGGCTCACGCCTATAATCCCAGCATTTTGGGAGGCCAAGGCAGGCAGGTCACTTGAGGTCAGGAGTTCCAGACCAGCCTGGCCAACATGGTGAAACCCTGTCTCCATTAAAAACACACACAAAATTAGCCAGGCGTGGTGGCGCATGCTTGTAATCCCAGCTACTGGGGAAGCTAAGGCAGGAGGATCCCTTGAACCTGGGAGGCGGAGGTTGCAGTGAGCTGAGATTGCACCACTGCACTCTAGCCTGGGCAACAGAGCGAGACTCTGTCTCAAAAGAAAAAAAAAAAAAAAGAAAGAAAGAAAGAAAGAAAGAAAGAAAAAGCAAGTGTGAGGATCCCAGAGACAAGGTTTAGGCAGTAGCAGAGAAATTCATGATGAGATGAAGAAAGACTTCCACTTCCACTAGTGGTGGGTTAGGCTGTTTGGACCAACCCTCCTTCGAGAAACAACTAAACATGCTGGATGAATTGAACATCTTAGAAGCACGTAAGAGTTAATCATATAGTAGGATATTACCAGGCCAAAACTAAAAGGAAAACAGGAACCCAAAGAGATAAGCAGAGCTGGGAAGTCACTTTGGAACCAAGGGCATTGGCTGAATCCAGTAATTTGAACTTTTGTTTTGATGGCCTTGTGGGATAAGAGAGGCAGAAATCAAAAGTGCAGTCTAATTGGAGACCCTCTCCATAATAACAGAGACCCCAAAGCCCTACACTCTCAGGAAAAAGGTGAACCAAAAATAAACTAGACCTAGCCAGGCTCAGTGATGCACACCTATAATCCAGCTACTCTGGAGGCTGAGGTGGGAAAATTTTTGAGGCCAGGAGTTCAAGACCAGCCTGGGACAACACAGAGAGCCTCCTGTCTCTAAAAAAGGACCCAGCTACTCTGGAGGCTAAGGCAGGAGAATTCCTTGAGCTTACAGTCCAAGACCAGCCTGGGCAATATAGCAAGACCCCATCTCAAAACAAAAAAAAAAAAGTGAACTAGGTGTATCAGATTTGTGGCCCAGATTCAGTGTTTGATTGTCCAGGCAACTTCAAACTTTGAACCTGGTTTAAGGTGGTCCCCAGACACCTGACAAATGCAGACACAGATCATCTCTGGAGGAAGGTACCTTTTCCCTAGACCTCAGATTACTCCTGCAAGTTATTTTTTCAGGTATAATGAGCAGCATACAATCAAAGATAACCAGGGATTAAAAGAAATAAGGCACCATGAACAAGAACAAGCAAGAAATAGCAGCCCGCAGAAATAGTCCTACTAAGACTTTAGATATTGGAGTTATCAGGCACAGATTAGAAACTAAGTGTTGGTAATATGTTTGCAGAAATAAAAGACAAGGTCAGGAATATATACATGGAACAGGAAATGATCAAAAGCCACCCAGCAGATTTGAAAAAGACTCAAGTAGAACTTCCAGAAACAATACAAAATCAAAAAAACTTTATTTTAGAGGCAAAATTAAATTCCATCATGGAAATTTCTTGGAAACAAGTGCAAGGCATACCTATTAAGATGATTTTTGGCTGCAAGAAAACAAGCACCCCACTACATGTGTCTTAAATGATGAAGATGATTTACTATCTTGTATAACAAGAATCTAGTCTTTGGGCTGTTTTAGGATTATTTCTGTGGTGAAATCTAGGTTTCTGTGGTGTCATCTAGGATCCTTTGCCTCTTTCCATGCCACAGTCCTCCGTGTGTTGGCTTTTATCTTAGATTTGTTCCCTCATGGTGGCAAGATGGCTGCAGCAGCTCCAGCCATAACATTGTTATATTACCTCATTCAAAGGCAGACATAAAGAAGGCTTTCCCCTATGAGTCTCTCTTTTATCAAGGAGGAAAGCCTTTCCCAGAAGCAACTCCACCAGACTTTCCTTCGTGTCCAACTGACCAAGAACAGGCCATGTACTCTAGCTACAAGGCAGGCTGCGAAAGTGAGTTGCTGACGTTTTCAGCCTCTAAAGTGGAGATGGAATCTGAAAGCCGGGGAGAAGAAGGAAAGAAATGGCTGCTGGGTCATCAGCCCTGATTCTGTGTAGGAACCCTTAGAAGGGGAATATGGTGACAGAGAGACAGAAAGATTCCAATATTGGAGTAGTTTGTCTTCAGGAGCATTGAGCTCCTCTTTCAGTACCATTTTCCCTCTTTTAGAACCATTGTCACGTTCCTTCCCTTCTCCAATCCATTCTCCTAGGATACCTGAAGACCTTTCTTCTCTGCATCTTCTCCTTCAGGAGGTAAAGAGGATCTTAAAAGCAATTGATCTGATAGTTTAAATTAGTTGTCTGTATTACTACTCCCATAAGAAGCATAAAGAGGAGAATCCAGGCTGGGCACGGTGGCTCACACCTACAATCCCAGCACTTTAGGAGGCTGAGGTAGGTGGATTGCCTGAGCTCAGAAGTTCAAGACCAGCCTGGGCAACATGGCAAAACGCTGTCTCTACTGAAAATACAAAAAAAAAAAAAAAAATTCGCTGGCTGAAGTGGTGTGCATCTCTGGTCCCCAGGTACTCATGAGGCTGAGGTGGGAGGATCGCTTGAGCCTAGGAGGTGGAGATTGCAGTGAGCTGGGATCATGCCATGCACTCCAGCCTGGGCAACAGAGTGAGACCCCATCTCAAAAAAAAAAAAAAAAAAGAAAGAAAGAAAGAAAAAAGAAAACGAGGATAATCCAAAGGAATCAATACCACGGTGGTATTTCAGACACTGTTGGCTCATGAGAGACAGGGCCAAAGTAAGGAGAATTCGGGAGCAGTAAGTGTGGGGAGGCAGCATTCGGACTCAGGTATTATACATGCAAGACAGCCCGCGAATCACCCAAGTGGTGATGGAACACTGATGCACCTTGGTGGCTGTGGAGCAGGAGCAAGAGTGCTGGTCTTGGAGCCTGAAGCCTGGGGTGGCTGTTGTGACTTAGAAGCTGCATGGCTTTGGAGAGGGGGCTGCTTCTCCTGACCCCATTTTATTCATCTGGAAGACAATAAAACTTGACTCAATGACTTTTAAGGCCCCTTCTTGTTCTAAAGCAATAACAAAACCAAAATCAAAATCAAAAGTAACAATAGTGACAGAAGAGAATTCAAAAGAAATGGAAATAATGCTGGTGGGACTCTCTCCTCCTCTCCCAGGTCCACTTCTGTCTTTGTGTATTGGCTTTATTTTCGCCCCACATCAGGACAAAGGAGAAGGAGGAAGGCAGCAGGAGATGGAAGGGGAGCCGGCTGTCACTGCTACCCAGAGCTACAGGCTGTCGTCATTGGTCCAGCAAAAGAACAAAAGAAGGTCTCTCTTCCAGCATTTGTGTCTAACATCTTAAGGAAGCACCTTGCCCATTCACATGCCCATGCTTTATTAGCCAGGCCTGGGCCCTGTTGAGGGCATGGCAGGGACAGGGTGGGTAATGGATATTACTGTGATGGGTGCCCCCACCAGAACCACAGGAAATAGGAGATGCTATTACCAGAAGATGGAAATTTTCTGGGCAGACAAAAAGAAAAAAAATCTGCATAGTATAATTTGCCCCATTTATAACAATAAATTGAGGCCCAGAGAAGTTAAACACCTTACCCATGACACACAGCAAGTAACTGTTGCAGTGGTTTAAGCCCAAGTTTTCTACGTCTGAGGTCTAGGCTCCTCCCACTGTACCTTAGTTCATCTTTGAAATTATGAAACCATTTCTTTGCTTTACTTTAAATGACAATTCTCTGTCTTTATTATCTTCTGAACTAGATCAAGAGATAACTTTTATTCATTTGTAGGTCACTTTCTATTACTGGAAAGCTCTTCTAATTAACCAGTAATATGCTCAACAAGGCATGGGAGGGGCAGAGATGTGGGGCAGGGCAGCCACTGAGCAGATGTTGCCAACGGCATCACTTCATACCATACTTTAGAGGACACAGAAAGGACGGAGAGGGAAAGGGGGGCTTCCCAAAAGAGCCCTAACAACCTTTGGTTTGTAAAGTGCCCCAGTGGTCTGGAAATCAGGGAGTGTGATGATGAATGGGGTTTTTTAATGAAGACACTTCCCAAACCTGGTAGATGATTAAAAGGTTGGGAGGTGCTTCAGAGTAATGACTAAGAAGTCTCTGCTAATTGTGCTGAAGGCACAGAACTTGTCACCGTGGCAGAAGGCGTCAGAGGCAGAGAGTATGTCCTGTGTGCCCATCACAACAGCTGCTCACAAAACAAGCATCCACGTGCTCCCATTATTGCTAAATGTCTGTTCAGCCCACATCGACTCTGATCTGGAAAACTGCCCCCTGCTTGTGTTCAGTGTTCCCACCTTGGTCACGACCTCTTGCCCTTGTCAACAAAGTCAGCCTTGGAGTTGGTACTTTCTCTTGGCAAGTGGGGAAATTTGAGCAAGAAGGAGAGAGTGCAGGTGGAACACGGTTGGTCCCTGTTCTGGAAGTCAAGAGAGAACAGCCCGGGTTTAGCCCACTACGTCCTTTATTTGGTCCACACTTCTTTAAAAAAAGGATTTGAAGGTTTTGTTAACCAGGTAGCTCCTGCAGCTCTTCGTGGACATGGGAAGTTCTATCCCATTTAACCAGGCGTGGGAGAATCAGACCTCAGAGAGCTCTGTGTGCTCCTAGCTCAGAACAGTTGGGTTAGGATGAAGCTCGAAGAGGAACATTTCCTGGCCGCCTACAATGTGTCACTTGTTACCCCCTCAGTGCCCCAAATCTTCATCTCTGTCAACCTGAGAGGACCCTAAAGGGGAGGAGAGCACAGTCAGCTTGGCTCCTCAAGGCTTCTTAACTTGAGCTGTCCAGCATCACCCTTCACCCCAAAAGGCTTCTTTCCTGGTGTATTTTTTTTTTTTTTTTTTTTTTTTGAGATGGAGTTTTGCTCTTATTGCCCAGGCTTGAGTGCAATGATGTGATTTCGGCTCACTGCAACCTCCGCTCCTGAGGTCAGGTGATTCTCCTGCCTCAGCCTCCCGAGTAGCTGGGATTACAGGCATGTGCCACCATGCCCGGCTAATTTTGTATTTTTAGTAGAGACGGGTTTTCTCCATGTTGGTCAGACTGGTCTCAAACTCCCGATCTCAGGTGATCCACCTGCCTCAGTCTCCCAAAGTGCTGGGATTACAGGCATGAGCCACTGCGCCTGGTCTTTCCTGGTGTCATTTTAAGTCAAATCCCAAAGTCCAGGCCTGGAACAGAAAACTAGCACAACTTCCAGAGCCTGAAAGGACAAAGCCCAGCCCCCCCTGGACTGACACGAGCCTTTCACTTTCTTCTTCATTTCCCTCATTCCCTTTTGATCCCCCACAGGGTTCTCTCCACATTCCTGCCCCTTGGGCATCCAGCCTCTGTTTGCATCCTGCCCTTAATGAGGAGCCCACTACCTCCAGTAGCCCCATCTATTTTCAGACAACTCCAATTGTACTGTTTCAAAGGGTTTTCTCTGGCAAACTAATTTCCAAAGATGCCCTAGGGGTGAAGAAAGAAAAAGATTGGTGGATAAACACATTTGGAAAAAACTGCTTGTGATAATATCTTCCTAGAGATTTATTCCACAACAGTATATTCTGAGTTATGAGAAATATAGCAATTGAGAAACCTGTTTAACTTTGCTCAGCTGAGAATTCCTAAATTTATTTGATTACAGAGTCCTTTCTTCAAGAATCATCTACCAACAAGCTGGGCGCAGTGGCTCACACCTATAATCCCAGGACTTTTGGAGGCTGAGGCGAATGAATTGCTTGAGCTTAGGAGTTCAAGACCAGTCTGGGCAATATGGTGAAATCCCGTCTACACACACACACACACGCACTCTTACAAAAAATTAGCCAGGCATGGTGGTGCGCACCTGTAGTCCCAGCTACTCAGGAGGCTGAGGTGGGAGGATCCCACCTCAGGAGGTTACAGTGAGCTATGATCACAGGCCACTGCACTCCATCCTGGGTGACAGAACAGGACCCTGTCTCAAAAAAAAAAAAAAAAAAGAAAGAAAGAAAGAAAAATTATCTACCAACCCCCTGTACATCTTAGAAATGCTGTGTCACAAAGTTTTTCTGGGGCGGCAATCACTCCTCCTGAGAGTCCCACCTACTGACTTCCTTTCTAAGTTCTGAGGTACGAAGAACACGGCTGGTCCCTTCACAGATTGGAATATTAAGATTTAACCCATATTAAGCACTTAGAAGGAGCCAGGTTGGCCAGACGCGGTGGCTCAGGCCTGTAATCCCAGCACTTTGGGAGGCCAAGGCCGGCAGATCACGAGGTCAGGAGATCAAGACCATCCTGGCTAACACGGTGAAACCCCGTCTCTACTAAAAATAGCCGGGCATGGTGGCGGGCGCCTGTAGTCCCAGCTACTCAGGAGGCTGAGGCAGGAGAATGGCGTGAACCCGGGAGGCGGAGCTTGCAGTGAGCCAAGATGGAGCCACCGCACTCCAGCCTGGGCGACAGGGCGAGACTCCGTCTCAAAAAAAGAGCTTTTTACAAGTGACCCCACACCCCTTGTCTAACAGAAGGAGAAACTGAGGCTTAGAGGGGTTAGATGACATCCCATAGCTAGATAGTGGCAGAGGAAAACAAACCCAGCATCTAATACAAAGTATACAAAAACAGGAGAATGCTTAGCACATGGCGAATGTTCGATAAATGTTATTTATGTTGTTGCTGTTATTGCTGTTATTATTATTATTATTTTCTTTTACCATCCATCTGGCTCAGAATACTGTTATTATTATCTGACTTAAGAGTAAGTGCTCTTAACCTTGTGAAAAAGTTTTCCCATGTTTAGATGATGTCTCTTTCCTATCCATTTCTCCACACTGTGCAAACCAGGAAGAAGGATTGAACACCCAGGACATCTAATCTTTTCCAGCTTAAAGCAATCTTCCATTTGCTGGTTCCTCAGAAGAAGGACTGTCTAAATCCTCAGAAATACAGTGGAAATGAATCCTTCAAAAAGATCACCGAGGGAGAGCAGAGAAGAACAGGGGACTGGGGAGAATCCATCAGGAGGAGGAGAATCTTCCAGACCAAGGTTGGCAAACCACAGTCCCCAGCCCCATTCCGGCCCAGTCCACTGTGTTTGGTAAATAAGGTTTTATTGGAACACAGCCACACTCATTCATGTATGTATTTATTACCTATGCTGCTTTCTGCACTATAACAACAGAGTTAAGTAGTTTCAAAAGACAGCTAAAATATTTACTATGTGGTCCTTTACAGAATCGGTTTGCCAACCCTTGCTCTAGGTTGTGGAGAGGAGAAATGTGGGCTGGAGAGGGTTTGTGATCAGCTGGGTGTCTGTCTGTCTTTTATTGTTTTCTGGATGCTCTAGGAAAATCCAGCTAAGAGTTGCTAGGGGCCAGAATGAGACACCTTACAAGAACTTTAAGTAAGGAAGCTACGGCTCTCCACCAAAGTTAAGCTTTACGTCTATTTGTGATGGCTCAGAGCTGAGACATGCAAAGTCCTCTGAAGGTCACTGCATCACTCCAAGGTGAGACGCATGTGACTCTCAGTGGATCAAGGTGATGGCCTATCTCAAGAGAGACTGACTAGTCAACAAAATGGGGTTTGGTCAGCCTTGTTCACTGAGACAGAGCAGAGGTTATTGTTGGCACGACTCCATTCGGGCACTGGTCCAGGTGAGGGGAGGCCTCCAGTGGATGGAATATCTCAAGTGGGAAGACCATTTCTACAAGGCCTTCTATGTTGAAGGAGCTCTTAGCCTATTGTCCTTGAACAGTCAATCACCTACACAATGCCCTTGTTGCAACTCCACGATCTCGAAGCAACCTTCTGGTTATGACTTGGCTCCTTCCCGTGTAGGTCTGCCAATACCCCATATGCCTGGACGGGTTTTAGGGTGACTGAGAACTCCTGAAATTGTGTGTGCAATGTTGGGTATATGTGAGAATGCACATTATTAAGGACGAGGTCCCCCATGTTTGTTAGAGTCTCAGAGACAATGAAAGTTTAGAAAAGAGACCCAGCATTTATCTGTGTGAATGTTTTAATTAGGGCTTCCTTCCACCCTCCAACTGAGGGCAGGAACTCTGTCTCAGACACCATTGTTCCTCCGGCACTCAGCCCTGTGCCAAGCTCATAAGACATGCTTACTAAGTATTTGTTGCAGCAAGAATGGAAGGAAGAAAATAAAGAGGAGAGGCTGGGGACAATGGAGGATGGGAGGGAGGAAGGTTGGGGTTGGTCATACAAACATGAGTGTTCAGGTCGCTGGGATAGAATTTTCATTGTAATTTAGGAAACTGACCTTCTGATTTATACAACAGTCTCGTGAGCATGGTTAATGGATTTTCCCTCAGGCATAGACCTGTTCCTGGTGTGCTGTCAAATCAGGATTCTTAAGCCTGAAAAGTTTATGGCCAGAGCCTGGACCTGGGTGAATGCACAAGCAGGTCTCCTCAGGAGACAGACAGCTGGCTTTTCCCCAGATGGAGAAGGAGGGCTTTAGTTTTCCTGTAATTGCATTTCTACTGCAATAATAGTGTCTGCTGTCTTCTCGCAGTGCTGGGGACATTCAAAGCCAGTGTGCCAGTGCCTAGGACAGTGCTGGCACCCAGTAGGTGCTCAGCAAACATTTACTGTGCAAAGGGATGTTGTGCTATTTTGGGTAACTGATAAAATATAGATTTGCACAATTGTTTTTGCAATTACAGCTAAAAACATGATTGAATAACCCACAAGCTATAGTCTGCAACTACAGACATTCTAAAGTAATAAGGCTAACAGGAATTCAAAAAACCAAATCATTACTAGTTTTGAAACACAGTGTCCCTAAACAGACACGAGAGCCTAATGCCCAAACCAGCCCTCCTGCCTATGGGGTTTTCCAGGCCTTGCTTGACACCTTCTAGATGGTAGCAGTTTACAACTTGGTAGGCAGCAGCATGGAGCCTTAAAAAAGAACAATTTCAATTTAAGATTTGGTTGAGGATTTCTAGATACTTAGTGAAAATTCATAAAGCTGCAAAGTACTGCTCCATGACAACTGAAAGATGGTCATGTCTCCCGTTGGTGACTTAGGTAGATCTGTATCTTATTCTCTCATTCCCTTCTCAGGGCACACACACACACTCACATACACACACATGCGCATACACACAGCTTGATTTCTTCTGAAAAAAAAAAAAAAAAAAAAAGGAATACCTGTGTGGTGCTATATTATTTATCTATTTCTGTGTAACAGTTTACCCCAAAACTTAGCAATGCAAAGTAACAAATGTTGATTATCTCAAACAGGCTCTGACGGTCATGAATGCAGGTGCAGTTTACCTGCGTGGTAAGGTCTCCTGAGCTCTCATGAGGGTGCAGCCAAACTGTCCGCCAAGGCTGCAGCCTTAGCAACGTTCAACTGGGGCTGGAGGAGCTGCCTCCAAAACCACTCATGTGTTTATTGGCTGGCCTCAGTTTCCTGCTGGCTCTTAGCCTGAAGCTTTAGTTCCTTCCCGCATGAGCTACTATATAAGGTACTTATACATGGTTGCTTGCTTCCCTCAGAGAGGAGAAACAGATAGACTGACCAACAGACAGACACACAGATGGACAGGGTCAGAGACAGGAAAGAGAGAGAGAAGTTGCAGCTTTTTATGACTTAATTTTGGAGGGGCATACCATCACTTCTCTATAGGCCATTGGCCACACAGACCAACTGTGATACAGCACAGGGGGGAAATAAACAAAGGTGTGTCTATCAGGAGAAGGGGACCACTAGGGGCCATCTTGGGGATCACTTAAGGGCCACAAATCCCTTGACATTCCTCCCTGCAAAAAGTAGAAAACGAATTTCCTTCCCTTTGAATAAGAGCTAGACTCAGTGACTTTCTTGTTACAACAGGAATGAAGTGGAAGTGATTTTGCACAGATAAGGTCATAAGAAGCATCGCGACATCCATTTTTCTCTCTTGAATCACTCTTTCTGGGGGAAGACAGTGTCCGTGTTGTTAAGACACTCAGGCAGCCCTATGGAGAAGCCCATATGAGAGGAACTGAGGCCTCCTGCCTTACCAGCTAGCTGGTCATAAATAAAACATCTTAAAAGTGGATTCTCCAACTGGCCAGGCACAGTGGCTCATGCCTGGTAGTCCCAGCACTTTGGGAAGCGGAGGTGGATAGATCATTTGAGGTCAGGAGCTCGAGACAAGCTTGGCCAACATGGCGAGACCCTGTCCCTACTAAAAATACAAAAATTAGCCAGGTGTAGTGGCGCTTGTAATCTCAGCTACTCAGGAGGCTGAGGCAGGGGAATCGCTTGAACCTGGGAGGCAGAGGTTGCGGTGAACTGAGATCTCGCCACTGCAGTCCAGCCTGGGCGACAAACTGAGACTCCATCTCAAAAAAAAAAAAAAAAAAAAAGCAGGGTGTGGGGGGGATCTTTCAGCCCCAGGCAAGCATTGAGATGATTGCAGCCCTGAGTGCAACCTCATGAGAGACCCTGAGCCGGGCCACCCAGCTAAGCTCATCCCAAATTCTTGACTTACAGAAAATGACATGATAAATATTTATTATTATTTTAAGTCATTAAGTTCTGGGGTCATTTGTTATGCAATGATAGATAATACAAAGTGCTAATTGAATTTCAGTGTTCTTAGCTGCAAATAACGGAATCTGCCCTAGTTAGTTTAAGTAGACAAGGAATGTGTTAAAGGATCTACGTAGTTCACTGAGTTCCTGGGAGAACTAAAGGATGAGGCTTGGAGCTACAAAGCCATGACTCTTCCAGTGGAGACCCTTCTGCTGCCATTGCTGGGCACAGACCCCCTATATTCTAGTGACAGAGTGCTGCCATTTTGCTTCCGTGAGCTGGATGTCTCCACCACCACCACTTGTAAAGAATGAACTCCGCATGGCACTTACTTCTAAACCAAAGCCTGTACAAGAATTTGGTCATATATCTGTTCCCTGGTACAATGGTTCATTTTATGTGTCAACTTGGCTGCGTCATTGTGCCCAGGTATTTGGTCAACCATTATTCTGGATGTTTTTGTGAGGGTGTTTTTGAAGGAGATCAACATTTAAATCAGTGTACTTTGAGTAAAGCAGACTGCCCTCCCTAATGTGGGTAGGCCTCATCCAACCAATTGGAGGCCATAACTGAACAAAACCTGATCTCCTCCAAGCAAGAGGGAATTCTGCCAGAAGACTGCCTTTGGACTTGAACCGTAACATTTTCTCCTTCCTGATCTCCGTAATTGCGTGGGCCAATTTCTTAAAACAAATTTCTCCCTCTCTCTATCTACACATCCTATTGGTTCTGTTTCTCTGGAGAACTCTGATTAATACACCTAGTTACAAGGGAAGCTCATTAAGTGAGTTTCTGGCTTAAGCACGTTCAGACCCATAAGAAGAGAAATTCTACAGATATTGGAAAGGTGTCCTAGTTGCTAGGTGGCCACAAAGCCTAGCTAATATCCACTATACTTGTTATGTTAATAGTCAAACTGGCAGGATGCAGTGGCTCAGGCCTGTGATCCCAGCATTTTGGGAGGCTGAGGTGAGCAGATGGCTTGAGCCCAGGAGTTCAAGACCAGCCTAGGCAATATGGTAAAACCCCATCTCTACAAAAAATTACCTGGGCATGGTGGCACATGCCTGTGGACCCAGCTACTCAGGGGGCTGAGGCAGGAGGATTACCTGAGCCTGCAAGGTCAAGGTTGCAGTGAGATGTGATTGTGCCACTGCACTCCCGCCTGTGCGAGTGAGATGCTGTCTCAAATAAACAAATAAATAGCCAAACATCATAGCAATCTTTTATATCAAATTAAACTTATCCCTCAATACCACTTCTTTCCCCAATCCACAGAGAAAAGCAGATAATCATTTGATGTATATCCCTCAAGCTATTTTTTTCCAAGCTGTAGACTTTAAATATGTGTTTGGGGCATGTGCCTGGTGAGATCCCAGGGAGTTCACCTGAGATTCAAGCTTTTGCTCAACAGACGCTATGGTCTTTCTTCTGTATGCACCTTCTTCCTTTAATTATATACACTTGTAAATAATGAATAACATTTCCCTCAAGAGATTTTCTAATTTTATCTCTTGATCCAAATTAAAGTGTGACCATAATTTCTTCTCTAGAGATTGATATTGTGTGCCTGTAAGTAAAGTTATAAGCATTGCAGTCCCATGGGAAGAGGGTGGTAATTCTTTCCTGGCTAAAATTTCATGAAATCTCATGAATTCAGATTCCTTAAAATCGGAATTTGCGATTATTCAGCCTTACCTGGGTTGGAGTTTGCTTTTCATTTTCTCTGGGCAAAGCAATTAAATTTAAAAAAAAAAAAAAAAAAAGACAAATTACAAGAGGAATATTTCAGGAGTACAGTTTTAAAAGGTTTTAGTATCCAATTTATTGGGGCCCAAGTGGAACCTGCTACACAGAAGTAATAGAAGTAATTTCTTTTTTTTTTTCTGTAAGCTGAAAGGAGCAAAGAGGAAGACTGATTTTATCATAGGGTCTTTAAATTTTCAAACAAGATCCCCATACAATTTTGTCTCTTACTTTAAACAATAGCAAAGCTGGAATGTATGTGTGACTTTTGATTTGAAAAGACAGCATTCATCTAGGATTATGATTCGGGAACAATCAGTGATCAAATAGAATTATCAAAGAGAAAGGAGATCCCAAAATGATCGCCAAAATGGTCCTCTAAAACAGAAAATCTGACCGGGTGTGGTGGCTCACGCCTTTAATCCCAGCACTTTGGGAGGCTGAGGCAGGTGGATCATGAGGTCTGGAGTTTGAGACCAGCCTGGCCAACATAGTGAAACCCTGTCTCTACTAAAAATACAAAACTTAGCCGAGCATGGTGGCATGCGCCTGTGGTCCCAGTTACTTGGGAGGTTGAAGCAGGAGAATCGTTTGAACCGGGGAGGCAGAGGTTGCGGTGAGCCAAGATGGTGCCACAGCACTCCAGCCTGAGCAACAGAGCGAGACTCCATCTCAAATAAAATAAAATAAAATAAAATAAAATAAAATAAAATAAAATAATAAAATAAAATAAAACAGAAAATCTTTTTAATAAAGCAAGCAAGCAAAATTCAGGCACAATAGAAGTATAATTATGACTTCCTTGAATGTTTTAAAATAAAATTAAAAACCTGTAATGATGCTAGTTAAGTTTCTGATGTCGAGGTGGACACAATTCCCTTGGTATGAAGCAGAATGACACTTAAAAATCATGCTTTCTCAGTAGAGAGAGCCTCTGACCTGTAATCTTGGCCTGTTGTTTGTTGGAGAATAGTTTCTGCTTAAAGAAATTGATCCCCTTAGCCCGTGGGACGCTGGGCAGCATCTGGGGCTGACAGAGAGCCCAGGAAAAAAAACTTCTGGCTTCCTGTGGTGCTGTTTCTGTACCCCAGTGAGCCATACAGACATTATCATCTTCCAGCTGTCCTTTCATGAAAAACTTGGGAAGCTCTGCAGGAAAAAGAACAAGAGAGCCTCTCCTTCGTACCATTTTCTTGGCAGCTGTGAGTAACTTTGAGTAACCATCCTCCGACACCTAATTGAATGTGGTGTAGAGACACTGTTGGGGACACAGTCCACTATCATCCCACAGGCCTTTGGGTCCACACCCTTCCAGCTTCATCATTAAAAAAAAAAATACTACACGGGATTCATGTTTGTTTTTAAATGTGAACATTACAGAAGGTGATGATTAAAAAGTGGCATCCCTTTGTTAACTGTTAAGAGTTGGATGTGTATCTTTCCAATCCTTTTCTCCAGGCATGAGTAAACAGTAACTTTTATTTGTTCTCTATTACTGTCATTGGTCTATTCAGTCATCTGCTTAACCATCTGAAATATGCACGTACCTGCCAGAAATGAAGGAGGCATATATGCCAGGCAGCCATTTGATTGAACACTCAACTGTATGATAGAGGATTCTTCTTGGTGCAAGTAACATAAAACATGATTCAAACCATCTTAAGCAAAAGTGAAAAAAAATGTACAGGCTTTCCTTACACAAAAGTGATGGGGCAGGTCCAATTTAAAGTACAGTATGATGCAAGGGCCCAGTGACATCATCTAAATCCTGTGTGTCTCTGTCTCCCCCTCCTCCCTTCTTTCCCCACGTTGGCTTCCTTCTCCAGGTCCAATGCCAGTGGTTGCAGGGCCCATGCCCTTTCAAGTTCAAGTCCAGGGGAAATATGAAGAGCCCCAGCGCAAGTCTCACTGTGTCTTATTGTCTCAGGCCACCCTTTCTGAAGGAGCCGATCCCCTGTCCCTTGTTACTCCTATTTCCCATTACTCTGTTTTATTTTCTTCAAAACACTTACTGCCTATTGAAATTATGCTAAGTATTTGTTACTTGTTTATTGTCTGTCTGTTTCCCACTGGAAAATAAGCTTCACCAGAGCAGCATCCTCATCTGGCTTGATCCTTGCTGTATATCCCAGCTCTTCTCAATAAATATTTGTTGAATGAATGAATGAGTGAGTGAGTCACCGAGGCCAGGAAAATAGCATGCACTACTGGCCAGGCTTCAGTCACATGACCCCTCTGCAAAATACCTGGAATGAGAGCTGGGGAGAAGACGGTACCCCAGAGAAAAATCAGGGTACTGTTGGCTGAAGAAAGGTGACTGGAATGGATGTTCATGGGTAAAAACCACAAAGATCCACCACATCAGCTAAGCTTAGACCTGGATTTCCCATGTGTGGGATCAAATACTGTAGTGCTGTGTTTGAATGTTGGCTTTGCCACTTTGCTTCTCTAAGGTTTGGCTTCCCTCATGAATAAAATAAGAAACAGACCTAACTCTTCATGTGACAATTAGAAAAAATATACACTAAGTGACCAATAAACAGTGGAGACTCAATAAATATTAGCTTTTACTATTTCTGTGGCCCTGGTTATCTATTCTCCATTCCTAGTGATCATATCTTTTTGGTGTTTTAAACAAATCCAATGCAAAACACACCTTGAAGGCCCCAAATATAAGGGAATTAAATGTTGTTTACATGGTCACTCTACTTTTTGAAAGCAAAGTTATCAGAAAATTTGGCCCAGTATGGTGTCTCTCTGATACTGGAGGCTGCCAGTAAACGATGATTTGAGGGGATTCCCAGCCAGGGTGATTTTTAAAATATTTAACAATTGGCCCAACTGGGCATTGACCTGGCAGTGATCTGATGATCACTGGATCAATCAGAATGGATATTAGCCTTACATAGCATGTCTAGTTGTCATCGGATGCTTTGATTGGAGGCTAGTCTAGCCAGGAATCACTTTTGGTCAACCCAATCAGCATCTGGTCACAGAGCTTCACATGAGGAGTGGCTGGGGCTATGCTTTACCACTATCCAGGAAGATCTTTTCCACCCCAATTTATGACCAAGGTGTAACTTGGTATTTGTGATGCCAGGGATGATAGCAGCCCAACCCAAGAGGAAGCTCCCGGGCTTTTCCACATTGAGCCACAGACTCTGACCTTTATATCATGCCTGCTCAGCTAATATAGCCACACAATCATTCCTTAATAAGCTTCACTTTCAAACCTGTCCACGTTGTTTCCCTGTCAGAGCCAATGTTTGCTTACAAGTCTCGTCTCATCAGTACGAGAAAGGCAATCCTTAACTTTTACCTAACCCCGGAGAAAGTTTCATTTGGTCAACAGTTTGATGATAAGAGATAAAAGGGAAGAGTCTAGAAATGGATAGCCAGTGGAGAAACATAATTTTCTATTTTATACTTGTTGATATATTCTGTCTTGTCAACAATGGTCTTGTTTCACTTTCCTGATTTAAGAAGAAAGCAATATAGGTTTTCTTTTTGTTGGCTTTAAAAACAAAGTCATAGCGAATACATTTCCTTTTAAATGAGAGGTCAGCAAACTTTTTCTGTAAAGAGCCAGATAGTAAATATTGCAGGCTTTGCAGGCCATATGGTCTCTGTTACAACTACTCAACTTTGTCTTTGTAGCGCACAAGCAGCCAGAGGCAATACACACACAAATGGGTGTGGCTGGCTTCCAGTAAAATTTTATTTATTGATGCTAAAATTTGAATTTCATGTAATGTACACTTTCTCAATCAGTAGTAAAAATCATTCACAATTTGTAGGTTACACAAAACAGGCAGCAGGCCAGATTTGGCCCACTGATCATAGTTTGCCAGGCCCTGCTCTAAAATAATAAAATACCAGAGATAAGATAAACAGTCCCCTTTAAACTTGTGGAAAATTTCAGACATATACAAAAGCAGAGAGAATAATGTAATAATCCTCCAGGTATCCATGACCCTGTTTCAACAATGACTAACTCGGCCAGGCGCAGTGGCTCATGCCTGTTATCCCAGCACTTTGGGAGGCCAAGGCAGGCAGATCACGAGGTCAGGAGTTCAAGACTAGCCTGGCCAACATAGTGAAATCCCATCTCTACTAAAAATACAAAAATTAGCCAGGCGTGGTGGCATGTGCCTGTAGTCCCAGCTACTCGGGAGCCTGAGGCAGGAGAATCACTCGAACTGGGGAGGCAGAGGTTGCAGTGAGCCGAGATCACACCACTGCACTCCAGCCTGAGCGACAGAGTGAGACTCTGTCTCAAAGAAAAAAAAAGACTAATCATGTGACATCTATAGCCCCACTCGCTCACCCACTACCCTTTATTCACAGTTTATTTATCCAGACATCGTATTTATCCATAGTTATCCATGTGTATCATGTTTATCCATAAATCATATTTAATTTATCCATAGTAAAGGTGTCCATTTATGACATTTATCCATAAATACTTCTATAGACAGTTTTAAAGGTAACACAGTTGACCCTCAAACAACATAGGTTCAAACTGCATGAGTCCATTTATCTGTGGATTTAGTTCTGCCTCTGTCACCCTGGAGAGCAAGACAAACTCATCCTCTTTCTCTTCCTCATCAGCCTACTCAACATGAAGGTGATGAGGATGAAAACCTTTATGATGATCCACTTCTACCTAATGAATAGTAAATATATTTTCTCTTTCCTAATAACACTTTCTTTTATCTACCTTACTTTATTGCATGAATACAGCATATAATACGTGTAACATACAAAATACGTGTTAGCCAACTCTTTGTTATCAGTAAGACTTCCAGTCAACAGTAGGCTACTACTAGGTAAGTTTTCGGGGCATTAAAAGTGATACATAGAGTTTTGACTGTGTGGGGTGTTGGGGTCCCTATCCTTGTGTTGTTCCAAGGATCAACTGTACTTCATTTTAAAACATTGTTATCAGCTGAGTGCAGTGGCATACACGCCTGTAATCCCAGCACTTTGGGAGGCCAAGGAAGGAGGACAGCTTGATTTCAGAAGTTTGAGACCAGCCTGGGCAATATAGTGAAGCCCTGTCTTTACAAAAAGTATTAAAAAATTAGCTGGCCGTAGTGGTGCATGCCAGTAGTCCCAGCTACTCAGGAGGCTGAGGTAGGAGGATCACTTGAGCCTGGGAGGTCGAGGCTGCAGTGAGGTGTGATTGCACCACTGCACTCCAGCCTGGGTGACACAGTGAGACCCCGTTTCAAAATAAATAAATAAATAAATAAATACACACACACACACACACACACACACACATACATATCATTGTCACACCTAAATAACAATAATTTTAATTTAAAATGTGTTATGAGCAGAATTTCACAAACTCCTTAATTAACACAACATCACCTATGCCTCCATTACAGGGTAGTGGTTTCTCAAGCCAGACATCCTGCTCTTGAAATATGGTGCCACCACTTAGTAGTGATGGGGTATGGGAGAAGGCACTCAACCTCCCTGACCTCAGTTTTCTTATCTGTAAAAGTGAGGATGTTAAAAGTATGTGGCTCATAACGTTGCTGTGAGAATTAAATGCCTTAAAACCCATGAAGCACTTAGAACAATGTCTGCCACATAATAAGTGTAGCCAAGTGTTAGCAATACCATTAACTTTTTGCTCCTGCTTATGTTCTGTTCTTTGTGAGTCCTCGTGAGTGCAAGTACAGAAGCACCCTGGACAAGCTCAAGTGAAAAGTGTGTTGGGGAGTTGGTGTTAGTCTACAGGGACGCACAGAAGCTAAAAACAGGAAGCAGAGAGCAACTAGCCCTATACAGGAAAACAGGAAAGTCAAAATCAGGGCTATTTGGGACCTCCTTCCTCTCTCCCAGGCCCTCCATTTGCCATTCCCTCCCAGTGAATGTCTGCTTTGCTTTCTTTTTTTTCATCCCTGGCCCTGCATGGCTCACAGTCCTGACCATCCTTCCTGACCTCTTAGCAAAGCTTCCACCATGAAGTGCCAATCGTCTCTGTGTTTCTTAGAGTTCAAATCCTTGAGGAAGAATCGATAAGCTGACCTTTGGTCAGAGGTGAAGTGTCCATCCCTTGGCCTACAATGGGGGATGAGGGCTAAAGGTCATAGTATACCAAGTGACCATTTCAGAAGCCCTGGTGAGCAGCTGAATCAATCCTCGAGGAAGGGCTGGGTTATGCTGTGCTAACAGTTACCTGAAATCTCAGTGGCCTGAAGCAACAGCAGTTTATTTCTCATTCATGTGCACATCTATCAGGAAGGGCTGAGGGTCTCGCTCCTCCAGAACCCAGGCTGCTGAAGCAGCTCCTACCTGGAACCCTGGCAGGGGCAAACGAGTCTCTGGAGAGAAGCCACATTAACTCTGAAAGCTTCTGCTCTAGGCTAGTCACTATCTTCAAGTGGGCAGGAAAGCACAATCCTACCGTGTACCCAGAAGGAGAGAGAGCCGAAGTATTTGTGGACATCCTCATGCATAACACAGAGGCAATGATAAACAGCTACCATCTATGTCCTCATCATATCAGTCTGATCCTGTACATAAAGGCACTCAGAGAAATCCATGCAACCATTACTGTGAAAGCAGATGATCACTTTCTTCCTGGATTGAAATGCCCATTCTAAGGGTAGTAGAGTTTTTTCTTAAGGCAAAAACAGCTGTAACACCATTAACTTTTTCACCCTGGACTCATTTTTCATCTCTTAAGTCATCAACGTTATTTGAGAACCTCTCCTGGTGCCTCCCATTTCTCTTAAGGTAAACAAGTTGAAATTAGTCAGAGTAGTTAGAACAGACCTCGACCCCGGTGGGTGAGTAATTGTGCACCTTTCTGAATGAGGCTGGTGTTTTCTTTGACAATCATTGCACTGCCTACTCAAATTCTGTCCGAGATCTCGGTGTCCCAGCTGTGCTGCCCCATTAGAAGTATTCACTCAGATTTTCCACATCTTCTGAATATTTCCCCCGAGAAGTCATCCTGTTTTTGATGTACCACTTCTTGAATGTGTGTCTTCCAAATTTTTGGTGTTTTAACCAGTAAGACAACAACTGTTTTATTGCCTGAATAAGCCTAAAACCAGCTCTGTGCACCATTTTTCTTATGAGAAAGTCACACCAGCTCATTGCCTGTGTAGCAAGGCCAAAAGTTACACTCCTCACCTCAGATGTGCAAAAAATATCATTAAAAGAAAAATGTTCCATTAACTGGCCTCATTTAGCTCTGGAGTCCCCATTCCTGCTAATGGTGGGGAAAATGTAAACTTGACAATTGGACATCATTCTGCTTCTTCTGACTTAAAATGGTCATTTTCACGTGGCCAATTCCAGTTCAAATTCCCTAAGGGGTCTGTTTCTCTCATCTTAAGAAGTTTCTAGGTTGGGCGCTGTACTCATCCCTGTAATCCCAGCACTTTGGAAGGCTAAGGCAGGTGGATCACTTGAATTTGGGAGTTCCAGACCAGCCTGGCCAATATGGTGAAACCCCGCCTCTGCTAAAAATACGAAAATTAGCCTAGCATGGTGGTGCACATCTGTAATCCCAGCTACTAGGGAGCCACAAGAATCACTTGAACCCCAGAGGCGGAGGTTGCAGTGAGCCCAGATCGCACCACTATACTCCAGCCTGGGCAACAGAAAAAAAAAAAAAGAGATGTTTTCATCCTTCATATTATTTCTCAAGATGGCATCTGTGAACAACCCAAATATCCATCAATAGTAGAGCAGATAAATAAACTGTGGCATAATCACACAACGGAATACTCCCCAGCATCACAGGGAAATGGAACTGCTACCCACAATGGCATGGATGAATCTCAGAGGTATAATGTTGAGTGAACAAAATCAGACAACAAAGACTACACACTGTAGGATTCCTCTTCTATAAAGTTCAAAAACTCACCTATCATGATCGAGTTACAAAATGGTTATCTTTGGCAGAGGGTATTGACTGGAAGAAGGCACAAAAGAGCCTTCTAGGGTGCTGGCCTGGCCTATATCCTGATTTGGGTGGTAGGTACGTAGGTGTACACATAGGTGCGCACGCATTGAGCTGTATTTTTAGCATTTGTGTACTTCACTGTGTGTTGCATCTCAGTAAAGCAGTCCCCACCACAAAGACAGCTTCTGGATACAGGCAAGAGCTTAAACAGCTTTGGGTGCTGGAGGAGGAACCGCTCATCTGTGGAAATCCACTGGCCTTCCTGGAGAGGTCTTTCCAAGTGGTCGGCTTGTCCTCTGACGGCACCTGCTGAGGAGTGTCTGGTTCCCCTGCTCACATCTCCTTTGCTTTAACCTCCTGCGATGAGCTCCTGAGCTCAACTCCAGACCTCTGGTTCACCAGTCCTCTTAGCCTTTCAGCCACTACCCTCCTCCAGCTTGGAAACCCTTGGGGTCCTAAGGGCCTGTTGACCTGGACGTCTCTCTCAGCCATTTCTGCTACCCTGGCCTAGCAGCCACTCCCATCTGGGCCTTGTAAAGGAGGGGATGTGCCTCCCCTGTGCCAAAAGGGCTTTCTGCTTACCCCTTTTGTCTGACAGCAACTGCCTGTGATGTTTCCTCTCTATGCGCTGATGTCCTCCCGTTTCCTGGAGCAATCCCGGGAGAAGGGAGGGAGGGAAAGAAACTGTATTGACATGCACAGAAATAAGGCACACTGAGAGGTATTTTAAAATCTATTATGTCCCTTACCCTTGATTTCTTTTAGGTAGAGTCTGGTTTCTTTTCATTATGTGACTTGGGTGATTCAAATCAGCATGGTTAGGATAGAATCACGGTATTTTAGCAATGAAGAGGTTCTTAATCATCATTTCAAATTCCAAGAGGGACGATTTCCAATTGTGTGGTCCTAAGTACATGAACACATTTATTATCCTGCTTCCCACCCAGCCCCCAACACACATAAGCATCACTCATCAATCATTATGATCACCAAGAAGATGCCTCCCGACACATCCACAGTTCTAAATGTCCCAAGGCAGGGTTTAGCCTCATTTGTTTATTTTGCAGATAACGAAATTGAAGCCCAAAGCAGAAAAATGACTTATCCAAGCCCCTGACAAAACAGGGCCTGATTTCCAGTTCCGTGAGATTTGTAGGTCACCCTGTTAACTTTTGGTGTAAGTTTGAGGAACTAAAACGAGGCACTGCAAGGGAACTTCTGTTTCTTACTGAATTTCTGCTTTCCTTTCTGGCAGTAGAAGCTGTCCCATGTCACTTCCTCTTTCCCTCCCTGAGAGTTAGCAGATAGCGTGGTGCCAGAGCCATTGCTTCCCTCTCAAGCAGAGGGGCAGTGGAGGCATGTCTGAGAACTTGCTGGCAGACACACCCAGTGTGGACCTGCCCTATTTATCCACACTCTCCACCCTGACCACATTAGACAGATATGCAAACACTCAGTATCCGGCAAACCCCCCACCACCCTCCCCGCCAAGTCTCATCACAGATCCATAAAAGACAGTGAAAATACACCGAGGTCTGATTTATTCTACTTTAGATGCAAAGACTGCTCCATCCCATCACCCCATGTCATTCAGATACAGGCGGCTTGATGCTGGCAGCATGTGGAGCAAAGTAAGTGAGGAGGAGGTTCAGCACAGTGGCTGGGAACACAGGAGTTAGAGCCATTCGTTCATGCATTCATGTAAGCACTCATTCATTCATGCATGCAAGCATTCAAGCACTGGTTCATTCATTCTCCATTCCAGTGTTTATTGAGCTCTTACAATCGTTGGGTTCATTCTGGGCATCAGGTAACATGCTGGTAAACACAATAGATGTGTTCCCAACCTTGTGAACTTACAGTCTCTAGATTGAGCTCAAAACCTGGCCCTGCCACTGAACACCTATGTGGCCTTGGGTGAATTGCTGAATCTCTCTGAACCTCTACCTCTTCATCAATAAAACAGGAAAATAGAAATAGAGTTGTGAAGAGTAAGTATAAAAAAGGATGGGAAGGAACTAGCCCAGTTCCTGGTATATAATAGGTGGTAAGTAGGTCACAGTTACTATTATTGCTAAAAATTTAACATTCGATAGGAACAATCCCTAAATCCGTATACCTAAAACCTGGACATGAAATTTTGGCTAAGAGCTCTATATTTTACCTAAATTATGTATAATAAACCAGCTTTTTTCAAAGATGTGTAGTTGTATATCATAAATCAAATACACATATATATAAGGTGTATATCATAAACAAAAAACCCTATGTGTGTATAGTATGTGTGTGTGTATGTGTGTGTATTTTAACTGGCATGGTATCATAATTTCTATATTCTTTTTTTTTTTTTTTTTTTTTTTGAGGTGGAGTCTTGCTCTGTCGTCCAGGCTGGAGTGCAGTGGCGTGATCCCAGCCTGGCTCACTGCAACCTCCACCTCCCAGGTTCAAGCAATTCTCCTGACTCAGCCAACCAAGTAGCTGGGACTACAGGTGTGTGCCACCACGCCTGGCTAATTTTTATATTTCTAGTAGAGACGGGGTTTCACCGTGTTGGCCAGGCTGGTCTTGAACTCCTGACCTCAGGTGCTCCCCACCACCCAACCTCGGTCTCCCAAAGTGGTGGGATTACAGGCATGAGCCACCGCGCCCGGCTGAGAATTTCTATATTCTAATGTAAGACAATGATACTTTGTATGGATACACAATTTTAAAAGAGGCTTGGGCCAGGTGCTGTGGCTCATGCCTGTAATCCCAACATTTTGGCAGGCTGAGGCAGGCAGATTGCTTGAGCTCAGGAGTTCAAGACCAGCCTGGACAACATGGTGAAACCCCATCTCAAATACAAAAAATACAAAAAATTAGTTGGGCGTAATGGCACATACCTGCAGTCCCAGCGACTCAGGAGGCTGCGGTGGGAAGATCTCTTGAACCCAGGAGGCAGAGGTTGCAGTGAGATGAGATCGCACCACTGCACTCCAGCCTGGGGAACAGAGCAAGACCCCACCTCAAAAATAAATAACTAAATAAAAATAAAAACGAAAGATGCTTGGACAAAGAAAACATGACATAAGCCATGAGTCTTTTAATATTCTATTCTCTTCCTGGGCCTCCGCTCTTGACAGACACTTTACCTTATTTAGCCTCTGCTGCCTGGTCTTGAAACCTCTAAATAGATGGGTTATTTCAGGCTGGCCAAACCCTCGAAATTATTTGCCAGCAGCATTTTGGAAACATATCCCCTTACTGCGAGAAACAGCAGCCAAAGCAAAGGACTGTGTGGTTGCTCCCAATCCCCTTCCTTCTGAGCCTCTGCTTCGGCTGCTGGGTTCAGCTCACAGAAGGTGCTGTAGGCGAAGGAACGAGTGTGGCTTTGAGGTCTTTGCCAAGTGCGTGACCCATGGAAAGTTACCAAGCTACGAGAGCCTCAGTTTCCCCATTGGTAAAGAGGGACATAAATGTCACTTTGCAGGGTTATTGGGATAATTGACTAGGTCAGTGATGAAAATAGTCACTCATAAATGGCAGCTAAGGGTCCAGCACAGTGGCTCACAGCTGTAATCCCAGCACTTTAGGAGGCCAAGGCAGGTAGATCACCTGAAGTCAGGAGTTCGAGACCAGCCTGGTCAACATGGTGAAACCCCATCTCTACTAAAAATACAAAAATTAGCTAGGTGTAGTGGCCATGTGCCTGTTATCCCAGCTACTTAGGAGGCTGAGGCATGAGAATCTCTTGAACCCAGGAAGCGGAGGTTGCAGTGAGCCGAGATTGTGCCACTGCTTTCCAGCCTGGGCAACAGGGCGAGACTGCATCTCAAAAAATAAATAAATAAATGGCAGCTAAGGAATAGATAAAACTTTTCATTACAAATCGGGGATTAGCCTCAATGTACAAACTTCCTGGGAAGGGTGGTGGGCTTTACACATGGTGGAAGTCCGTGACATTCCTGGGCCTTTCCTATAGACCCTTTACATGAGGGAGGGAGGGAGGGAGGGAGGAGTAGACAGACTCCTCCAGACTTCAGGTGCAGGAAGGGCCCAGGCAGAAGGGAGGTACAACACAGGAGCTGGCCAGAGCACCGAGGAGATATTTCTACCACGGTTTGGCCTTGTCTGCCTCTGGGTTTGGCAGGGTTCCTTAAAGCTCATCACAAATCAACAGGGTAAGGTATGGTTCTAAAAAGATGCTCGTCTCATCAAAGCTAAACGTTTTAGGTGCATCAGCTTGCTGATTTCAACTTGCAGACTTTTCACAGGGTCTTCCAAATGGCCCAGAAACTGCCTACGCACACAAATAGCTTATGACTCCATGGTTCTGTATACTTTGAAGAGGCTTTCCTACACTTTTCTTTTTTCTTTCAACACTGTTTATCGAGAGTCTGGAGTCTGTTATGTTCTAGGTGTCATCTCTGGAGCTGGGAACCCAGCAGTGAAGAGAGGGGGCCAAGTCCTTGCCTTCTTGAGCTTGATCTCTTGGGAGCATTCAGAGTAAATTGTGGTGCAGAGGCCCAGAGGCAGGCCAGCGGCTACAATTCCTACTCTACACATGAGGACATTGAGGCTCAGAATAGTACATGACTTACCTACAGCGACCCATCAGATAAAATGAAGATCTAGGTCTTGAACTTGTTCACTCATTTATTTCAGAACTCTTAGCACTCAGGGAATATTTCAAATATTTCACTCTCAAAAATATTTGTTTATTTTTTAGATGCAGTCTCACCCTGTCGCCCAGGCTGGAGCGCAGTGGCACGATCTCGGCTCACTGCAACCTCCACCTCCTAAGTTGAAGAAATTCTCATGCCTCAGCCTCCTAAGTAGCTGGGATAACAGGCACATGCCACCACCAGTTGCAAAGCTATTTGTTCCAGCTTTCCCCCAAACCAAGGGTCATCTATTACTGGTTATATAATCATTAGTATTAATGGCTAATATTTACGGAGTGCATGTTACATACCAAGTGCTATACTGAGAGTTTTATGAGGATTATCTCATTTAAATCTATCAAGAAATCTATTAGTGAGTACTGTTAATATCCCCATTTACAGATGAGGAAACTGAGGCTTAGAAAGGTTAAACTTATCCAGGGACACATAGCTAGTGAGCAGTGGTGAAGGAGAATAGAGATTAGCAGTCTCACCTTCTGTCACTAAAAGACTTTTTTGAAACATAATGCCCAACCGAAAATAATTCTAGCAATAAATGAAGATATGGCTTCTCCAAACTGGCCCCACGGAGGGGCACGAGCCTGGGGCTTTCCACCAAAACTGAGCTCCAAGAAACTTTTCCAAGGCCCAGGATTGGGGCCAAGGTCGGCAACAAGGAAGACAGCAAAGACTGTCCAGAAGGAGCACTGGGAGAGCCAAAAAGATGGAATCACCAAGGCCAACTCACAGGGTTGGACAAGGAGGTAACTGGGTACAAGGTTTTGGAAAAGAACTGGAGACCCAGGATCAAGAAAGCAACGGGGATGGTAAAATACTGAGGTTGGGAGAGAAGTGCTGAGAAACCAGAGTGAGGAGCTGAGAGGATGTGCAGCCTCACCTGGGCTGCAGGGAGAACCAGGAAGGACGTTGAGTCCCCGTCACCTTCGGGCTCTGAAATTTACAATGTGCTTCCCTACGTGTTCACTTTGCTCTTCCTTTCCACCCTGAAGGGAGGCTTTCCTCAATGCCAGCCTCTTTGGAAGCAGGCTTTCAGGGGTGCAAGAGGAAAGTTATCTTTATTCAAGAGGATTCCAAGAAGCAAAGGCAATGACACACATTTTTAAAGTTTCTGTGGTACCTTTGGGCTTTGAGAACTTGATATAGCTGTGAAGAACAAGGGCTTTGGATTGAGATGGATTTGGGTTTGAATTCCAGTTCTACTTGGGAGCTGTGGGGCCCTGAGCAAGTCATTACTCTGTTGGTGCCTCTATTTACTCATTTGCATAGTGGGAACTAAAAACATCTACTTTATAGGTTATTAGGATTAAATTAAGTATGTTATCCTAAGAAATTTTTAGCCCAGAGCAAGTACTCAACAAATAAAAGGTATTACTATTGTTATGTGAGTTTTGTTTGTTTTTGAGATAGGGTCTCACCCTGTCACCTAAGCTGGAGTGCAGTGGCACGATCATGGCTCACTGCAGCCTTGATCTCCCAGGCTGAGGTGATCCCCCTACCTCAGCCTCCTTAGCAGCTAGGACTACAGGCGTGCACCACCACACCCGGCTAATTTTTGTATTTTTTTGTAGACACAGGTTTCACTGTAATTCCCAGGCTGGTCTCGAGCTCATGGACTCAAGCGATCTGCCTGCTTCGGCCTCCCAAATTGCTGGAATTACAGGCATGAGTCACCACACCTGGCCTGTTATGAGTTTTAAAAGCAGATTCTGCAGTTTGGCAGTTTCTTACAAAATAAACATACTTTTACCGTATAATCCAGCAATTGGGCTCCTTGGTACTTACCCAAAGGAGTCGTAAACTGTAAACCTACGTCTACTCAAAAACCTGTACATGGATATTTATAACGGCCTTATTCATAATTGCCAAAGCTTGGAAGCAACCAAGACATCCTTCAGTAGGTAAATAGATAAACTGTGGTATACATCCACAATACTCTTCAGCATTAAAAAGAGGTAAGCTGTCAGACCATGAAAAGACATGGAGGAACCTACATACTACCGAGTGAACACGCCAATCTGAAAAGGCTACATACTACATGGTTCCAACCATATGACATTCTGGAAAAGGTAAAACAATGCCCACTGTGTAAAGATCAGCGGTAGCTAGGGGTTGTGGGGAGAAAAGAATGAGTAGGTAGAGCACAGAGGGTTTTTAGGGCAGTGAAACTCTTCTGTGTGATACTAAAAGTGCCTGCATGTCATTATACATTTGTCCAAATCCATAGAATGTGCACCACGCCAAGAGTGAGCCCCACTGTAAACTATGGACTCTGGGTGATAATGATGTGTCAATGTAGGTTCGTCAGTTGTAACACATGCACTACTCTGGTGGGGATGTTGATAGTGGGGGAGGCTGTGCGTGCTTGGGGAGGACAGCCGGCATATGGGAACTTTGTACTTTCACTTAATCTTGCTGTGAGCCTAAGAGTGCTCTAAAAAATAAATATATTTTTTTAAACTCCACAAATAAAATAAACCAAGGCTATAGTTCCTAATTGAGAGGGGGGAGAATTTCCTGATGTCATCTTCTCCCTGAATCCACTTCTGATCACCCCAACCAAATTATTACTTTTATTTTTTGAGACAGAGTCTCGCTCTATTGCCCAGGCTGGAGTGCAACGGCTCGATCTTGGCTCACTGCAACCTCCACCTCCCAGGTTCAAGCAATTCTCATGCCTCAGCCTCCCAAGTAGCTGGGACTACAGGTGCACACCACCACACCTGGCTGATTTTTGAATTTTTCGTAGAGACAGGGCTTTGCCATGTTAGCCAGGCTGGTCTCGAACTCCTGACCTCAAGTGATCCACTGGCCTTGGCCTCCCAAAGTGTTGGGATTACAGGTGTCCAGAGTTGTACACTGTGTCCAGCCCCCCAGCCAAATTATTAAAATGTCTTTCCTTACTCAGGATTCTCAGTGCATTGCAACTTATCTGGCAATCATTTTGATTACATGATTAGAGGATTGATCTTATTTTCCTTACTATAATATATTGGAAGATTCTTATAGGAATGACAGTGCACTACTCAGTTCTCTATCTTGCAGTGCCTTCACCATGTCTTGCACATGGATGGTACTTAAAACACATAGTTTTGAATGTAACCAACAGATTTTATTATAAATTTCTGTACTGGCCAATAAGGTAGTCAGTAGCCACATGTGACTATTTAAATATAAAATTAATTTAAAACTAAATTTAAAAATCAGTTCCTCAGTTGCACTGGCCACACTCCAAGGTCTCCATAGCCACATGTAGCTAGTGGTGGCCACGTTGGAAAGCTCAGATACGGGACATGTCCATCATTGCAAAAAGTTCTATTGGACAATACTATTCTGGAACATTCTTGTTCAACTTTTTCATGTGGTTATTGGATTTAGGTTATCTTTGCAATGTTTAAACTTTATTTTTAATTTTTTAAAAAAATATTTTCTTAAACACGGTTTGAACTGCCCAGATTGTGCTCTCTAAATACCATTTACACTCAGAGAAATCAGGCTCTTTAGATAAATGACTGATTCCAATCTAAGGCAAGACATATATAAGATAAGCCTCTCTACCTAGTCTCATATAAGATAAGAAAGCTATCAAAGACTACTGGGGTGATGTCAAAAGGACTCAGGGGTCAACTTATAGAGGCTCTCATTGGACACCAGTGGGATAATCTGAGCATCAATAAGACTCACCACAAAGGATTGAGTTGTATTGCATAAGTAAAATTTCATGACTTCATAATGGCAGTGAAACAAAAATAAACAAACTCTCAATCCCTTTGGAAGATGACAATTAAGTTTTTTAAAACTAGTAAGTAAAAGGGAAAAGTCAAGCATTTATCCTGTCTTTTCTATATGAATTGTTCCTCAGGGTCACCATAAATGGCTGAGGAGAGACCATTTCTGTCTATAGAAGTATTTCAGCTAGTAAATAGAAAAGGAATAAAATAATTAGAGTATGGCATTTTGCAAACCATACTGAAATAATGGATCTAGCAAATGATCATCAGTGTTTGCTAACATCACAGAGAGATGATCAGACATAAGGGGCCTGCTATGGTAAGAACATAAACCTGTGAAGCCAAATCTAACCTGAGACCAAGCCCAAGGATCTGTCAACCAATCATGAGGAAATGCAGGGGAGGAGGAACATGTTAAATGACACTACTGGGATGAAGCCAGAGAATCCAGACCTTGGGAAACTTAATACAGAGGGAAAAAAAATAGGTGAAAAGGGAACTATAGATGAAAAGAAACTGAAGGGACATCTGATGTAGCAGCCAAATGCAATGCATAGACCTTGTTTAGATTCTCATGTAAACAAATCAATTGTAAGGAAGAAAGAGGGACAGGAAGAGAATTGGAGACATTTAAATACTGACTAGGTATTTGGGTATATTAAGAAATTATTATTGATTTTAAAGTATGGTTATGTATAGTGGTCATGTCTTTTATAAATAATTCTTATCCTTTTTTAGTTTAAATTTTTATTTTTTTAATTTATTTTTGCAGAGATGGGTTCTCACTATGTTGCCCAGGCTAGTCTTGAACTCCTGGGCTCAAGCGATCTTCCTGCCTTGGCCTCCCAAAGTGCTGGGATTACAGGTGTGAGTCACTGCACCCAGGAATTTTTGTCCTTTAGAGACACATATGAAACATTTCCAGATGAATGGTATGATACTGAGATTTACTCAAAATAATACAGGGTGAAGGCACAAAGTAGGTGGGGAGTACAGATAAGATTGGCCATGAGTGGTTGATTGCTGTAGCTGGGCTTATTGTACATGTGTTACAATTTTCATAATAAAAAGTTCATCTCTCTGATTTAGTCTCAGTGTCTTGCCTGGCTCAACTGTGAGCTTTTTAAAAATAAATTCTCCAGATTGGCATTGTTCTGTTCTAATTTTGACATGTGGAGGGGCTTAGGCATGAATGTTCTGAGGCAAAACCAGTCTCTGAAAACATCCGAGGGCTGTTTAATGAGAAATCTTAGCAAGTTTTTCCCAAATGGCAACCAGATTACAAAGCCTTACATTCTGCTGAGGTTTTCTTCCTTCTCAGCGTATTCAAATCCACTAACCAGATTTATCATTCCTCAAGAAACGTGCAAATTACATTACATTTTTCCAGAAATTTGCAGGTCATCCTAGAGGGGTTTTGAAGTGCAAGGGGAAGTGTCTTCTCCTCATCTTCATCTTTCTCCTTCTCCTCTTCCTTTAATAAAATGTAGAGAAACTCCTCTTTCCACTGCGCCACTGGCCCCATGCTTGAGAAACACCTCTTTTGAGGAATAACCGATGCTACCTTCTGGGAGAGCTTTCTCTGGCCTTTTCCCTTTTCATCTTCCAAACATGTGTCAGGATCAAGACCTAGAAGCTAAAGCCTCTGGGTTGAAGGAGGCTTTTCTTGTGGGTCAGACTCCTGGGCGTAGGTGAGCATTGTTTTCCAAGACTGCGTCTTTCAAACAGGTTAAAACGTCTCCATGGCATGGGACCAGTGTCTATTTTCGCTTTTTCTCCCAGGAAGCCTGACCACCTCTTTTGATTCCTATTAAGTAAGTTCCAGTCACTTTCCAGACCCACTCCTGTGATTATCCCCTGTGAACCAGCTGGAGTCCTGGATATTCTGACACTCTTCACTTATACACCTGCAGACACTCTCACATTGTGGCAGACTGCTAGCTGTCCCCCATCCCCTGCCTCCTCTCTATCCTCTCCTCCTTTCAGTGTAAAGACTGCCCAGTAAAGACTATAATTCCCAGCTTTCCTTACAGTAGGATGTAGCCATTAGACTACAAGCCAATGGGCAGAGAGAATAGCCAATGGTCCTAGCCAATGGGCTAAACAGAATAACGCTGGTACAATTTCTGGATCTTGTCCTCAGATTAAAAAGCTCCCTGTCCCCCTCCTACTGGTAGGGAAATGGTGAGAAATTGGCTCCCAAGCAGAAGCCTTGAGATGAGAACAGTGATCCAACCAGCTCTGGATTCCTACCTCTGGACTACGACAAGAGAGAGAAATTACTTGTATCTCGTATATGCCACCGCAGCTTCAGAACTCTGTAACAGCAGATTACCCTGTATCTCAACTGATACAGAGGGCTAACTACAATCACTGGGTGTGAATTTTACCTGGGCAACTTGGGCAACTCTAAGCATAGCTTTATTTCCATTTACCTGAGGTAGCCCCTCTCCATCACCTTGTCCCAATTTGGTGTCTGCACATCCATTCAGTGCAGTCACTTTGATGATGTGTCCATAGCTATAAACTCAAGGATCACTTCTTGAGGCAGAAATTTCCAACATCTTCTCTTAAAAATCAAGTGACGAGGGTTTTGAAATACCTAGCAGCACTGGGCTCTATTCCTATTTTCTCAAGTCCCTAGGGCTTGTGTCTTTATGGCTCTTTCTTAGAAAGACCATTTCCTACCAAGAGCCAACTGATTTGGCCAACACCAGCAGATGTACTCCATTACAACTAATAATGGGACTCAAGTACTTTAGAAGCTTTTACTAATTGAGCCGCTGAATATCCCTATGAAGTAGGTAACTATTATTGTCCCCAATTACTGTCAAGACGCTGAGCTGCAGAGACATTAAGTGGCTTGCCAGAATCGTGCAGTGGAGTCCCAGGCAGAGCAAGTTCCTGAGCGGAGGATGAATTTCAGCCCCAATCAAAGGAACCAGGATTGGCCAGAAAGTCAATCAGGAGACCTGTGTTCCAGTGGCAGCTCTGTCATTAACCACCGAGTGGAAGTCACTTCCTTTTTCTGTGTTCGTGTGCGTGTGTGCGTGTGAAGAGAGTGTGTGTGTGTGAGAGAGCGTGTGTGTAAAAGAGAAGATATGCCTGTGTGTGTGTGTCTTTGTGTGTGTGCCTGTATAGTAGTGTGTGTGGTTTTGTGTGGGTGTGTGTGATTGTGTATGTTTGTGTGTGGTTGTGTGGGTGTGTGGTTGTATGTGTGGTTGTGTGTGGGGCTGTGTGTGTGTGGTTTTGTGTGTGTGGCTGTATGTGTGTTTGTGTGGTTGTATGTAGTGTGTCTGTATGGTCTGTATGTTTATGTGTGTGATTGTGTGTGTGTTTGTGTGTGGTTGTGTGTGTGTTTGTGTGAGGTTGTGTGTTATGTGTGTGGTTTTGTGTGGGTGTGAGATTGTATGTGTGTGTGGTTGTGTGGATGTGTGGTTGTATGTGTGATTGTGTGTGGTTGTGTGTGTGGGGTTGTGTGTGTGTGTGGTTTTGTGTGTGTGTGGTTGTATGTGTGGTTGTGTGTGGTGTGTGGTCTGTATGTTTATGTGTGTGTGTGTGTGTTTGTGGTTGTGTGTGTGGTTGTGTGTGGTGTGTGTGTGGTTGTGTATGTGTGTGGTTGTGTGTGTATGTGTGTGGTTGTGTGTATGTGGTTGTGTGTATGCGTATGATTGTGTGTGTATTTGTGTGGTTGTGTGTGGTTGTGGTTGTATGTAGTCTGAATAATCCGCCCTCCCTTTGGGATTTTTTCCACTGAGGGTGGAAGTGGAGTTTCCCCTGAAAGAACAGATATTCCCACTGCTGATCCTTCCGGGAGAAGTTAATCCTGAGACAGGAAATAAAGATTTAAAGAAGAGAAAAGTTTTTATTGGGCCAAGACTCCAAGGTGAAGAAAGGCCTGGAGTGAGTGGTTTCAGAATGGAAATGGGGGAGAATGGCCTGCGTCTGGTTGAAGCATGGTCTCCAGGGGCTTTGAGGAGTTGGGAGATGGCTCAGGACGCAGGGTGAGGGAGGACAGGGAATTCGCTGCTCCTCTCTCGGTCAAGGTGCAGACCTCGAAGAAAGTGGTGATCAGCTAAGGCCAATGCAGGAATGTAGCAGGGCCAGCAGCCTGGAGAAAGAAAATGTGAGGGACTGTGCCCAAAAGTGCAAACCAGTACCCTGAGAAATGTTCTGAATCTACAGGGAAACTGAGGAGAGGAAATTTCACACCGTGAACCCACTGTGGACTATGTCCTAGCAATCTGGGAACAAACAGAAGGCACAGGCTGTTGTGGCCTGGGACACAGGGGTGCTTTATACAAGGAGATGGAGTACAAGTGGATACCTTCTAAGGCTCCTTCTTGCTGAAATGTATACTCCATAGTCCAGTTGGGCTAGAAACTCTGCCCCCAGGCCCCTGGGAGGGTCTGACCAAGGAATTTCACCCAGGTGTTGGTTCACTCTGGCCCTGGCCATTGTCTACCCACCCTGAGTCAAGTATGACCAGCTAAGGTTGGGTTTAGGGCCTGCATTTTTGGGCAGACGAAAATGGCCAGGGGTTGGGGGGTGAGAGTCTGTGGTCTCTCCCTTCTATTCCCAGCTTTTTTTTTTTTTTTTTTTTGAGATGGAGGGAGTCTTGCTCTGTCACCCAGGTTGGAGTGCAGTGGTGTGTGATCTCAGTTCACTGCAACCTCTGCCTCCCAGGTTCAAGCGATTCTCCTGCCTCAGCCTCCCGAGTAGCTGGAATTACAGGCACGCACCACGACTTCTGGCTAATTTTTGTATTTTTAGTAGAGACAGGGTTTCACCATGTTGGTCAGGCTAGTCTCGAACTTCCTGGCCCCAGCACACACCTCAAGTGATCCTCCAGCCTCAGTCTCCCAAAGTGCTGGGATTACAAGCATGAGCCACTGTGCCCAGCTCCCAACTTTTAAAAATGAATTAAAATTAATTGTCTAATTCATTGTTGTCTACAGTTCGATGGATTTTGACAAATGCCACCACCACCCCAATCGAGAACATTTTCATCCACCTCCCAAGACCCCTCATGGCTCTTTCCAGTTAATCCCCTCACCCTTCAACAGACAACCAATATTCTGATTTCTATCACCTTAGTTCAGTTTTGTCTGTTCTACAACTTGCTATAAGTGGTACCAAACTCTATATGCTCCCTCTCTCTCCACTTTTAACATGCAAATGATGTCTGCAATTACTTTCCATGAGTAAGCAGGTCACATGAAGAACACACACCGCCTTGATCCAGTGGCTCTGCATCTCCCCCAACACACCAGACTGTGCAGTCGTGAGTGTGCTAAGTCGAACCACATGAAATGTCGTTTTTGATTTAGTGGCAGCGGGGCCAATCTCTCCCTTCCCCTCTTCTGAAGTCCTCCAATCTCAGGGCCTGCTGACCCCCTGCTTCCTGGCCCCAGCACACAGCAATCGCTCTACCCTGAGAGTCCCAGCGTCCTGAGAGGTTCTATTTTTGGCTAGAATAACAATCTCCAATGCAGGCACAGAGCTGTTCAGCTTAATAGCTAATAATAATATTAGCTACCATTTACTGAAGGCTCTCTCTTCAAGACACTGAGCTTAGTGTTTGCATACATTATCCCATGTAATTTTCACAGCCTCCCAGTGAGGCATTATCTCCATTTTACCCACTAGGAAACAGGCTCAGAGAGGTTAGAAAGCTGCTTCGAAGCTTTCTGTGGGCGAACGACTCACCTGGGGATCTGTTAAAATGCAGATCCTTACTCAGTAGGTCTGGGCTGGCCTGAGATTCTGCATCTAGTAACAAACTCCCAATTGGTGCTGATGTTGCTGGTTCATGGATCACACTTGGAGTAGCAAGGGATGAGATAATCCCTCTAAGGTCAATTACCAGCAAGGGGACATTCAACAATATGAATGTCTTCTTTCAAACCCAATGTTTTTAAAGTCTGTTTATGTAGTGGGGAGAAGAAAACAAACAAACAAACTGGGGCAGAATTCCTTTTCCAGGAGGCAAGTGCTTTTGTTCAGCAAAACCTCCTGATGAGATACTTAGGTTGTGGAAAGCGCTCCCTCCAGGCAAGGCAGGAATGGGCTACAAATTAGACAAAGAGATAGCTAAAGTACTCTTCAAGGGAGATGAACAAGTAAATCTAGGGGCTGGAAGCTGAAGAGAAAGCAAGATGGGGGTGGGTGCTGGAGCCCACAAGGAGAAGAGGAAGATGAACTTCCCTGGAGGTGGGAAGGCTGTATGGACTCTTACAGTTTTAGGTGTTGGCTCTGTTGGGCTAGAAGCATTTGATGTTGTTAGGATCGTTCAGCCAAGTCTGTTACACACCATAGTCTTGAGTTGGTGGAAGCTTGGAAAGAGGAGAGATTGGGGTGGGGTTTGAATGACCCTTGAATATTTAATGCGCATGTGCAGTGGGCAAAGATGGAGACGTCAACCTAAAAGGAAAGTCAGAGGCAGTGACGAGAGGAGCCCCTCCCTCCGACACTGCCTCCACCCGTCTCCTGAGAGAAACACGGGGTTTTCCCTGTTCTTGAGCTCGGGGTTCAAGCCCAACTTGTTTACAATTTTAAAGGCAATTACCATAAGATTTTACATCTTTTATTTAATTTATTGCATGTGACAACCTTGGGAGGTGAGAGGCTAGGATCGTCATCCCCATTTTACAGATGCAGAAAGCAAGGCTGGGAGGGTGAGCTTTGGCACTGTTCCCACAGCCACACAGCTGAAGGGCATCAGAGATGGGACCAAAAGTGTGCTCTGAACCCTCCCTGTGAATCAGAATCTCCTGGGGAGATTTTAAAAAGTACCAATTTGCCTAGATCTCCGCCAGGCCATCTGCATTCTGTTTGTCTGAGTTGGGCCCAAGCATCAGGATGTTTCAAAAGATCCTCATTGGCTCCAGTGTTCAGGCAGGAGGAGAACCTTGCACTCGATGGTTCATGTAAAGTGCGTAGCTCAGCACCGGGCTCAGAGCCGGGCAGTAATCAGCCCAGTTAGCATCAGCTGCTGTGGATATTTTTACTATGCAAACTCAAGCCCTATGACACCATGCTGTCGCCCACTGGTTCTCAAACTCTACCAAGCATCAGAGTCACCTGGAGGGCTTGTTAAAACACAGAAAGCTGGGTTCACCCCCTGAGCTTCTGGGGTCTGGGTTAGGAATCCAGAAGGTGCCTTTCTGACAAGCTGCCTTTCTTAATGCTGCTGTTCCAGGGATCACACTTTGCGAACCAGCTCTGTAAACAAAGCAAGGCAAGACGACTCAAAAGGGCACATGATTTTCAATCCTTCCAACTTGGGATCAAGTGGCCAGACTGAGTGGGGCCCTTCCAGTGGCCTGCCATGACAGATGGCAGGACTGGGTGTTGGGCGACCTTTGGCAGGTACATCGCCTAGCAGGTGTGACTAAGACATTGCCGGTTCGTGGCCGACATTCTGGGACCTGGTCCTACATTCAATGGCTGACAGGAGCCTGAAATGGATAGAAAACACCTGTAGCCTAGGCAACACAGTCTGGCTCATACAATTACAGACTACTTGAAAAAGAGAACAGTGAGGAGGAAGGGAGGAAATGAACATGTGTAAGAAAAGAGGAGCTCAGTGTCAAATGTTCCGTATGCTTGCATGTTCATACATGCTCTCACAGACACACGTAGACACTACTGCATACTATACATATTCTTTCAACCTGGGCTGGGAAAGAGGAACCAAGACAAGGGTTCTGGAACCTACTTTGGCTTTTCTGCTCTCAGGCAAGAAGCCAGACATTGTCCCATTTGAGTTGCCATAAATTGGGTCATGGGACCACCCCCATCACCATCACCCTGACCACAGTCTGGTCAGATCTGCTAGCCCCAAACTGCCACGTGTAGACATAAGGGAGCCTGGCAGCCAATGAGGAGGCCTGGTGCAAAAACTCTGACTGACAGAGAAGCCCTGCAGTAGACAAATGGGAACTATCCAAGTTAGGGCTTACCCTCTGGGGGACACATAGAGTGGAGGGAAACAAGCCGAGGTGGCAGAAAGGGAAGACAGAAAGAGTAGGTGGGGCTGAGTCACCACTCAACAGTCTTTTTTTTTTTTTTTAAATCGTGGTATTTTTTCTACCATAAGCATTTTTATTGATTTTTTTTTTATTTATTTATTTTGTAGAGACAAGGTAATGTTGCCTAGGCTGGTCTTGAACTCCTGAGCTAAAGTGATACTCCCTGTTTGGCATTCCAAAGTGTTGGGATTACAGGTGTCAGCCACTGCATCTGGTGGTGGCTGATGCCTGTATTTTTATTTTTAAATTTTAAACAAAATTTAATGTTTAATTTAATTTATATTTATGTACTTCTCTATTTAAGTTTAGAGATAGGGTCTCATTGTATCTCCTAGCCTGGATTTGAATTCTTGGGCTCAAGTCATCCCGCCTCAGCCTCCTGAGTAGCTAGGATAATAGGCATATGCCATCACACCCTGCGAGGACAGTCTTAGAGTAGGCAGTCCCTTCTGAGGGAGTGACAAGATGGCCAGGTCGCTGGAACTGCTGATGTAGCCTCACCCATATTCCGTACTGGCTTGTTGACCTTAAAGCTTTTTGAATAAGCAGAGCTCATTACCTCCTTCTATTCCACCCCATGGAGCAGGGATGGAGGTTTGGGTCTAACTCAAATGCTCTGACGGGCCATCAGCTCCAAAACAGATAGAACACTCACTGAATTCAAAAAGCTATGCACACATGGGGGTGGTCTCTCCTTGCCCCCTTCTTCTACGTGGCTGAGCAGGAAAAGCAATGACCACCCCAGCCATTTCTGTCTCTTTAGATTCCTGTTCTACTCCCACATAGAACCCCCCTCACCCTACCTTTGCACACATATTCTCTCTCTCTCTCTCTCTCTCTCTCTCTCTCTCTCTCTCTCTCTCTCTCTGCTCACTGATGGGTGGGTTCTGCCCTTTCCTCTCATTGCAGTGGTAAGATGAGGAAGTCTATATGGGCTGCTTTGGTTCTAGATCACAAGTGTTGCATCAACTCAGATAAAAAGGTTCTATATCAGAGCTCACCAGTCTGCATTGGACATGCACAGGGAGCCCCAGTTAAATAAAAATGTATTTCATTCAGGACTCTTGGTTGCCAACAAAAAGAAGCCCAATTCAAATTGGCTTAAAAATTTAAAAAGATGAGAGAAGGGAAGAGGGTGCTTTTGCTTCAGTGGCTTCTGATACAGCTGAGTCCAGCAGCTCAACAATCACATCAAGACTCACTGTTTCCCCATTTCTCGCCTCAACTTGCCTTTATTCCTGAGTGGTAAGCACCACTATCAGCTACTCAAGGCTCACGCTCTACCAGTAGAAACAAACGAAGCCCTGTGATTCTCTTAGATTCAAGCCAGAGTCCTGGAAGACCTAGGTCAGCCAGGCCTGGGTTGCAAACCTATCAATGCACCCTCTGCTGGACTGGTCAGGCCTGGGTTCTGTGCCCACTCCTGGACAGAGAGTGGGCGAAGTCTGGCTCCCAAAGGATAGTCAGGGTCCTGTTACCAGAAGAATGGAGAACGGATGCTGGGAAGGCAAAACCAACAAAGGCTGACCACAATATATTTCATAGTTTCATTCTCTGCATCTTTATCTTTCTCAAGCAGAGATGTTCTAAAGCAGGATTTGGGTATGCCAACGTCCTGACCAAAACCATCTCCTTAACACCCTCCAGCATCACCATTTCCCATGAGCCTGGCCATGTGTTTGCTGGGATGGTTTATTTCATGTCCTCACTTCTTCCTATAAATTGTAGGACTTACTTATCCTTGTCAATTTCTTTTCTCTGCTTTGTAAGATGGCACGCGGCTTCATGACATCTCTCCAAAGGGCCTGAAGGCTGTGCCCCACATGCATCGCCTCAGGGCAAAAGCACATGCAAAACAAGCCACTCTTGGAAGCTGCCTCTTAAAGCAGAGCATCTCGGGTAATTCCCTGAGTCCCTAATAACACTGCTTCCTTGAGCCCCAAGGCTTCCAAAAGCTACAGGAGCATCCCAGATCTAATTTCCTAATAATATCTGTCTTTCTATTCTCTGCTATAACATAGCTTAGAACAAAAGCAAAAATATAGGGGCTCCTTTTTGATAAATTTTTCAAGGTAATACCTATCCAGAAGAAAGTAATCCCGGATATACAAATTAAGCATATTACAATCACTTCTATGTACAAGCACATGGATACCTATGTCATTTCTAATGAAAACAAGTGGAAATCATCTAAATATACAGCCAAATGAGATCAGTTAAGTGGCTAATGGTTCATTCACACAGCCATTCTGCAGCATTATGCGGGAACACTATGCAGCCAATAAAAATAATGTAGAAGAATATTGAATAATGTGAGAATATAGTCAGGATACGTTGCTCAGTGAAAAGAGAATAAAATCCTACCTTCAATTTCTTTTTTTTTTTTTTTTTTTTTGAGACGGAGTTTCGCTCTTTTTGCCCAGGCTGGAGTGGTGCAATGGTGCGATCTCAGCTCACTGCAACCTCCACCTCCCAGGTTCAAGCGATTCTCCTCCCTCAGCCTCTCAAGTAGCTGGGATTACAGGAGCCCACCACCACACCTGGCTAATTTTTTGTATTTTTAGTAGAGACAGGGTTTCACCATGTTGGCCAGGATAGTCTTGATCTCTTGACCTCGTGATCTGCCCACCTTGGCCTCCCAAAGTGCTGAGATTACAGGTGTGAGCCACCGCGCCCAGCCGCTCCTACCTTCAATTTCTAAAAACTTGTACACACATTGCTATGGATTGAATTGTATCCTTCCCACCACTACTCAAATGCTGAAGCCCTAACCCCTAATGTCACTGTGTGTGGAAATAGGGACTACAATGAGGCAATTAAGGCTAAATAAGGGTATAAGGATGGGGCTTTCTTAGAATAGGATTGGTATCCTTAGAAGAGATACCAGAGAGCTTACTTGCTCTCTGTCTTCACATGTATGCAACCCAGGTGTCAGCTGGGGCTGTGGTCTCATTAGAGGCTTGACTGGGGAAGGACCTGCTTTCCAGCCCCCTCAGGCTGCTGGCAGAATTCAGTTACTTGTGGTTTAGGACTGAAGGTCTCAGTTACTTACTGACTGTTGAACAGATGCCACCCTCAGCTCCTAGAGGATACCACTGGGGTGTCCCTCCCGTGTGGGTTTCCTAAAAATGACGCTTGCTTCTTCAAAGTTAGCGGGGGATGCAGAAACCACACCAACATCTATGTCATGTAATCAGGTACATATAACTGCACACATTCTGTCACGTTTGCTGTATTCTATTGGTTAGAAGCAGGTCACAGTTCCATCCACACTCAAAAGTGGACCCTCACAAGGGCATGACCACAGGCAGATCATGGGGGCCATCATAAGCTACTGTCACAAAAGCTGTAAATAATTTTATTGATCATATTTAACACATTTAAAATGCTAAATGATGAAAGTTTTTTTACATCCTGCCCTAGAGACTTATTTTCACAGGACTTCAATTTTCTCTCATCTTATTTTTGTGACTCTCACTCATATCTTTCATATCCTATTTGCTTTACTATGTACACTTTTTTTTTTTTTTTGAGATGGAGTCTTGCTCTGTCACCCAGGCTGGAGTTCAGTGGCACAATGTTGGCTCACTGCAACCTCCGCCTCCCAGGTTCAAGTGATTCTCCTGCCTCAGCCTCCCAAGTAGCTGGGATTACAAGAATGCACCACCATGACTGGCAAATTTTTTTTTTTTTTTTTTTTTTTAGTAGAGATGGGTTTCACCATCTTGGCCATGCTGGTCTCAAACTCCTGACCTCAGGTGATCTGCCTGCCTTGACCTCCCAAGGTGCTGGGATTACAGGCATGAGCCACTGCACCTGGCCTATGTACACTTTTTTTACATTGACTTTTATGCTTATTAGAGATGAGGTCTTGCAGTTCCATTCAGGCAACAGTGCAGTGGCATGATCATAGCTTGCTGTAGCCTCAAATCCCTGGGCTCAAGTGATCCTCCTGCTTCAGCCTCCCAAGTAGCTAGGACTACAGGTGTGCACCATCATGCCCAGCCAATTTTTAAATATTTTGCAGAGACAGGGTCTTGCTATGTTGCCCAGGCTGGTCTCAAACTCCCGGCTTCAAGTGATCCTCCTACCTCAGCCCCCCAAATTGCTGGGATTACGGGCATGAGCTACTGCACCAGGCGTATGTAAACTTTTTAATAAAATGTAACGTACCCACGGAAAAACAAACAAATCGTAAATGTATACAGTTTGATGACTTTTCATAAAGTGACTGCACCCACATAATCAGTACCCAAACCAAGAATCAGCATATTTCAGGCTCCTGGAAAGCCCCTTGTGCCTCCTGGCAGTCACTGTGCACGCCCCCATCCCCACCAAGGGTGCCCACACTCCTGGCAGGGCTGCATATTTTAAGATATTCTCTTCCTCCTCTAACTTTTTCATGCCTGTCAATCTCACTTACAAAGTTGTGAGATTGTAGGATTAAGGATTTAGATACCAAACCTGCTCAGCCAACCAGGACCAAAAAGAACCTTTGCTACAGACCCAATTCTGATAGAAATGATGTTTTGGCTCAAGTAGGATTGAATTGCTGGAATTTGCTGGGTGATGGCATCCTCCCCACCAGAGAAATTGGAAGGGGAAAACTCTATTTAAGGGAATTGAAGGCAGAGAGAGGCAAAGCTACTGTTAGGTGCTCGTTTGTTCCTTAAAGTATGTCCCTATTTCCACACCGAAGTGAATTACTCCCCAGGGAAGTGAAGAAAACTGCAGATGTGATTGAGAAACTGTTAGAATTCTCTAAAACAGCACTGTCTAGAAGAAATATAACACAAGCCTCATTATGCAATTTAAAAATTTCTGGTGACCTGGGCCTGGTGGCTCATGCCTGTAATCCCAGCACGTTGGGAAGCCTAAATGGGAAGATCATTTGAGGCCAGGAGTTTGAGACTAGCCTGGGCAACATAATGAGACACCATCTCTATGAAAAAAAAAAAAAAAAAAAAAGTAGCCGGGCATGGTGATGCACACATATAAGTCCCAGCTACTCCAGAGGCTGAAATAGGAGGATCCCTTGAGCCCAGGAGTTTGAAGCTGCAGTGAGCTCTGATCACACTGCTGCACTCCAACCTGGGCAACAGAGCAAGACCCCATCTCTCTAAAAAAATAAATAAATAAAGTGAAATACATAAAAAAATTAAAATTTTTCTTGTAGGCACATTTAAAAAGTCAGAGGAAACAGGATTTCATAATTTTAATAACCATTAATAAATATTAAATAATAGTAATTCAATTTTAACAATATTTTATTTTCATATACTATATCCAAAATATTATAATTTTCACCTATAATCAACATAAAATTATGAATGAAATATTTTAAATGCAATAAGACATTTTACACTTTTTTCATTCTAAGTCTCTGAAACCCAATATTTTACATCTAATATTTTACATGTCAGTTCAGACGAGCCACATTTCAATTGCTCAGAGGCATATGTGGCTGATGGTTACCTTATTGACCAGAGCAGTTTTAAGCAACCAGGAAGAAGTGTCAGGAAATGAGCAAAAAAAAAAAAAAAAAAAAAAAAAATCCAAGTTTTCAAATGGTCCAAGAGTGGGTTGCAATAATACCCAAATGACAAATACGTATTCACTCATCAAACATGTTTGATGCAGGAGACTGAAAAAAGAACTCAAAGCTTCCGCCCTTAAGAACCTCATAAGGGAGACAAATGTATAGACCATTATAACATCAAGTGGCAAGTGCAGTACCAGAGATAAGCAAGAAGGAGCAGAGAGATGGCCCATCAGCTGGGAGGGTGGAGGGAGAATACACATTCTAATACTACCCTCCATTACAACTAGTTACAGTGCCTGAAATGCTCATCATGCAATGAATTCTGGGTCATGAAAACAGTCTGGTTAAAATGCAAATACGTACTCAGGCAGGGTAAACACATAAACGTATGCATGCCCATTTACATTCATTGTTTTTTAAAAACCAGATTTATTTGTGTTCTCTAGTGGAAAACAGAGCTGGAGGTATAGGGGAGAGATACAGGACTCAAGGCTCAACTGTGGAGCACTCAGGCTCTGAAGGCTTCTGAGAGGAGACCTCGTCAAGGAGAAAGAGCATTGAAAGTGAAGATTTAGGTGTCAAATAGAGAGGCTGAAAACTGCCTGAATTTGCCCATGGAGAAACCAGTCCAGACCAATGCCTTTCTTTATCTGAACACATGGCCCTCAGACCTCCTGCAACAGACTCACCTGCATATATTGTTAAAAATGTGTAGCCCTTGGCTGAGTGCAGTGGCTCACTCCTGTAATCCCAGCATTTTGAGAGGCCGAGGCATGAGGATTGCTTGAGCCCAGGAGTTCGAGTCCAGCCTGGGCAATGTAGCAAGACTTCATCTCTATAAAAAAAACTTAGAAAAAAATTTTAAAAATGCATAGCCTTATAACCCTGGGCCCCACCCCAGACCTCTTATGGTAAACAGTATTACAGTTCCCAGTCATTTGCTCCTTCTTTCCTATAAGACAATGATACATGGGGTTTTTTTGTTTTTTTTGTTTTTGGTTTTTTTTGAGGAGGAGTCTCACTTTAACACCCAGGCTGGAGTACAGTGGCACTATCTGGGCCCACTGCAACCTCCACCTCCCAGGTTCAAGTGATTCTCCTGCCTCAGCCTCCCAAGTAGCTGTGACTACAGTCGTGCACCACCATGCCTGGCTAATTTTTTTTTTTTTTGTTTGGTAGAGACAGGATTTCACCATATTGGCCAGGCTGGTTTTGAACTCCTCACCTCAGGTGATCTACCTGCCTCGGCCTCCCAAAGTGCTGGGATTACAGGCGTGAGCCACCACACCCAGCCTGATGATACATCTCTGATGCAAGTGTATGTCCCCTATGGGGCTGTTCCTTCTGTGTGAGTCCTTAAATGAAGAAAGTGTGGCAGATCTGATACACAGCCAATATGAAATGTCAGTAGAAAACAAACCTTTTTTTCATTATACGCCACTGAGATTTGAGGAATCATTTGTTACTGCAGTATAACCAAGCAAGTGCCAGCTGATACACATACTGAATCAACATTTCTAGAGGAGAAGGTAGATCCTGTGAATCTCCATTTTTCCCCATGGGACCCTGATTCTCACTAATGTCACCCAAACAAACAAATAAGATATATTCCGTTTGAGAAGTGAGCCTTTCATCAGACTGAAAGTTGAATGCTGGCCACAAATCAAATAGACACTTAAGAGTTTCGGGTTTCCATAAGGCAGAGTGTTCTGTGTAAATACAAGTTTTTGTTTGTTTGTTTGTTTGTTTGTTTGTTTGAGATGGGGTCTTGCTCTGTGGCCCAGGCTGGAGTTCAGTGGTGCGATCTCGGCTCACTGCAACCTCTGCCTCCCAGGTTCAAGCGATTCTTCTGCCTCAGCCTCCCGAGTAGCTGGGATTATAGGTGCACGCCACCACACCTGGCTAATTTTTGTATTTTTAGTAGAGATGGGGTTTCACCATGTTGGTCAGGCTGGTCTTGAACTCCTGACCTCGTGATCTGCCTGCCTCTGCCTCCCAAAGTGCTGGGATTACAGGCGTGAGCCACCACGCCCGCCCGTAAATACAAGTCTTAATTGCTCAGCCCATTACAGTCCTAGAAATTAAGGAAAAGTAAAGCTAGACAGAAGCAGCCTCGCTAGCTCATCTGCAAGCTTGGAGTTCTTGTTCTATGCAAGGCCCTGGCCCTGGCCCTGAAGAGAGCTCCATGCAGCAAGCCCGAGCATCCCTGTCCCTGTGAGGCTTTCATCCATGGTTCCCTGACAATCAGGATTCTTGTTTTTCTGAGTTGGGCAGTGCTGTGGTCTGCATGTGCTCTCCAAAACTCCTGGGTTGAAAGTTTCTTTTTTTTGTGGAGTCTCACTCTGCTGCCCAGTCTGGAGTGCAAATGGCACAATCTCAGCTCACTGCAACCTCTGCCTCCCAGGTTCAAGCGATTCTCCTCCCTCAGCCTCCCAAGTAGCTGGGATTACAGATGCCCACCTCCACGCCTGGCTAATTTTTGTATTTTTAGTAGAGACAGGGTTTCACTATGTTGGCCAGGCTGGTCTCAAACTCCTGACCTGAAGTGATCCGCCTGCCTTGGCCTTCCAAAGTACTGGGATTATAGGCGTGAGCCACCACACCCGGCCCATATGTTAAAACTTAATCGACAATGTGATGATATTATTAGGTGGCGTCTTTAGGATGTGATTAAGTCGTGAGGGTAGAGCCCTTGTGAATGGGATTAATGCCCTTATAAAATGGCTGGGAAGAATTCCCTAGGCCCATTTTGCCCTTCATGTGAGGACACAGCCTTTGTTCCCTCTGGAGGAAGAAGCAACAAGGCGCCATCTTGGAAGCAGAGGCCAGGCCTCACCAGACATCGAACCTGCCTTGATCTTGGACTTCCAGCCTCCAGAACTCTGAGAAATAAATTTCTGTTCTTTATAAATTACTCAGCCTCAGGCATTTTGTTCTAGTGGCCCCCATGCAGCTCTTGTTCCAGAAGGGGAGGCTGGCATTGCTCACCCAGGGTAACCATCCATTTCTAACAGACATGGCAGTCACCACGTACTTCTAAAAGGAAGCTTGGGACAATATAGCACCCCTCCCTGCTTGCCATCCTTCAGTGGCTCTCCATTGCTTTTAGGAGTGCAGCCAGACTCCTTATCCGGGCACAGAAGGCCCTTTGTGAACTGACCTTGGCTTACCTCACTGGTCTCTCCTTCTCTCTCTCTCTCTGCACTCTAGCCATGCAAATATTTCTACAGTTCCTCAAAGTCACCACCCTCTCTTTCTCACCTCTGGGCTTTTGCATGTACTGTTGCTCTGCCTGGAATATGCTAGATTCAACTAACTCTGGGGCTCAGTTTACGTGTGACTTCTTTCAGAAAGACTTCTCTGACAATTACCAGTCCCCCAAATGAAAAAAAAACCCACTGGGCAGAAGGACTCCCTTAGGGGCTCAGCCACACTCTATTTCTGCAGCCTTGTTCTTAGCCCAGCGGATGGAGTCCACCCCATTAAATGTGCACTTCTCTGGCAGTCTGTAAGCCCTGAGAGAAGGGACTCTGTCCTCCCAGTATTCCCTCAGCCAGTGCAGTGCCTGCCACATGGCAGGTGCTCAATATATATTTCTTGCATGAATGAACAAACAAGGAATTTAAAAACCATTAGCAAAGCTCCTTTCTGAAACTACGCTGGCCTGGGATGCAGATGATTCTTAATAAATTTCTCACTTTCCCATGAATTTGGCAATAACTTATCTATCTCTTCCTCACTCCACTGCCGACTGCCACTCCCTCTTCTCTTTAATGTTCTTCTTGGGGTTCTGAGCCTTACCAACCACTGAGCTCTCCCTTGGCTGAATAACGACCAGGGAAGAGCCACCCCAACCCTGTTCTTTGAGCACCTACTAGGTGCAAGGGCACTGGATGCATGTCTGAAAGAATGCACCAACCACCCCGGGAGGTAAACTGTATTATTTTTGAACATTTCCAAAGTTGTGAAATATAACATTTGTATTCAGCCAGGTGCAGTGGCTCACACCTGTAATCCTAGCACTTTGGGAGACCGAGGTGGGCAGACCACCTGAGGTCAGGAGTTCAAGACCAGCCTGACCAACATGGAGAAACCCCATCTCTACTAAAAATACAAAAAAAAAATTAGCTGGGAGTGGTGGTGTGCACCTGTAATCCCAGCTACTTGGGAGGCTGAGGCAAGAGAATCACTTGAACCCGGGAGGCGGAGGTTGCAGTGAGCCGAGATCACGCCATTGCACTCCAGCCTGAGCAACAAGAGTGAAACTCCATCTCAAAAAAACAAAAAACAAAAAACAAAAAAATTTGTATTCACAAACACCAAAAGCATAAATGTAGAGTTTAACAAAGTATTATCAACTAACATCTGCTTCCTCACTGCCCAGGTCCAGGTAAGTTGTCCATATCCCAGGGGCCTCACATCCTGTCCAGGCCACCACCTCTTCCCTCCCAGTTGGTAATAGCTTCCTTGCTTTGTTGAAGACACCTAAGCAGGCACCCCTAAACCACAGAGTGCTGTGCTTTTGAAAACCTCTTGATTAAAGTGTACTTGACATACAGTACACTGCACATATTTAAGGTATGATTTTAAGGTAGATATTATTATTGTCTTGATTTGTGAGATGAGGACAGTGAGGCCCAGAGAGGGGAAGTTGACTCTCCCAGGGCCCCACACCATCTGTGACGCTAATGGCAGCCTGGGCAAGGCTGGGATGGGGGTGTCCCAGGTTGGCAGGGAGACTCAGGGCAACTGGGATGAGCTCTAATACAGACCCAAAAAAGTCCGGGGGAAGAGCAGAAAGGAAGTAAAGAAGTAAGCTCATGCCTGGGCTTTGTTTCCCAGACATTCCCATCAGAGTGCATTTAAACCTCCTCCTTCCCACTGTTTCCCTTCACCCCTCCTTAGCGCTCCTCATGGAGACAGCTGGGTGTAGTTGCTATGAACGGAAGAGAACTCCTGGGGCTGAGAAGCCCAGGGAAGAACCATTCAGTTCCTCATTTTCCCAGCTAACAGCTTATAAAAATCTGTTATTTCACTAACAATTGAGTATGTGGAAACACATTGGAGTCGAGGATCATCCTCATTCAAGGCATGCACACAGAGAGGCAGCAGAGCACAGGGGGTAAAGGGCAGCCCTTGGGGTCACATTCTGAGCCTGGCTCTCACCTTCCAGGGTCCTCGGGCAGGGTCTTTTCCTCCCTGATCAGCGTCCGTTTCTCCTTTTAATGTGAGGTCGCAGCAGGTGCATCCGCGAAGACAATGCCTGTACAGCACTTGGTACTGCACCTGGCACAGAAGGAGGGCTTTGAAAATATTGGCTATGGTGGCGAATAAAAAATAACGTGACATGACAGAGGTAGAGAGCAAGAGACTTAGTCTTTATAGAATCCCCAAGGATGTGCCTTTGTTCTGGAGCATTCGAGGTGGAGACTCTGATGGTACCAACTTCAGAGGGGGCCACGCAGCCCTTGGTGGGGCTCATCAGCATTTGGAGAGGGTCCCGGGGGACCTCTGCAGTGAGATGGAGGGATGCAAGGAGTGAAGAGCCGCCTGTCACCAGCACGCCCTCCCCATGCATCCCATATGCACTGCTGGCAGCAGCCACCCCACTGGAAGCCATCTGGCCTCAGTCAGCATCCCTGCCCCTGTCCCCAGTGCCAGCCTAGGGCTGCCTAGGTGACGGAGCTCAACTGCAGGGCTGCATCCCTCCCTAGGGGGCTTGCTAAGACCAGGATGTGAGGAGTAGACACACTCAAGGAAAAGGGTGGAAGGTGAGGAGGTAATGTCACGATAGGCACCTAAGGCCCGGTCGTCAGATGAACAAGGAAGTCCAGGGGCAGGTACTGTGGGGAGGAGCAGGCCACGGTCTCACCTCTCTCTGTGCCTCTGCTTCGATTTTCTCTCTCCTCTTCCTTCCTGCTTTCACTTTTGCTTTCTTCCCTTGCCCTCCCTCCTCCTCCTCTTGTCCTTTCCCTCTCTCTTAGGATGAAATAGATTCCTAGGGCTGCCATAGCAAGTCACCACAAACTGGGTGGCTTCAAACAACAGAAGTTTGTTTTCTCACAGTTCTGGAGGCCTGAAGTCCAAAATGAAGGTATTGGCTGGGTTGGTTCCTTCTGGAGGCTCTGAGAAAGCAGCCTCCGTCCCCTGCCTCCCCCAGCTTCCGGTGGCTTCAGCAATCCTTGGCATTTCTTGGCTTGTGGCCACATTACTCCAATCTCTGCCTCCATCTTTACATGGCCCCGCCGCTGTGTCTCTGGGTGTCATGTCTCCGTCCTTTCCCATATGAAGACACCAGTCATTGGATTTAGGGCCCACCCTAAATCCAGGATTATCTCATCTCTAGATCTTTAACTCAATTACATCTGCCAAGACCTTTTTCTCCAATAAGGTATTTTTTCTTTTTCTTTTTAAATTTGTTATTTTCTTTTTTTTCTTCCTGGTTCTTAGTAAGTGTGCACCAAATAAGGTCTTATTCCGAGGTTCTGGGTGAACATACCTTGGCGGGGAGCACTATAACCAACTAAACTCTTTCACTTTCTCTGCACACACTTACTCTTCATTCCCCCACTCCGGACCCATTTCTCTCCCCCTGCTTTTCCCTTCCCTCCTTCCTTTGTCTCACCCTCTCCCCTTTTCTCTCTTGCTCTTCCTCTCTTTCTCCTCTCCTCTTCCTCAGCTTACTCATTTCATAAACTTCTGTTTTGTGCTGCCCCATTACTTAGCTTGCACTGATCATAACCCCATGTAAGTTTGTAGCTCTGGTGCCCAGCAACAGCTAGTCTAGAATTTTTACTCTTATTTAAAATTCTGGTGAAAACAGATTTGATTGGCTCAGCCTGGTCAAGTGTCCAACCAGCTGTGGGTGGAGGGGTGTCAGAAAGTGAATATTGAGTTACAAGCAACCAACTGTGTCTGCTGCATCTTCTTAGGGGCATTCCTCAGTAGTGTTTTCTTCCGTTTAATTTTCATTACAGAAATGTTCAAATGTACAGGAGAGAATAGCACAATGAACCCCATGTACCATTGCCCAGCTTCAACAACCATATTTTGCCATTCTTATTTCATCTCTCTCTCTCTCTCTCTCTCTCTCTCTCTGCCCCAGCCCCCTTTTTCATCCCTCCTTGGATCATTAAAAGCAATTGGCTGGCAGATCACTTGAGGTCAGGAGTTAGAGACCATCCTGGCCAACACGGTGAAACCCTGTCTCCACTAATAATACATTTAAAAAATTAGCTGGAGGCTGGGCACGGTGGCTCAAGCCTGTAATCCCAGCACTTTGGGAGGCTGAGGTGGGCGGATCACCTGAGGTCAGGAATTTGAGAGCAGCCTGGCCAACATGGCAAAACCCCGTCTCCACTAAAAACATAAAAAATTAGCTGGGCATGGTGGCGGGTGTCTGTAATCCCAGCTACTTGGGAGGTTGAGGCAGGAGAATTGCTTGAACCTGGGAGGCAAGAGGTTGCAGTGAGTGGAGATTGCACCACTGCACTCCAGCCTGGGGGACAGGGCAAGACTCCATCTCAAAAAGCAAAACAAAATAAAAGCAATTGTGTAATATACTTTATTTTTTAGAGTAGGAATAGCTTCAGGTACACAGCAAACTTGAGCATAAAGTACAGAGAGTTCCCACATACCCCCTGCTCCCCATGCACAGCCCCCCCAACTATCAGCATGTACCAGAGTGGCACATTTGTTACAGCTGATGAACCTACATTGACGCAGTGCCATCACTCACAGCCCATTTGGGGATGGCTATTGACAGGTGATCATTTCTTTTCTTTTCCTTTTTTTTTTTTTTTTTTTTTTGTGAGACAGGATCTCACTCTGTCACCCAGGCTGGAGTGCAGTGGCACGATCATGACTTAGTGCAACCTCAAACCCCCGGGTTCAAGCTATTCGCTCACCTCAGCCTCCCGAGTAGCTGGGACTACAAGTATGTGCCATTGCACCAGGCTAATTTTTCTTTATTTTGTACAGACAGAAGTCTCGCTATGTTGCCCAAGCTGGTCTTGAACTCCTGACCTCAAGCTGTCCTCCCACCTCAGCCTCCCAAAGTGCTGAAATTATAGGTGTGAGCCACTGCACCCGGCTCATTTCACTTTTGAATACTACAATGTATATCGGTGACAGATACAACCTGATATTATGACATCAGAAACCTCTCAATGGGATGCAACGGCAAGTACAGGCACCATTTATAAGAGTCTTGCCACAAATGATGAACCTGAATCTCATCAAGCCTCTGGAGCTCATCATTAGTTTACAGGAAATACCACAGACTCACAGTAATACAAATGCCTTCCAATTCCGTAGAGCTGCTTGACTTTTTAAAGCACATTTACATGGATTATGGCCTCCTTTTATAGCCATAGTCACCCTAGATTTGGGTTGACAAGATAAACATTCTTATTCCCATTTCAGAGACTGAATAATTAAGGTAACAAGGAAGTGAAATGAGAACTTAATTGAGGGCCACCAGACTTGGTTTCAAGTCCTGGCTCTACCACTAATCACCTTTGTGACCTTGGGCAAGGCTGGGACCCCACAAAGCTACGGTTAATGCATCCAGATTTGCCCAGGACAACCCTGGTTTACACCTGCTGAACCTGTGTGGTTATCATCTGAGACTTCTTTTTCTCTAAAACGTGTTCCAGTCTGGGTGTGGTAGCTCAGGCCTGTAATCGCAGCACTTTGGGAGGCCAAGGTGAGCGGATCACTGGAGGCCAGGAGTTTGAGACCAGCCTGGCCAACATGGTGAAACCCCGTCTCTACTAAAAATACAAAAATTAGCCAGGAGTGGTGGCGGGCGCCTGTAATCCCAGCTACTGGGGAGGCTGAGGCAAGAGAATCACTTGAACCTGAGAGGCTGAGGTTGCAGTGAGCCGAGATCATACTATTACACTCCAGCCTGGGCGAACAGAGCAAGACTCCATCTAGAAAATAAAAATTAAAAAATAAATAAAATAAAATAAAATGTGCTCCAGCTTGGACAATAAATTATATAGTTCCCTTACCTAAAGCCGTAGATGACGAGGAGTATGGACCAAGCCAGTGGTTTTCTATCCTGGTTGCACAACAGAATCACTAGGGGAGAGTTTCTAAGCTTCCAATGCTTCAACCCCACCCTAAACCAATCAAATCAAGATTTGCAGGGGTGGGACCTGACATGGAATGTGATTGGAGCTTCCTATGTGATTCTAATGTGCAGCCAGGGTTACAGCCACGCCATTGGGTGCTCCTGTCACTGAACAGCAGCCAGTTACTAACAGTGACAAGCATCACCTGGCAGCTTGTGTAAATGAGGAAGCTCAGGTCCCACAGCATTCCAACTGTCTTCGTCTGTTTGTGCTGCTGTAACAAAATACCACGAATTGGATAATATACTAGCAATAGAAACTTACTTCTAACTGGGTGCAGTGGCTCACACCTTTAATCCCAGCACTTTGGGAGGCTGAAGCAGGCAGATCACTTGAGGCCAGGAGTTCAAGACCAGCATGGCCGACATGGGGAAAACCTGTTTCTACTAAAAATACAAAAATTAGCCTGACGCACTGGTTTCCCAGCTACTCGAGAGGCTGAGGCACGAGAATGGGTTGAACCTGGGGAATGGAGGTTGCAGTGAGCCGAGATCACATCCACTGTGCTCCAGCCTGGGTGACAGAGCAAGACTCCATCTCAAAATGAAAAAAAAAATAAATAAAAAGAAAAGAAACTTACTTCTCACAATTCTAGAGGTCAGGATGTCCAAGGTGGAGGTGCCATCGGTCTTTGTATCTGGTGATGCCTTGAACACTGTGTTCTCCAGATAGGAGGAATGCTATGTCCTCACATGGCGCAAGGGATGGAAGGACAAAAGAGCATCCCTTTCAACCTTGAGCCCTTTTATAAGGGTGCTAATCCCATTCATGAGAGTGGCATCCTCATGACTTAATCACCTCCCAAAGGCTACACCTCTTAATACTCTTGCATTATGGATTAATTTTGTTTATTTACTTATTTATTTATGTTTTGAGACAGAGTCTCGCTCTGTCACTCAGGCTGGAGTGCAATGACATGATCTCGGCTCACTGCAACCTCTGCCTCCTAGGCTCAAGTGATTCTCCTGCCTCAGCCTCCCAAGTAGCTGGGACTACAGGTGCCTGCCACTACGCTCAGCTAATTTTTGTATGTTTAGTAGAGACAGGGTTTTGCCATGTTGGCCAGGCTGGTCTCAAACTCCTGACCTCAAGTGATCCGCCTGCCTCAGCCTCCCAAAATGCTGAGATTACAGGCATGAACCACTGTGCCTGGCCAGATTAATTCTGAACAAGAATTTTGGAGGGGACACCATCATTCAAACCATAGCACCTACACACTGAATCAGAATTTGCATTTGAACAAGATCCCCTAAGGATCTTGCACTTTGAAGTTTGAGAAGCACCTCTCTAAAAGCCCTAAAAGCTGACTACTTCTAAATGACCTGGCCAATATCCCTTGGCTGGTAAGCGTCAGACCTTAGCCTGAGCAACTGGCTCTCGGTTTCTTATTTTGTTTACTTTTTATCTTTGAAGATGGGGTCTCATTCTGTCACCCAGGCTGGAATGCAGTGGCAAGATCATAGCTCACTGCAGCCTCAAACTCCTGGACACAAGCAATCCTCCCACCTCAGCCCATTTTACAGATGAGAAAAGTTGAGGCTCAGAGAGATTAAGTCATTTGCCGGAGGTCATGGAGGAGCCAGTTATGAGCAGCAGGCCACACCGAACTCAGAGCCAGTCACTGGGCTAGTTGAAAGGATCCCAATGCAAGCAAAATGCAGACACTCTGAGACCAGGGAAGAGAAATTAAATTCAGTTTCATTTTGCTTTTTAGGGCAGAAGAAAGGGCTAGAAGAAGTAAAGCAGAGATGAGAAGGATGTAAGAGGAATTTGATCATCTAAAAATTGGGGCACACTTTATAATTCTGTCTTTAAAAAACGATTCGGGGCTGGTTGCGGTGGCTCACACTTGTAATCCCAGCACTTTGGGAGGCTGAGGTGGGAGGATCACCTGAGCCCAAGAGTTTGAGACCAGAGTGGGCAACATAGCAAGACCCCTATCTCTACAAAACAAATTTAAAAGTTAGCCAGGTACGGTGGCACGCACCTGTAGTCCCATCTACTCGGGAGGCTGAGGTGGGAGGATAGCTTGAGCCCAGTAGTTTGAGGCTGCAGTGAGCTATGATCTCACCACTGCACTCCAGCATGGACAACAGAGTGAGACCTTGTCTCAGAAAAAAAAAAAACAACAAAACAAACAAACAAAAAACAGATTTGGGGTGTGTGCCCCAAGTTGCTGGAGAAAAAGAGGACCAGGTTGACCCTAACCCTCTGGAGGCTTCAAAATGTCTCCCTGTGTGTTGGATGGTGTCACTTGAGGTCAGTTTCCAGGAAAGATAGCAAGGTGTACTATAAGAAACCACCTTGATATGTGGGGGCTTAAGACAAGCCTTTGTTATTGCTCTCAAGTCTATTTCTCAAATTAGGCATGTCCACTGATCTGGGTCCAGCGGAGCTGACCTCCACTGGGCTCACTCAGACATCTAACATCAGTGACAGGTTGTCTGGGGCTGTCTAGTCTTCGATGGCCTCACTTACACATCTGGAGGCCAGCAGGCTGTTGGCTGGGGTGATGGTGGAGTTTCAGCCTTGTGTCTCTCACCATCCAGCAGGCTAGCTCAGGCTTGTTCACATGGCAGCAGTGCAGTTCCAAGGGAGGGAGCAGAAACATGCAAGGACAGATGCAGTCGGCCACACACTCAATCAGCTGCGTATTATCCATGGGGGTGCCAGCAATGATTCAAGAGGTGGGAAAATAGGTGCCACCTCTTGATAAGGTCATGCTGCAAGGAGTGGGACATTGTGGCCATTTTTGAAAAAAAATTTACAGATTGGTTTATGGAAGCAGAAATATAAAACAATAGGGACAAACAATAGATAAATAATGAGGGTAGAGGAGAGGAGGTGGGGGGAGGAAGATTTTTTTTTAGTGCCAAAACACTAGTTTATTTATTGATTGATTCTTTTAACAAATACTTAGTGAGCATCTACTGTGGACCAGGTGCTATGCTGGCCCTGAAGGTATAACAGGAGGTAGACCTAGAACCTGCCCTCCTGGGTCTTACAGTTTAGAGCAGGAGACAGAAAAGGAAACCTACCCTACAATTCACCATGGCAAGTGCTATGTTAGGGGAAGTGCGGACAACTTTGGGGACTCACAGTAGGAATACCTAACCGGTCTCAGATGACAGAAGGAACCAGGGAAGGCTTTAGTCATAAACTCTGAAGCAAAATCCATGGTATGAACCATGCCAAAGAGGAGCTGGAGAAGAGAGAAAAGCAACTGAGAAAATGGAATCCCAGAGACAAGGGAGAGTACAGCTTGTATGGCTGGAGTAAAAAGCTGGAAGATGAGAGTTGAGAGAAGCAGATAGAGACTTATGCAAGAGAAGCAAAGGAGGCCGGGCACGGTGGTTCATGCCTGTAATCCCAGCACTTTGAGAGGCCAAGGTGGGTAGATCACTTGAGCTCAGGAGTTCGAGACCAGCCTGGCCAACATGGTGAAACCCCGTCTCTACTAAAAATATGAAAATTAGTCAGGCGTGGTAGCGCATGACTGTAATTCCAGCTACTTGGGAGGCTGAGGCACGAGAATTGCTTGAACCCAGGAGGAGAAAGTTGCAGTGAGCCAAGATCGCACCACTGCACTCCAGCCTGGGCAACAGAGAGAGATTCTGTCTCAAAAACAAGAAAGAAAGAGAGAGAAGTGAAGGAGTTAACACTTCACAAGGAAAGATTTTTTTTTTTTGAGACGGAGTCTCGCTCTGTCACCCAGGCTGGAGCGCAGTGGCATGCGACCTCAGCTCACTGCAAGCTCCGCCTCCCGGGTTCATGCCATTCTCCTGCTTCAGCCTCCCAAGTAGCTGGGACTACAGGCGCCCATCGCCACGCCCAGCTAATTTTTTGTATTTTTAGTAGAGACGGGGTTTCACCACGTTAGCCAGGATGGTCTTGATCTCCTGACCTCATGATCCACCCGCCTCAGCCTCCCAAAGTGCTGGGATTACAGGCGTGAGGAAAGATTTTTAACTTGCCAGATTAGATTGGCATGTTACAAAGACCACTTGCTCATCTTGGTATGGAAGGTGGACATTTTGGGGAGAAGATTTTTGTAGGAATGGGGAAGATGAGATTCAGGAAGTACAGTTAGGAAATACTGAGCAATCCAAGCATAAAATGATGGCTGAACTAAAAGGAGACTATAGGAATACAGAGTGGTGAACACACTGGAGAGATCCTTAGAAGGAAAATGCTCCAGGATTGTGTAGGAGAGGGCAGACTTTCCCTCTACCCTATGAGGCACTTGATAATTGCATCTATGAAATCAGCTGATAGTAGGCAGATGAACAGGTGATATAGTTTGGATGTGTCCCAGTCCAAATCTCATGTCGAATTGTAATCTCCAATGTTGGAGGTGGGGCCTTGTTGGAAGTAAATGCTCGGTGCTGCCAAGTGAAAATAGCACTCAGGCAAAAGTTCTCTCAGCAAGGCAATTTACTTCTATAGAAGGGTGCGTCTCACAGATGGAGCAATGGCGAGAGCACACCGGACGATGGAGGGGAAGGGGTTCTTATTCCTGACACAGGTAGCCCCTACTGTTGTGTCTTTCCCCTATTGGCTAGGGTTGGACAGCACAGTCTAAGCTAATTCTGATTGGCTATTTTAAAGAGAGCAAGGGTATGAGCCAGAGTGGTGGGGTGAGTAGTTTTGGCGGGAGGGACAGTTACAGAGCAGGTGACTAAGGATTACTAAGGACAGAACAGGCGACTAAGGATGCCTAAGGACAGAACAGGTGATAGAGGCTAGGAGGGGGTTGTTTACTGAAACTACGGGCAAGGAAGGTAAAGAACGAGGAAGTTAGCTTTAAAATGGAGAACAAAGAACAGGGAAGCTGAACGTACTGACATATTGGTTCTTTGAAGAAGAACTCAGAACTTATTGTACTTAACAATTTTTCTCCCTCTTGAATTTTAAAGGAAGTTAACAGGCTAAACTTGGAAGAGGAATTTACTATATCCTACAGCCTGGTAGGAGGTGATTGGATCATAAGGGCAGATTTCTCATGAATGGTTTAGTACCATCCCCCTGGTACTGTCCTCAAGATAGAGATGGTGAGTGAATTCACAAGCAATCTGGTTGTTTAAAAGTGTGTAGCACCTCCTGCCTCTCTCTCTTGCTCCTGTTTTCGCCATGTGACCTGCTGACTCCCTTTTGCCTTCTGCCATGATTGTAAGTTTCCCGAGGCCACCCCAGAAGCCAAGCAGACATCAGCATAATGCTTCCTGTACAGTTGAAGAGCCATGAGCCAATTAAACCTCTTTTCTTTATAAATTACCCAGTCTCAGGGTTTTTTTGTTGTTTTGTTTTGTTTTTGTGGCAGGGTCTCACTCTGTTGCCCAGGCTAGAATTCAGTGGCGCAATCTCTGCTCACTGCAACCTCTGCCTCCTGGGTTCAATCAATTCTCATATCTCAGTCTCTTAAGTAGTTGGGATGACAAACATGCACCACCATGCCCGGCTAATTTTTGTGTTTTTAGTACAGATGGGATTTCACCATGTTGGCCAGGCTGCTTCAGGTATTTCTTTATAGCAATGGGAGAATGGACTAATACTAAAGAAGAAAAGGTGAACACATTGATTACATGCACAGAGGCATTACATGAAAGAAAAGTGAATACCCCCAAATCCAGTAAGATCTAGAAGTTTAGATCCTGTCTTCATGTATGACAGGGGAGGGGGTTTTGGCAACTTAAGGGAAAATGGATGATTTGGGGGAAAGATAAATGGGCCCTCAGAAGAATACACAACAACCTGTGACAAAGTCTGTCTTGGCATGGCATCGACCTCCTGTCCCCTCTCCTGTGATAGGAGCCAATCTTCCCTGGTTGATGAGAGTCCAGGGAGGGGATTCATGACCACTGAGTTTCTTTTGGGGAGTCCACTTTAGGCAGATAAAGGGAACCCAGAGAAAGCTCTGCCTGTATTGCTATTCCCTGAATGCCCTCAGGCCAAAGCAATCAGAATACCAAACCAGCATGTTTTGGGGTGACATTTCCTGAATGCCTTCATCTGGTAATAACTGCAAGACAGCAGAAAATTCTAGAATGTTGTCTGGAATTTCTAGCTTCAGTGAGATGGATAGATGGTGGTACTATTCAGCAAGATAGAAAACCTTGGTTAAGGATAGTTGCCTTCATTGAGCACAAAATTTGATTCTAAGCTTCCCAGCAGCAAAGGCAAAAGGAAAACAAGATAAATGACCTCATCTCAAGGTTCCCTAACACGAACCACACCAGTGCACTATAGAAACCAAACTTCCTCATAAGGTACACAAGGGGAATTGACTGAGGGGATCTCTGTAGAAAGGAGTGTGAACCAAATAAAAGAAAAGGCCTTTGGCAGTAGTTCTATAAAAGATGCAGAAATGTTCTTTGCAGGCCTGTTCGGTATATCAGCATCGACCCCTGATAAAAGCTGAGAGCAAGATATTAAATCACAGCTCTGTAGAGTAATTTGTTCAAAAAAAGTCAGTGGAATGGCCTCTGGGTACCTAACTTGCTAAAGAGTTTTGAGCTCCCAGCATCTAGAGAATTGAGAGATTGGACAAATGAAAGGCACTTGCACTAATTAATACATTTTATAAACTTGAAATTAGGAGTTCAAGACCTACATGTGTAACTTAGTGCCCCAGGATAATTTTAAAGGGAAAAATATGAAAGTCCCAATTCCAGCAAATACCATTAACAACATAATCAAATAACTTAGGGCTTCATTTTTAAAATGTTGAAGCAATTAGAATCCATTGTGGCCTGGGCGCGGTGGCTCACGCCTGTAATCCTGGCACTTTGGGAGGCCAAGGCAGACAGATCACTTGAGGTCAGGAGTTCAAAACCAACCTGGCCAACATGGTGAAATCCCATCTCTACTAAAAATACAAAAATTAGCCAGGCATGGTGGCATGCGTCTGTAATCCCAGCCAGCTACTTGAGAGGCTTAGGCAGGAGAATCGCTTGAACCCGGGGGGCGGAGGTTGCAGTGAGCTCAGATAGAGCCACTGCACTTCAGTCTGAGCAATAGAGCAAGACTCCGTCTCAAAAAAAAAAAAAAAAAAAAAAGAATCCATTGTGGGTTTTTTTTTTAATTAAATTTTTTCCTGATTACTAAGGTAATTCAGGTTTATTATAGAAATTAGGAAATTTCGGAGAAGTAGAAAGAAAAAAGTCATCTCTAATCCCAGCAAAGATATCTAACTGCTGTTAATATTGTGAGATATATATAAATATATATATATACACACACATACATATATGTCTTTCCAATCATTTTTCTAGGCCTACATATAAGTAAATATTTTTCTCTTAAAAGAATTAGGATAAGGCTGGATCAACTGTTTTACATCCTGCTTTTTTTCACTACATTTGCTAATGACAAATAGAAGCCTTTGTTTTAAAGGAATTTAATGTTCCAATGACTTCTCTCAATTTCTCAAAATCTGTGTTTTTGTCACTCGTGTGGACTTTGGTGTAGTAACTCTGCTTGTCCTACTAGCTTTCTGAAAAACAGAAGAGAGGCTGGTGAACTTGACTTTTTCTTGCCAAGGACTTAATTGTGTCATTTATAATAGAGATCTTGGGGCCTGGCATTTTAGCACACTGAGAAAGAAATATGCTAATGTGTTGTCCTTCACAGAGAGCACAAGAATAATTAGCCACCCCAGGGCCACTCCTAAACAGGTTGTTGAAGCCTTGTTGCCTCCCTTCCTGGGGAACTTTCCAGAGGGAAATTCTTCCCTAGTAACTATTCTACTGGCATGCAACTTCAATGCTTCCTTTCTCTTCCCTGCAATGTCATTGTGGTAGATTGTAAAAAGGGACACAATACTACTTCTCTCATCAGAGATTAAGTTTATTTTCTAAGCCCTTGAATCAGGGCTGACCTTGTGATTTTTGTTGATCCGTAGAAGTGGCGGATGTGACAACGTGTCAGTTCGAAGCCTAGGACTTAAGAGGTCTCACTATTCTTGTTGCTCCTTTCCACCAACATGCAAACAAGCCTGGGCTAGCCTGTTGGGTGAAAAAAAAAAAACACTTGGAGAGAGGCCCCATTCATTCCAGCCAAGACCATTATAAACCAGCAGCCCCAGTGACCATGGGGGAGCCCAGTGGAAACTAGCTAAACCCAGACCAGACCAGAAGAACTGAAACTGATGACTTACTAAACTGAGAGCTAAATAAATGGTAGTTGTTTTGCGTTAGTAAGCTTTAGGGTAGTTGATTACACAGGAAAGGCTGGCTGATAGAATCACCTGGGGCGGGGGCAGAGGTTGCTTTATTCTGTTTACGATAAAGTATTAATGTAAAAGCATTAATTGCGTAGCACCAGGTATGTAATAAGCATTCAACAAATGGCATTAGTATCAAATGAGATGAGGGTATTGGCAGGGCTGGTACCTTCTGGAGGCTTCTGGAGAGAATCCATTTCCCTGCCTTTCACAGCTTCCAAAGGCTGCCTGCATTCCTTGGCTTATGGACACTGGATAAGACACAAAGACACAAAGGCAAAAACTATATCTATTTTGATTATGGGCACTAGTAGGTGGTCCCTAAATGATACTAATGCCATTTGTTGAATGCTTATTCCATACCTGGTGCTATGCAATTAATGCTTTTACATTAGTTGTTACTTTATCATAAACAGAATAAAGCAACCTCTGCCCCCGCCCCAAAAAGATGTGCACATTTCAATACCCAGAACCTGTGAATATGTTTTCTTACATAGCAAAGGGAATTTTGAAGATGTGATTGAGTTAAGGCTCTTTAAATGGAGAGATTATTCTGGATTATCCAGGTGAGACCAATGTAATCACAAGGCTCCTTATAACAGGGAGGCAGGAGGATCAAAGACGAAGAAAGGAGATGTGACTATGGAAACAGGATGAAGTGATGTGCTGTGAAGATGGAGGAAGGGGCCACAAGCCAAGGAATGCAGGCAGCCTTTGGAAGCTATGAAAGGCAGGGAAATGGATTCTCCTCAGAAGCCTCCAGAAGGTACCAGCCCTGCCAATACACTGATCTCATACTTCAGACCTCTAGGACTATAAGAGAATAAATTTGTGTTGTGTTAAGCCACAAAATTTGTTACAGCAGGAATAGTAAGCTAATACAGATTTAATTCCCATGAAACTTTATAAAGTACACACTACTGTCATCATTTCCATTTTACTTATGAGGAAACTGAGCCTCAGACCAGCTAAGTAACTTTCCCAGCAGTTAAGTGGCAGCACTATGTCAAAACTGGCCTCCTAAACCTTACACTCTAGAGCCTCCCACTGGGTCAGAGAAAGACCACAGGATTTGGAGTCCAGACGGGAAGCACCTCTATAAAAAAATTGAAATGAGGAGTTGGATCAGATGACTTCAAACGATCCCTTCCTGTCCTAATTTTCTGTGACTTCTAAACACTGAATCCGCATCTTTCAGTGCCAGGTTCCCAAACTTGCAAGAGGAGCAGGTAGGACTCAGAGGGGCTCAGTCACATCTGAAGAAGGAGTCAAAAGAAATCTCCAGAAATGGAGTGTGGACCATACCAAACCAGGACCTTTAAAAAAGGTAACAGGGGGCTGGGCGCGATGGCTCACGCCTGTAATCCCAGCACTTTGGGAGCCCAAGGCGGGCGGATCACGAGGTCAGGAGACCGAGACCATCCTGGCTGACACGGTGAAACCCCGTCTCTATTAAAAAATATATATATATAAAAATTAGCCGGGCGTGGTGGCGGGTGCGTGTAGTCCCAGCTACTCGGGAGGCTGAGGCAAGAGAATGGCATGAACCTGAGAGGTGGAGGTTGCAGTGAGCCAAGATCGTGCCACTGCACGCCAGCCTGGGCGACAGAGCGAGACTCCGTCTCAAAAATAAAAAAATAAAAATAAAAAATAACAGCTGTCAGAATTCTAGTAGATAGTGCCATGGCCCCCTTAAATCCACAGAATGAGCACTGTGGTGGCCTCCCCACCCTCCACCGGCCCAGCTCTGATGTGTAGTAGCTCAGGGTTTGTATGAGTTCCACTTAACTGCTGGGAAAGTTACTTAGCTGGTCTGAGGCTCAGTTTCCTCATAAGTAAAATGGAAATGATGACAGTAGTGTGTACTTTATAAAGTTTCATGGGAATTAAATCTGTATTAGTTTACTATTCCTGCTGTAATAAATTTTGTGGCTTAACACAACACAAATTTATTCTCTTGCAGTCCTAGAGGTCTGAAGTTTGAGATCAGTGTATTGGCAGGGCTGGTACCTTCTGGAGGCTTCTGGGAAGAATCCATTTCCCTGCCTTTCACAGCTTCCGGAGGAGAAGCAATTGAGCCAGCTCATCCCCAGGATGAGCTGTGATTGGCCCAAGTCCTTCATTATAATCTCATCTCCCTTGCCACAGTGATTAATAAGAATGATGTTCAGGGACTTCTGTTTGGTGATTGAAGAAAGAGAGCTCTCTCTTATTCCTGAGAGTATAGTGTGCAGATATGAGGCCTGGGACAGCTGTAGCCACTTTGTTACAATGAGGGAAGCCAGTCTGAGGATAAAGCCAGTGCACAGAGAAGGGCAGAACAGAGAAACTTACAGAGAAACTGAGCCACGTCCTTGATCAAACTATTCCTGAAGTCTAACCTCCCTCTGAACCTTAAAGTAAATAAAACCTAATAAATTCTCTTTATTGGTTCAAGACAGTTTTAGGAGCTTTGTTTTTTATGCTTTACTTTTAAAGCAAAACTATCCTAACAGACATCAACCAGTCACCTCTATAGTACCTAGTTACAGGGACAGATATAGGCAATTTTTCTCACAGTTTAGCTTCCTGGGAGAACCACTTGGCTCTTGGCCATTTCTCTCCTTACACTTCTTATCTTCCCTACAATCAACTATAGCTTCCTGTATCCTTAAGCACCTGTTTTGATTCTAGCTAGCTCATGCAGATAACTATTTTTTGACTTTATTTCAGCCTGTATTTCTTTGCTCTCTGCTCTACTACTGGCCCTCACTGTTGTCTTGAGTTTCTTTATAATGAATTCTGGTCTGTCTGATATGCCAGTCTCATCAGCCACAAATCAGTGGTCAAAAACTCTGGGCCCAGTCCTCCCTTCTCAGAGGACCAAGGAAGCCATAACCTTCCCACTACTTGAACCCTCTGGGTGATGAAATGGCCCCAGGGACAGAGGCTTCCGCTGAACCGCCCAAACTTGGATGAAGTGTCAAGCAGGCTAAAGCAGTGAAGGAAGGGTTCTCGGTCTCTGAACATCACCAAGCAGAGGCTATACTGGCCCTGACCCACGGTGCTGTAAGGGAGGCCCCTGATCAAGGGAAGAAACCAGAAACATGAAAGTAAAGAGATCTGCATTACAGTCCCAGCTCTTTCACCACAGGGCTCTGAGGCCTTGGCCCTCCTCTGGGCCTCATTTTCTTCATCTGTAAAAAAGGTTGCAGAAGTCTTTAGCCCCGGTTGATATTTGAGCAACCTCATGAGAGACCTTGAGCCAGAACCACTTAGCAAATCAGCTCGCAAATTCTAACCTACAGAAACTATGAGATCATAAATGTGTGTTTTTTGAAGCCTTTACATTTGAGGGTACAGTCGTCCCCTGGTATCTGCAGGGATTGGTTCCAGGACCCCTTCAGATACCAAAATCCATGGATGCTCAGGTTCCTGATATAAAAGGATATAGTCCCCAAAGTTATTTGGTGCTGGTAATCTGTTCAGGGATTTTGAACTTGGAATTCATGTAGGAATTTCAGGTGGCCAAAGTTTTCCAGTGAGATTATTCGTAGTTTCCATTATATTATCAAAGGAAGATGTAACACAAAATTTTTAGAAGTACAGGCCTACATTATCTTAAAGGTTCTTCTCAGCTTTGGCAATCTGTCATTCTAGATGCCTTACGACAGTGGATTCGCTATAAGGAATGCATTCAAATGCAGGCACATAAGGTGCGAATTAGGGAAGTCAGAATTGCCCCAAGCCTTCCAGTTTTATCTAAAATTCAGAATTCTATGTAAATTCCAGTTGCATCTTCCCTGTACAATAATTCTTAGGTATACTAACCTTTGAGAACCACCGAGCTAGACCGGAGGAAGACACAAAGAGAAATTCTACAAGCTCGTATTTTGGGCACTTAAACCATTCTCCTTTAAAAGAACTACCATCTAGACCCCCAAACCAAAAACTACACCGTAAAATAAGGTTTGTCGTTCCCAGGGTGTGCAAAGCACTGGTGGAACAGAGGAGAAGCAATCAATACTGCCTGGAAGGGACACAGGAAGCTGAGGAACGCTCCAGAGAAGGTGATGTCAGGGCACGGCAGGGTGTCCTGGGCAGGGGGAGAGCATGTGCAGAGACCCGCAGGCTCAGATGCCAGTGTTCACCATGCAGGGGGGACTGGGAGGCATGTAGAGAGGTGAAATGGTGGGAGATGGGGCTGGGGAGAAATTGGGACTGGATTTTCAAGGCCTTGTGAGCTGTGTTAAGGGCTTAGCGCCAGCACTGGCAGGCAGGGCAGAGGGTATACACACACAGGTGGGATGTCAAACAAAGCTCTGGGCAAACGCACCCCTGAGCTGCATGGAAGAAGAGCCTGGCTGGGTCTCAGGTAGCCTGGGAACAGCCCCCTGCATATTCTCTATATCTCAGCCCAGGAGACTGGCTGGAGGAAAATAAAGCCTTCTTGGGGGAGGCTAAGTTCACTTTGTCCAAGGGTGGCTTATTAGGTTAATAGTGTAGCCCTGCAAGAAATGAATGGAAACTGACTTTTTACACATGTATTAGTTATCTATTGCTGCAAAACAAACTACACTATCCTTGGATTCCACATCTGTGGATTTAACCAGCCATGGACCAAAAATATTCAAAAAATAACAACGAAAATAATAATACAATAAAAATAATACAAATAAAAAAGAATACAGTATAACAACTATTCATACATAACATTACATTGTATTAGGTATTATAAGTAATCTAGAGATAATTTCAAATATACAGGAAGATGTACATAGATTATAGGCAAATACTATACCCTTTTATATCAGGAACTTGAGCATCCATGGATTTTGGTATCTGAAGGGGTCCTGGAACCAATCCCTGCAGATACCAAGGGATGACTATACCCTCAAATTTAGAGGCTTCAAACAACACACATTTATGATCTCACAGTTTCTGTGGGTTAGAAATTTGGGAGCTGATTTTCTAAGTGGTTCTGGCTCAAGGTCTCTCATGAGGTTGCTCAAATATCAATAGGGCTAAATACTTCTGAAAGCTCACGTGGGGTGAGTGGGGCCTCCAAGCTGCTCACTCACATGGCTGTGGGCAGGAGGCCTCAGTTTCTCACCACCTGGGCTTCTCTGTAGGGCTGATTGAGTGTCCTCAGAACATGGCAGCTGACTTCCCTCAGAGCAGATGATCCAAGAGAGAGCCAGGAGGAGGTTGAAACCCCTTTTATGCTCTGATCTTGGATGTTACTGTCAGATCCTCCACAGTATTCATTACAAGTGAGTCTCTAAGTGCAGCCCACACTTAGTAAGTCCCTAAGTCCAGCCAACGCTTTTTAAAAATGGAGCGTCACTCTGTCGCCCAGGCTGGAGTGCAGTGGCATGATCTCGGCTCACTGCAACCTCTACCTCCTGGGTTCAAGCGATTCTTGTGCCTCAGCCTCCTGAGTAGCTGGGATTATAGGCAACCGCCACCATGCCCGCCTAATTTTTGTATTTTTAATAGAGATGGGGTTTTGCCATGTTGGTAGGTTCATCTTTTGAAGGGAAAAGTGTCAAAGAATATTGGACATATTTTTAAGCCACCATAAGCCAATCTAAAGTAATAATTTTAGGAATATTCTCAGGTGTGACAGCCCAGGCAGACACATTCCTAGGTTAATGGTTATCAGATTCATTGTACATACAAATCATCTGGGGGTGCTTGGTAAAAGGAAAGATTCCTATGCCTACCTCCAAAATATTCTATATTAGGAGCTTGGGAGTACGGCCCAGAAATTTGCCTATTTTGCTAAGTTGTCAGGGTATTCTAACACAGATGAGGTCCGGGAATCTGCATTTTGGTAAGTCCCCAAGGTTATTTGGTGCTGGTAATCTGTAAAAATACCCACCTCAGAACTGACAATAATTGCCAGTTGGTATGGCAGTTTAGAAATTCCAATACATTTGGGAATAACTAAGTGGTTAGAAGGTCAGCCAAGGACAGAGGCCACAATAAAGTAGCACATGGGCACAGCTCTCCATGAACACCCACACGGAGAGAGGGCAGCAATCACAACACGTTTTCTACTCTCCTGGACCAAGTCCCTGGGAGCTTCTCAACACAACACTCCAGGCAGCCACCTCTAACCATTCACAGTTGGCGTAGGACTTGTGACCTATTTGCAATCCTTAACCTAAGGTCACATGCCCAGGAATCCACCAGTTCTGACATGTGACAGTGCTTTAGAGTTCTGGCCAGACAGAGATTTCTTCAGCATGCACTGAGAAGGAGCTGGGCACAGCTATGATCAATTTTATAAATGAACGTGGATAATGGGGTGGAAAGCAGGGATAGGATCTTGGAGGATAGGAGGTGTTCTTGGCTAGACTCATCCCTGGGAAACTTTGGTCTGGTTCAAATGTTGAGACACTCAAGTAACAGGCTCAGGATAGAGGCCTGTACTTCCCCCTGATGAGGAACAGGGTTTAGGAGGTGGGCCAGGGGGTGGCCCTTTGTTTAGTTAGCCTTTTCTGGTTCTTCATGGAGCTTGTAGGAAGATTGCCAGGACCCTCTGTGAGTTTCCAGGCATTGTCTGGGCCCCTCTTGCTCTCTTTTTATGGGATGGTTTATGTCTGCTCCTCGGCCCTGGGAGGGAACCCGCACAAGAGTTGCTAAGCAGCTGGTGGAGCCTTTCTGTTTTAAGCCAGGACACTATTGTCTCTCTCTTTATTTCCCATAAGGAGCCGTGACCCAGGTGGTTACTGAGCTGCCGCCAAGTCTGCAGTGCTATTGGTCCAGAAAAGGGCAAAGAGCGAACAGAGCCATCAAACAGCGTGAGGAGCAGGTGAGGGGTATGAGAGCCCAGTACGAATAACTGTGGCAAAGCCTGGGCCTCACACCCTCGTGTACACATCACGCCCCTGCAAGTTCACCTCCACTGTTCAGGGTCCGATCGCCTGGAGGATGGGTGTGGCTTTTCACGCAGGGACCCGCAGGCTCAGACCTATTTCCCCAGCGGCTTCTGTGGACTGCAGAATCAGGGAAACGTTTCCCCAAGAGGCTTGACATGGCATTGTGTCGAACCCCTGGAAAACCTTACCCCCCAAACCTTCCTCCCTCTGCTGCTTGTCTCTAACTGGGCTGTTTCTAAGGCAATTGTAGCTATATAATTTTCTATTTTTTCCCCACACTTAATCATGCTCCTTGTTAAAAAAACATTAGAAAATAAAGATATGAATTAAAAAAACCACCCTACACCCAAAGATAACCACTGTTAACATTCTGAGATATTCCTTCTAGACTTTTTCTCTCTCTGCATGCGTGTGTACGTGCGCGCGTGAGTGTATTTATATATATGCGTGTATATATATAAAATCAGGCACCACTGATATTTTGGATGGGATAAATCTTTTTTGCAGGGGGCTGTTCTGTGAACTGTAGAATATTTATCAGCACCCCTGGTCTTCCCACCCACTAGATGCCAGTGGCACTCCCCACCCCCACTTGGGATAACTAAACCTATCTCTAGATATTATCAAATGTCCACAGAGGGACAAAATCACCCTCTGTTTAAAATCACTGCTTTGGGCAGGCATGGTGGCTCACTCCTGTAATCCCAGCACTTTGGGAGGCTGAGGTGGGCAGATCACTTAAGGTCAGGAGTTTGAGACCGGCCTGGCCAACATGGTGAAACCCCGTCTCTACTAAAATTACAAAAATTAGCTGGGAGTGGTGGTGAGTGCCTGTAATCCCAGCTACTCGAAAGGCTGAGGCAGGAGAATCGCTTGAACCCGGGAGGCAGAGGTTGCGGTGAGCTGAGATCACGCCACTGCACTTCAGCCTGGGCAACAGAGTGAGACCCCATCTCACTCTGTGAGATAAAAATAAAATAAATAAAAATAAAAATAAATCACTGCTTAGACACACACACACACACACACACACACACACACACACACACACTAAATGAAATCATATTGTAAATACTTTCTTGTCTTTAAAAAAATTTACCATGCCATGAACTCTTTCTGTTGCCAGCTATTAGGAATCTACACACCATTTTTTGCAATGGCCATAGAGCTCTCCGTCAGTTGGGCTCAACGTGAAGTAATGTACATCACCAGTCCCGTTACTGGACACTGTGTATGTATACCGCACAGCCTGCCTTATAAGCTGCTTTTTAAATTTAAAATATCGTGAACATCTTTCCATGTCATAGCTGTGGGATGTTGACCAAGTCATTTCACCTCTCTAAAGCTCCATTTCCTCCTTTGCGGAATAGGGGGTGTACTGTGAGAATCAATGACCAGGACAAGTGTTCTGTGCTTAGCGCAGACTCTGGCACAGGAGGCACCCGCAATAAAGGGCCACAGCTGTGTTTAATGTCCTTGTTATGGTCCCTACGTCATGATTTTTAAATGGCTTTTTATGGCCATCTCTCATATGCAGACACCATACATTATTAAATTAGGCCCTATAGTTGGACTTTTAGGTGGTTCCCAAATTTCCACTATCATAAATCACTCTACCATTAATACAATTATGCATCATTTCCACTGATGTCTGGGGAAATTAGTAAAAGTGAATAAGCCGATCCACCTATCCTAACCTGGGACTTACGAAACAAAAGACAAATTATTTTCTTCATAACCCAGTTTTAGACAAATTGTATCCCCTTCTTCCTGTTAAGCTCTGCCCCCAGCGCCTCCAGCCCTGCTTGTTTATCTGGTCCTGAGTCACGTGCTAACCAGCACCGTAGGGCATGGTTCCTAGGCTAAGCCCAGGTTGGTCTTTTACTGCTCTTACGCCAAGCCCAAGTCCCCTTCTTTCTGCCTTGAGACCACCCAGCATTGTATTCAAGTGCCTGCAGGATTCCTCTTCTATTTGGTTTTTAAGTTACAGGTATACAATATGTGATGTATATAATGCATGTGTACAGTTTAAAGAGTGATAATAAAATGAATATCCCTGGACAAGCCTGGTGGCACACACCTGTAATCCCAGCACTTTGGGAGGCCGAGGTGGGAGGACTACTTCAGCCCAGGAGTTCAAGACCAGCCTGGGCGATATAGTGAGACCCCCATCTCCTCACAAAATAAAATTTTAAAAAATTAGCCAGGGGTGATGGCACATGCCTGTGGTCCCAGCTACGGGAGGTCAATATGGGAGGATTGCTTGAGCCTGGGAGGTTGAGGCTGCAGTGAGCCATAATTGTGCCACTGCATTCCAGCCTGGATAACACAGCAAGACGCTGTCTCAAAAAAAAAAAAAAAAAAAAAAAAGAATATCCCTGTGTCTACCACCCAGGCCAAAAAATAAAAGTCAATACCCAAAAGTGCCTAACAGCGTTGTGTGTCTCTCCTGCTTCCTGGGTGTCTGGGGTAAAAGGGGAGGGTCCACTGGGAACACCCCAGCTGACCCCTTACTGGCTCTGTGGCCTTGGGCACATTAGTTAACTCTGGGAGCTGATACAGGAGTATCTTCTCTTTGAAATGGAAGATTGACCCACAGATTAAATGAGATGCTTCTTTTGGTAAACCCTGAGCCCAGAGCTTGGCACCAAGGAGGTGCCCAAAGCACAGGAGCTAATTGTTTTTACTATGGAGGGGAGTTTCTGGACAGGGAATTCAAGAACATGGTTGTCGCCTGGCACTGCCAGCCCCTTAGCTCTGTGAGCCTAGGCAAGGCAAGCCCTGGGCCTCAGTTTTCTCAGGTGGGAAATGAAGGGGCTGGACTCACTAGGAAAGCTCTAACTTCCTTTCCAGCTGTGACCTGTTGAACTTCTACTAATCATTAAGCCAAGGAAAATGGGTTACGATGAAGCAAGAACTTGACAGAGGGTCACTGTTTACAGTGCCTTTAGCTGGCTCCTAGAAACAGTGTGACTGGCCCAAAAGAACATGGTCAGAAGGTAATAATCGGGTTAATAATGATAATACTTCCAACACTTTTTCTGGGGGATGCTGTACTAAGAGCTGCATACATATCCTTTTATTTAACTCTGAAGTTAAACAAATCTATCTGATAGATTGTATTTTTATGCCTATTTTACGGAAGTGGAAATGGGCTCAGAGAGGCTCTATGGCTTCTCCAAGGTCATGGAGCCCTGGCCTTTTCCATCTGTAAGCCTGTGCTTAAACCAGCACTGCTCAGACCTTAACGAGCACCTGCGTCACACGGGGATCTTGTGGAAATGCAGATTCCGATGCCGCAAGTCTGGGGTGGGGCCCGAGATCCTACATTACTAACAAATTCCCGGATGATGCTGAGGCTGGTGCTCTTCTCATTACCCTTTGAGTACTGAGACTTGGCCACTGTTGCACTCTCCGGGAGCCAAGCTGAGCAGGGACGCAGGGTCTCAGACTCTTTGGTTTCAGTCAACATCAACTTCCCGGCTATTTTTATCACATCCCAGGAAGAGAAACTGTCGGCATCACATACCAAACAAGACTGCTTCTGGGTCAGACATACCAGAAAGGAAACGTTTCCTGTTGACAATAAGGTCCTAGTTTCTCCCTCTGGCAATGTTTATTTTTCCAGGCATTTGTTGAAACCTTCATATCTTGTCCTACTGAGGACGGTGATTCAAGACACAAACTCACAGTTGATTTCAGCCACACACCTTCATGCTAGCATTGGGCATTCAACCTATCCCAGGTGCCCTGTCAGATCCCAAACACGGCATAACATTTATTTTGGCTGCCACTAAGGGTCTGTGCTTTATCCTGTTAGTCGTGCCCATCAAGTCTGGAAGGGAATTTATACATAGGCTACTCCCAGAAAGGAAGCCTTTTACTTGTAGAGTCCAGAGGGAGACACAAAACATTTCTTTTTCCCCACAAGTCATCATTTAGTCCATAAAAATGGGCATTTGGGAGCCCCTCCTGGCTCTGGTCTCCCTGGATCCCCTTCTCCTGTCTCTCCTCTGTCCCCAGTTCTGCTGAGGTCCTGGCATCATTTTTCTGTCTCTCTGCTCTCCCCCTCCCAGGGTCGTGGCTCCGTGCTGAAATAGCCTGTCCTCCAGGGTCTTCAGAGGGGAACATCCAGACAGGACAAACACGTGTTTCTCTTCCAGAACTGTGATGCGTTATTCTGCCGACAGTGCCTCAGTTTCCTCTTTGGGGAACTGCATCCGTGTCGAAAAGGACCAAGGCGGAGGGATGGGCAATCTCAACTTCTGATTCTGCTGATACCGCTTCTGCAATGTTCCATGCGGTGTGAGGCTGAAGGGGGCCATCAAGGGATGGGAGCGGGGTGCAGCTTGCCCTGAGTAACAGGGAAGGGGAGTGGCCTCACGTCAAAGCAGCCCGAACAGAAGAGGGCAGTTACAGCACGCGCGAGAATGCCTGTGTGATGCCGTAGAAATGCCTCCCAGACCTGACATTGTGCTGCAAGGTGACAGTGAATATGTGACAACTGCAGATGCATTCGTAAGAACTGCAGATCCTTTTGTAGTTCTTGAGTGTGATGATCGGGTGCTCACACTCATGTGTGAGATATGCCACCCTCGAACCTCATTTTGAAGTCAGCACGTTACCTGTCTGACATGAAAACAAACCAAAAAACTGTAGACGCTGTTCTCTTGAGGAAATAATGAGTTATAATTGTTGCTGACCAGTTTGGCATGGGGCTAAGTCTTTCCACCTTAATTTCTTCCCGCGTGCCGCAAGACCTTCAAGCCTTTGGTCAATATTCGCTACTTCAAAGTCCAGAAAGGCCTTCTGTGAATCCAGGCTGCACGCAAATACCCACAGAGCCAGCGTCACAGACTTGTGACCTCTGAAGTCACACGCGGCCCCACTCTCAGAAGAGCCCTGCGCTTGTCACAGTGCTCTGCCCACACCCTCTGGAAATTCACAATACATTTTGAACACAGGATCTACATTTTCATTTTGTACCGAGCCTGGCAAATTACGTAGCCAGTCCTGAATTCCAAGGATAGCCACTGGGTTCTCAGACCTGACTTCCTTTTCCTTCCAATTAAAACAAAATTTCAAGTCTGTTGCTGGTCATGGCAGAACCATCCGAAATCAGGAACTGGACTCAGAGCTGCAAGCTTGGTCTACCTGTAGGAGGAATTCCTCTCCCTAGGCCAGGACTCTCTGGAAAAAGACTCTGGAGAAGAGGGTGGGGAGCTGTGCTGGGGCCCAGCTCTGCACCTTCAGATATTTTAACTAGGTGTCAGGGAACCCTGCCATGCCCCATAGTCTGGTGGCAATATTTGTCCCTCTGCCAGAAGCACAACTTAAACGTCTCTATCTTCCGGTCCTAGAGAAGCTATTTCATTCTGACCAATTTGGCCTGCATATAATGGATAGTCCTGTGTTCAGAAAGGTGTTGTATGAGCCCCAGTGACAGAAGGGGCTAGCGGTAGAGTGTGAAGACACAGTGTCCCATGGCTCTCAGGGACTTTATTGGGACAACTGGGGCAATTTGAGTTTCGACTGTATATTTGACACTATTATTGTATCAATGTCTGTTTTCTCGGCTGTGATGATAGTCTTTCTGATTATGGAGGAGGATACTCCTTGTTTTGGTAGACACATTCTAAAGAATTTACAGGTGAAATTCCATGAAGTCTGCAACTTACTTTCAAATGTTCTGGGAGAAAATGATATATGTAATATATATATTTACATGAGAGTTTTCCTCTGAAATCTCTAGATTCTAAAGTCTAAAGATTCTCTAATAATGCATTTATTGTGAATTGTGCAACATTGCAGCTTTGAGGTTGGAGTAATCTCTATTTCATGCTGGCTTTAGTCCATGTTGACTGTGGAAGTTTGCAGTCATTTCTTTATTAATGAAAACTGACAGGTGGACACTATTACCACCTTGTATTGGTCAGACTTTACCAGAGGAAATCCAGGATTCTTCGCATGAACAACTGTGTCAATAAAAACAAATTCCCTCTGAGAAAATTAAAATAAGTAATAAAGACTCAGGCTGGGCATGGTGGTTCACACTTGTAATCCAGCAGTTTGGGACACTGAAAAAGGAGAATCACTTGAGTCCAGAAGTTCAAGACCAGCCTAGGCTACCAAGCAAGACTCCATCTCCACAAAAAATAAAAATAAAGACTCTCTCTCTCTTTCTCACACAGCTTCATCTATCTAATGTATCTTATCTATCTATCGTCTATCTATCTATAAACAGAGAGAAGAGGGAGACAGATAAATAAAGCAAATATGGAGAAATGTTATTGGTTGGTGAGACTGGTTGAAAGTGTATATATTTTTTCAATTTTTCTTTGGCTTGAAGTCCCTCTAAATAAAATGTTGAGAGGGAAAATACACTATTTCTCCCGATGAGGTTGTCATCACTGGGAGATAAGATGTCTATCATCTTACTTTGGGCTACCCCAGAAGCAAATCCTGAGATGAAGGTTCAAGTGCAACTTGTTTATTCCGTAAGTGATCCAGGAAACAGCAGTGGAGAAGTGAGGTGGGAGAAGGCAACCAAAAAGGAGAATATCATCAAGTCTCTGCCATCTCTGAAAGTCAAGGGGACTTCACACCTGGGAAACTCTGGAGTCACATAGAATGTCTCAGGTGAGAGCCGGGGTATTTATACCCAATGCAGTCACAAGATGGGGGCTGCCCCCATGGGTGTGGCAGCCAGAGAAGGCCCCGAGCAGTAGGTATTCGGGCCGAGCACTAGTAAGGCCTAGCATCTGCTCCACAATCTTCCATCCATTCATTCAACCAACTTCCACCTCGTGGACTCAGGGCCAGGCCCTCGCTAGGTGCTGGGGAAATAGTCCTCATGAAGACAGATGCAACCTCTGCTCCCACAGGAGAATGAGAACAAGTGGGGAAAACAAACAAAAACCAGGTAAACAAAAATTGACAACAGAGGGGAAATTACAATTCACCTGGTCATCTAGTCATTGAACTTTTAGTAAGCACCTATTGTGTGTTGGTCATAATTGCAGACATAGGGAATATATAGATGAAACAAGAATTGTAGGGCCTTAAGCAATTCATGAATTTTTTTTTCTTGAAGGAAAACAATCTAGTCGAAGTCCTCACAGCTCCAGAGGGGTGAGACACTGAAATCCAGCTGCAAGGATATTTAAAGAACAGGCCCATTGCTTACATTTAGCTAGAAAAGCCCCTCTCTCCACCCCATCCACCATCCTCCCAGGGTGCTAACTCTAGCCTGAGAACTGACCCCGAGGACTGTCCTTCAATTAACTGAATTTGCTCCTGAAACAATGGCAGCAGAAGGGTACACTCTGGGCTAAGCGTGGTGGCTCACGTCTGTAATCCCAGCACTTTGGGAGGCCGAGGCAGGCAGATCACTTGAGGCCAAGAGTTTGAGACAAGCCTGGCCAAAATGATGAAACCCCATCTCTACTAAAACTACAAAAAGTAGCTGAGCATGGTGGTACACGCCTGTAGTCCGAGCTACTTGGGAGGCTGAGGCAGGAGAATCGCTTGAACCTGGGAGGAGGAGGTTGCAGTGAGCTGAGATTGTGCCTCTGCACTCCAGCCTGGGAGACACAGACAGACTGTGTGTGTGAAAAAAAAAAGAAAAAAGAAAAGAAGGGCACACTCTGGCTCTGTTCTCAAGTCCCAGGCTCTTCTGGATTTTGTGGTGCCTGTAAGTACCTTGATGTTCCCCAGAGGAAAGAGGGGACCTGGAGTCCACCTGTGAAAATCACACTACCTCCCTTTCTGCCTGGCTACCTTGAAAACTCCCAAACATTGCTCCCTTGTCATCTAAAATTAGAGACATCCACAAAATCTGGTTCGACTCCCTCCTGAACACCAAATAATTTGTACTAGATTCATCACTTAACTGATGATGGCAATATGTTGTGTGATTTCAGCATCAAACACATTGCACTTCCATCATCGTGTCCATCGGGCAACAAAGACAGAGATGAGGTTACTTCTCATCTCATGCCTCTCAGAGATGAGGCATGTGTTACAAACATCAAACACTGAGCTTTGGGTAGTTGCTGCTGTTTTTTATTTGTTTTTCTGTTTGTTTTGTTTTTAATGTCAGGCACAGTGGTTCAAGCCTATAGTCCCTGGAGGCTGGAGGCTGAGGCAGGAGGATATTTGAAATCCCCGAGCCCAGGAATTCGAGGCTGCAGTGAGCTATGATCATACCACAGCACTCAAGCCTGAGCAATATAGTGAGACCCTGTCTCTAAAAAATTTAACTACCTGACAGAGGAGATACTGTGATCATGAAAGTGGTTTTCCTAGGGCAAGACTTATCCGTTGCACTCCAGATGTGCTGACTCATGCAATTTCCCCAAATGTGGGAAACTCGACTACATAATTTCTGGTGGTAGGGGACTGCGTTCATGTTCTCCCCTACTAAAAAATAAAAATTAAAAAATAAATAAATAAAAATTCCACTGAACTAAAAACAAACAAAAAAATCCAGAAGGCAAGAATTAGCACTTTGAGAATTGCAGACCTATTGTTCTGAGCTTGTTTCTCCAATGTGGTGTGGAGTGAATCCTTTTCTTTCAGTCAAGTCTCTATTGCTTTCCTATAACTTCGATGAAGGAGAACTCACACTTTTTAAAAGGAAGGCCCAGGAAAGCTATCCATCCAGGCTGTGTGTTGGTTCGTGAATGGTGCCAGGCCGGCAGTAGAGGAAGCTCTGGCCTGAAGGTTGGCTCAACCCCATTTTTCATTGGGCCAGCTTTGGGCAACCCACACCCACACCCACACCCACACGCTACATTGTTCTGTGTTCAAGAGCTTCCTTGAAGCCTCTCTTCTCTCTCTCCCTATTTTTTTTTCTTTTTTTTTCTTTTTTTTGAGATGGAGTCTCCGTCTGTCATCCAGGCTGGAGTGAAGTCACATGATCTCGGCTCACTGCAGCCTCCGCCTCCCAGGTTCAAGCAATTCTCATATCTCAGTCTCCAGAGTAGCTGACTACAGGCACGTGCCCCCACACCCAACTAATTTTTCTATTTTTTGTAAAGACGGGGTTTTGCCATGTTGGCTGGGCTGGTCTTGAACTCCTGTCCTCAAGTGATCTGCCTGCCTCAACCTCCCAAAGTGCTGAGATTACAGGCATAAGCCACTGTGCCCAGTCTCTTTTCTTTCTCTTTTGCAAATAATCTATCTCAGGGCCCTGTGGGCTCTGCATCTGTCTAGGCTGTGCTCCTCATAGCTGGCCTCCAGCCTCTCCACACAGCAGTCACAGGAAGCCTCCTAAATGCACATGTACTGATGGGGGCTTCTCCACCAAGGCCATCAGCTGCTCCCTGTGCTCTCCGGGAGGAAGCCCTTACTCCTTGACACAACATCAAAGCTCCCACCAAGGCCCCAGCTCTCCAGCCCCAGCTCCGTCTCTCCTTTCCTCCAATTCTGCATCCCGGCAAAAAGAATTACCTGCTGCGCCTCTAACAGTCCAAGACATCTGCAAATACATTTGCCTCTACCTGGAAAGGACTTCTTCCTTTTGCCCCTTCACCTTCCCAAACCCCTCTCTTCACATAACCCATTTTCCCTCCTTTCTCTAGACTTTGCTTAGATGCCACCTCCTCTAGCTGGCCTTGCCTGACCCCTGACACTTGGGTGAGATGCTACCCGTGGGCTCCCCAATCACAGCAGCCAGGGATGGGTTTGTAGTTTTACCTGTGTCTCACAGAGCTCCCAGTGTGGAACACAGGCTCGATAAATGCGTGAATGATATGTGGATGAGTATGCGGATGGACGTTTGCTAGGCACTCGGTTGGCCACTGAAATGGGGTTGTTCTAGATAGGTGCTGTGTAAGTGGGGGCCACCAACTGGTACTGCTTGTCCACTGGCTATTACCGATTTGCAACTAATTAAATACAGACATTGAGTGTGTTTCAAAACTTATAAAGCACTTTAACTGAGTGATTTTATGTCTGCTGAATCTAATAATAAAAAACACTGAGCTCGTATTTTGTATGCCTTGGTTTTATTTTTTTCCATTAAATTATGTCAATTGTATTTTACTGTATTGGTCTGCAATGGATTAGAAATCTCAAACATTGGCTGGGTGCAGTAGCTCATGCCTGTAATCCCATCACTTTGGGAGGCAGAGGCGGGCGGATCACTTAAGGTCAGGAGTTCGAGACCAGACTGGCCAACATGGCAAAAGCCCCTCTCTACTAAAAATACAAAAATTAGCTGGGAGTGGTGGCGGGCGCCTGTAACCCCAGCTACTTGGGAGGCTGAGGCATGAGAATCGCTTGAATCCAGGAGCTGGAGGTTGCAGTGAGCCAAGACTGTGCCACAGCACTCCAGCCTGAGCAACAGAGCAAGACTCTGTCTCAAACAACAAAAAAAGAAATCTCAAAAACTGACCTTTTATGCCCAGATAATTTGAGAAGCACTGTTCTACACTGTTCCTAGGGCAACAAGACAAATGTGTGTGGGGTCTCAGTGTGTGCGTATGTGTGTGTGTGGTGTTTGTGGAGTGGGTGACAACAGGAAAGGGAAGAATTTAGAAGGTAAACTTGGCTGAATCTGCATTCGCAGGGAAGCTTTTCCATATGAAAACGTCAAAAGACTTTCTCAGAATCAAATACGCCAGAATAAACAGCTTATAGAATGGTCTTCTGAACCTGATGTCCCCAAAGGGAGAATAAATTGCAGCTATTAAGATCATCCTATTCATTTAACTGACCGAGACAGCCCCATGCACGTGGTGGCCCATGCCATAAAAATGTGTCTCTCTCAAAAAACAAACAAACAAAACACCAAAATTTTGATAAATGATTATTTATCTTGAATGCAAAATAAATAAATAAAGCATCTTTCTCACTTACTTTGGAGACATGATTTTTAAATTTGTTTCCTAACTTTCCCCAATCTGGCTTCCATTAGAGAACTATTCCCAAATTAACCTCTGTGCCCTCTCAAGTAAAGAATGCAAGAGATTTCTACCAGCTATTTTCTCCCATTTCGAACATGCCACGTGTGTTTAACAGCAGGCAGAGATTTCCAGGCTAGAAGTGGTAGTAAAGGGATCTTTTAGCAACTGTTCTTTGAAAATCGGCACAGTTTTTTTTTTAATGACAGGCACCCCTTTTGCCCCAAAAGGTCTCTCACATTGCTATCCTGAGCCAAATGTTTAATTGATGCTAAGGAATTTTACATTCAGTCACCTTCCAAGTGCTGAGCAAATGAAGTGCCAATAGGCTATGTGATGGGGGACCAGGGTAAAGATTGAACTTTATCTGTGCTCGTGAGGAGAGATCAGATAAGTCACCAGTGGCTTCAGCAACAATGAGTTATCATTCGCCACACTTGTGAAGGAAAAGGTCAAAGCACACGGTGGTGAACATGCATTTGAGGCCCCAGAAACGGTTTTCTTAGCCACGGCCTCCGGAATCACACACACTGGGTTATTTCTTTGAAGGCAGAGCTAAACATATGTAGCGGAAAAGTTCAGGGTTCAAAGTGTAATTTCAAAAACAAAGAACCAAGTTTCCCACTTAAACATCTAGGTAAATGGACACAGGCCATGAGCTTAGAAGCAAAGGCACATCTTTTCTGCACAGACTGCCAAAATGCCGCTGAATCTTCCTCCCGAGAGCCATACCCTAGGTCCACACCCTTCTATACTCACTCTGGGCTTACTGTGAGGTTTGATTCGATTGATGGGAAAGCAGCAAATGTGGCCCAGGTAGAGATTTCTTTTTTTTTTTTGAGACAGGGTTTCACTGTGTCGCCCAGGCTGGAGTACAGAGGCACAGTCTCAGCTCACTAAAGCCTCAACCTCCCAGGCTCAAGTGATCCTCCCACCTCAGCCTCCCAATTAGCTGGGACTACAGGCATAGGCCACCATGACCAGCTAATTTTTCTATTTTTTGTAGAGATGGAGTTTCACCATGTTGCCTAGCCTGGTCTCCAACTCCTGGGCTCAAGTGATCTGCCCACATCAGCCTCCCAAAGTGCTGGGATTACAGGCATGAATCACTGTGCCCAGCCCCGCAAGTAGAGCTTTGAATAGTACTGTACCTTGGCACTTGCCCTTGTTTGCTGCTCGTTGGAACCCTGAGTCCACCATATGAACAAGCCTGAGTTAGCCACCTGGAGGATGAGAGGCTACCTGGAGCAGAGATGAGCCCTCCCAACTGAAGCCCTTCAGGACCAGTTAGCCTGCTTAATGCCGGATAGGTGAGTGAGGCCATGCTAGATCATACAGCCCCAGCCGAGCCACCAGCTGCCCATGGAGATCAGCCACATACCCCACACAAGAGGAACCACCCAACTGACCCATGGGATCATAAAAAATAATAACTGTCATTTTAAGCCTATGATAAGGTAGTTTGCTACACAGGAAAAGCCAACTGATATGCATTCATTCATTTATTCATTCATCCACTTATTTATTTAACAAATATGTGTTGAGAGCCTTCTGTTGGCTCACTGTGCTAGGCAGAAAGGCAACTGAAAGAGGCCATGAGCTCCTTAAAGCCAAGGATATAGCTTATTTGTCTCTGTTTTCCAGGCCTGGCACACTCCAGCATATATATAGGAGGTGCTCAAAAACTTTATCTAATAAACACATGAATTGGAATTAATCCCAAGGGGACAATTATAGATCTCAAGCTTTAAAAGTGCAGATTGCTTGACTCAGCAATTCCACTTCTGAGAATTTAATGTAAGGAAATATTACAAGAATGTCCTATCATAGCCTCGTTTACAGTGGCTTCATTGGATTTGGTTGAAAACACAATGGTGGCAATAGCAGTGTAGTCTCTGTGACAATTTGGTTGAAAAGAATATTGCAATCATGGGTGCAGGTAATTTCGATCCCCTGTGGAGTAGCTTTATGACCTTTTTGTTCCTTTAGACAAAAAAAAAAAAGTTAAGTATCTTTCAGAATTTGGGGGATTTCATTCTCCTCTACTTTTAAAATTTCTAATTCCCTTTCAGACAATTAAATATGCTCTGGTCTGCTAATAATAAGAAGAAACAAATTGTTTTATGTCTGTCAATAGGGAGTTGGTTAAAGGACAGCGCAAGCATACGATGGGTGTGCCTCATTTTAAGGGATATGGTAGAGACAGGATAGAGCTGTATGCCTCTGTTTACATCAAAAGGTGGTCATTATGTCCATCAGGGTTCTCCAGGGAAACAGAATTCAGAAAGAGAGAGAGAGATTTTAAGGAATTGGCTTACATGATTGGCGGAGTCTGCCAAGTCTGAAATTTGTAGGGTAGGCTGGCAGGCTAGAAACCCAGACAAGAGTTGATGTTATATCCCAGTCTGAAATCTGCAGGCTGTCAGGCTGGAAACTGAGGAAGATTTCCATGATCCTTCCTCTCCAAGAAACCTCAGTTTCGGCTCTAAGACCTTCACATGATTGGATGAAGCCCACCCACATTATCAAAGGTAATCTCCTTTATTTATAGTCAGCTGATTGTAGATGCGCATTACCTCTGTGAAATACCTTCATAGCAGCATCTAGATTGGTGTTTGACCAAACAACTGTGCACCATAACCTAGCCAAGGTAACGCATAAAATTTAACCATCGCTGTCATAAGTTGGAAAAAAAAATCAACTAAAAAATAGAATAATTTGGTTCTATTTTTAAAGAGGAAAATTATAACATATCTATAGAAAAGAAATTAGGAAAGGTCCGCACCAATATGTTAACAATGATTGTCTCTGGGAGGGTCTGATTGCTGGTCTCTCTCCTCTCTGCTGGTCTGGTTTTCCTGTTTTGCCTGAAAAGAGAAAGCCTAGCTATTGAAAGAAAACAAATAAAAGGAACAAAGAATTAAAGAACCTTGTCAATGCCCTTCAGCCAAAGACCACCCAGGAACACACCTGTTGTTGAACAAGTTGGTTTTGTTACTGGTAGAAACTAGAGAGCATGAATACCATGGGGAACTGTGGTAGTTTCCGTAGAGGGTGTTAGAAAGAATCTATTACAGGATTTGGGCTTTGGTTGAGTGATCTGGCGGAAGGCTTAAGGAAACAGGCTCACTCTAGATTCAGTGCTGTCAGAAAGCAACCACAATTCTAGAATTCAGTATCACAATAAGTCTTACGTATACGGAAGGCAAACTAAATCAAGGATAAAGCTGTAATTGACAAAGAAGCAACAGTCACTCGTGTTTGGTGAGAAAAAGAGATGTTTGGTATCTTATGGGTTACACAATGACCTTCTTTTCAGTTTACTTTATCCTGGTTGCAGAGTGACCTTGTCTGTGTTCTATGAGATTGTGTCTGTCCAACAGCAGAACACCATGGCCCTGCTGTATCACACTGGTTCCCAGGTGCCAGAGATTACCCTTTTTTTTTTTTTTCCCCCTCTACCTGAATAGGGATAATACTAGGAACTTTACTTGCACCGAAAAAAACAAAAAGTCTGGAGAGGCTTTATTTTCTGTAACTGATTCTTCCTCTGTTTTCTTAGCCATGTTTTCCTGAAAGTATTAATTTAGTAAATTGAACCAGGATTAGTTTTTCAATCACTAGTGCAAATATCATAAATTTTGAGCATTCTATCCAAGACATGAAATGGTGAACACTAGGATCGTTTCCATCTTTTAGGCGATAGTTGCTTCAGTTGCTTCTTTGTTAGTCTAATCCCAAACCAGAGCGTTTTTTTTGTTTTTTTAAAGACAGAGTCTCACTCTGTTGCCCAGGCTAGAATGCAGTGGCACAATGTTGGCTTACACAACCTCTGCTTCCCAGGTGATTCTCCTGCCTCAGCCTCCAAAGTAGTTGGGATTACAGGCGCTGACACCATGCCTGGCTAATTTTTGTATTTTTAGTAGAGACGAGATTTTGCCATGTTGGCCAGGCTGAGTTCGCTGTTGCCTTCATCCAAGCTTAAGTCTTCACACTTTTAGTAAGACTTTACCTACACGACAATACATAATGACCCACCAAACACACGCCTACCACATAGTTAAGCCCAGCCCTTGGCCATTAACAGGAGCTCTCTCAGCCCTCCTAATAACATCTGGCCTAGCTATATGATTTCACTTTAAATCCACTACCCTACTAACACTGGGCCTACTAACCAGCACACTGACCACAGACCAGGCTGGTCTCGAACTCCTAGCCTCAAGTGATCCGCCCACCTCAGCTTCCCAAAGTGCTGGGATTACAGGTGTGAGCCACTGCACCCAGCCACCAGGGCATAATTGACTGGAAATAGGGAGGTGTTGAAAAGAAGAAAACAAAACTTTAGATTTTTTTTTAAATGATTATTTTGCTGAAAGATGCTTAAAGAGTTGGAATATCATTCCAGGCAAAATTTCCCCTTGGCAAACAAAAATTTCCTTTTTGTATAAACATAGTGACTGAGAATTTTCATTATCAACGAATTCAGCATTCCAACCATACTGACAGCTTAATCAATTTGCTTCCAGCCAAATTGCTCTTGACCAAATTGTCTGCTATGATATATAACAGTAAAACATTGGAAATAACCTAAACATCCAACAAGAAGGTTACTGAAGAAAGCCAAATAAACCATGGTTCATCAATACAATAAATGTCATGCATTCACTTAAAGCAACATACATATACATTTCTTTTGAAAGGAGTAAATGAATGCTTCTAAACATTTAGGGAAAGAGTCACATTTACAAATAAGCCCAATTTAGGTTTGGTTGTTGTTTTGTTTTTTGTTTTTTTGAGACAGGATCTCATTCTGTCACCCAGGCTGGAGTGATCACAGATCACTGCAGCCTTGAACTCCTAGGCTCAAGCAATCCTCCCACCTCAGCCTCCCGAGTAGCTGGGACCACAGGTGCACACCACCAAGCTCAGCTAATTTTTAAATTTTTTGTAAAGACAAGGTCACACCAGGTTTCCCATACTGCTCTCAAACTCCTGGGCTCAAGCAGTCCTCCTCCCTTGGCCTCTCAAAGCACGGGATTACAGATGTGAGCCACCACACTGGCCCCAATTTAATTGTGACCATACGGCAAATTCTAGGAATTTGACCAATAGAGACAGTTCCTCTTTTCTCTTAAATATGACCCACCTTTCACTGTTTGTTCACCAAACCTAATATTTCCTAACTATTCTTTGCTTGGTTTTTTGGAATACAGGAATCAAGTAGAAAGCAAATCTACTCAGTTCTAAACTGGCAGGGGTGGCTGGGTGTGGTGGCTCATGCTTGTAATCCCAGCATTTTGGGAGACCAAAGTGGGAGCATTGCTTGAGCCTGAGAGTTTGAGACCAGCCTGGGCAACACAGCAAGATCCTGTCTTCATTTTTAAAATAAAAAAATAAAATTGCAGGGGTGATTCCAACAATATAGCACCTGGTCCAATGTCCAGGAAGTAGAGGCTGAAATGTCAGCTCATGTCATGTCAACCCAGGAACAGAGCACTTTCTCTGTGAGAAAGATTTTACTCTTTAACTAAGCCATGGTGCCTTCCTTCTCCTGGACTTTGCTTAAAAAAATTTTTTTTGAACAGCTTTATTGAGGTATAATTAACATATAGTAAACTGCACATATTTAAGGCATGCAATACAATGAGTTTTGATTTATTCATACATCGGTGTGATTATAACCACAATCAAGGTAATGAACATAGCCATTCCCCCCAAAAGTTTCCTTGTGTGTCTTCTAATCCTTCCGATATGGTTTGGCTGTGCCCCCACCCAAATCTCATCTTGAATTATAGCTTCCACAATTCCCATGTGTTGTGGGAGGGACCACGCGGGAGATAACTGAATCATGGGGGCAGCTTCCCCCATATTGTCGTGGTAGTGAATGAGTCTCATGAGATCTGATGGTTTTATAAGGGGAAACCCCTTTTGCTTTGCTCTCATTTCTTCTGCCTGCTGCCATGTAACATGTGCCTTTCACCTTCCACCATGATTGTCAGGCCTCCCCAGCCATGTGGAACTGTGAGTCCATTAAATCTCTTTTTTCTTATAAATTACCCAGTCTTGAATATGTCTCTATCAGCAGTGTGAGAACAGACTAATATACCTTCCTTTCCACCTCTTCCCAATCTCCCCTTTGAGCAACCATTGCTTTCTGTCACTATAGATTAGGTTCCATTTTCTAGAGTTTTGTATTGTTGTCAGCATCGGTAACTTATTCCTTTTGACTGCTGAGTAGCAGGACACTGTATGGATGCACAACGTTTTGTTTACGCATTTAGCGACTGAAGGGCACTCGGATTGTTTTCAGTTTGGGGCAATCACACATAAAGCTGCTATAGACATTCGAACATTCTTGTGCAGGTCTTTGCATGGACATCAACTTTCCTTTCTCTTGGGTAAATATCTAAGAGTATAATGGCTGGATCAAATGGTAAGTTTAACTTTTTAAGAAACTGCCAAACTGCCTTCCAAAGTGCTTGCACCATTTAATGTTCCCATCAGCAGTGAGTGGGCATCTGGACTTTGTTTTCAACCCAGAGAGAAGCCTGGGTCTGAGGACCCCAGAAACTGGGTTCTTCTGAGGAGGGCCACACTTTACATAGGCATCTTTAGGAGAGGGCCCTGGAAGAGGTGGGGGACACAGCACTAGGGTGGGAATCAGCCACAGTCCACCAGGAAATTGGGGAGGCCAGTTTTGTCTGAGAGCTGGTGGGCTCTGAATATATTCCACGCTTTCTTTGTCCCAGCCTGGGGAGTGGGGGTGGAAGTAGAGGAGGAAAAGAATTTCAATGAGCTGCTTTTGACTTGATGTCATTTTGTTGGTTTCAATAACTATTTGTTGAAATAATCTGTGCCAAAGGAGGCCAAAAGGGAAGAGGCATAGGACTGGGGTTCAAAGAGCAGACCCTGAAGAGTCCTTGGAGGACGAGGGAGAGTGCGAGAGGCTTAGCAGGGTGGACAGTGATTCTCATTTTACAAAAATGCCCAGTATCGAGATTGCTGCAGTGTTTTCAGTGCTGGGGAAATGACATCCCTAAGGCTTGCATTCTAGATCCTCAAAAAACAAATTGCCCTTTTAAAGTCTCACGGTTAAAGAGATATTTGGTGTCTCTTGAACATGTGGTCGGAGGGTTTTCTGATGGGAATCCTTGGTTGTTTTTAACAAAATAAGCCAGATCCAGAGGCTGCGTGACAGGACCCGGGCACCTCTCAGGCTGTCTTCTCACAGTTTGTCTTCTTTCCTAGCCTAATTTCTAGACTCTCTGCACCTGTGGTCTTTGTTTCACTCCAGCATCACCTTTTCAGCCTCTGCCATTAATTGGACTCATTGAATGCACTGGGCTCATGCCGGCTTCCTAGTTGCTGAATCCAGAGGCCTTTTCTCAGATCTTGTTCTCCTGCTCTCATGGCACCATTTTGATATGGAAGATGGGCAGAGAAGTGCTGGGAAGGGAAGGGCATGGTGCCTGGCTACGGCTCCACCCCCGAGCCTATGGACCTAGGTGAAGACAGGCACTCCTGCCTTCATGCACAAATGTTGCATTTCCCAAGGCCACCCTGGTCGGCCACACCCTGATCCTGTGCTGTAAATAAACCGGAGACCTTAGTGGGTATGCACACAAGAAGTAGCTGAGCCATTGAGCAGAACACACCAGCCGAAGAACACACAAGCAGCTGGACGTCAGGAGCACACTGGCAGGCACCTGCAGGCTGGCAGGCCATCGACCAGCACAACAACATGGAGTTTGGCTGGGGCAGTTGGAGGGGAGCCCCACTGCTGAGCGGCCTGACTCTAGGGGAAAACCACCTTTCCATTCCATCTCCCTTCAGCTCCCCCATCTGCTGAGAGCTACTTCCACTCAATAAAACCTTGCATTCATTCTCCAAGCCCACATGTGATCCGATTCTTCCAGTACACCAAAGCAAGAAACCCTGGGATACAGAAAGCCCTCTGTCCTTGTGATAAGGCAGGGAGTCTAATAGAGCTGACTAACACAAGCCACCTACAAATGGCAAAACTAAAAGAGCACCCCATAACACATGCCCACTGGGGCTTCAGGAGCTATAAGTATTCACCCCTAGATGCTGCCTTGGGATGGGAGCCCCACAGCCTGCCCATCTGCCTGCTCCCCCTAGAGGTTTGAGCAGCGGGGCACTGAAGAAGCGAGCCACACACACCCTGTGAAGGGGACAAGGGAACTTTTCCCATTTCAATATGGTCTTCTCACTCACCTCCTCCCTCTAGACAGCTCTCCTGCCTAGGTCTCCATGGCGCTGTTCTACCTAGCTCTCCTGCTGCAGGTTGACTCCCCTGGTAAGCTGTCTCTAAGATGGAGATGATCAGGGAGTGCTCTCAGCATCACTCCGTGGAGGGAGCAGAGGGAAGCAGGACTGGGAGGGAGAAGCTGAATTGTGAAATAGTCTCAGCAAAGGCCTCAGCCAGCTCCACAGGGACAGGCATTCGGGGCACTGAGTTGGAGCAAAAGAATCAGGTCTTTACACACCCGGTTGATCAGTCGCTGGGGGTGGGCTCCCTGGAAGTAGGCAAGGCTTTGGGCAAGGTGGTGTTATTTAGCCACGGGCCATTCATTCCAACAGTGTTGCCAGCAGCTGGGGGAATCAGTCCCTCCCCAAAAGGGGATCTAGGCAGCACACTACAGTGTCCACAACACCTTCCTTCTCTCCAGCCGCTCCTTCCCTGGTGTAGGTGACCACTTTCCTCTGGTCTCAGGCTATGGCCTTCTGCTCTTCTCTATTTACAATCTCTTTTGTAAAACACTAATAAAGTATTTTATTTACACTTCATACAAGAACAGTAACTAGCATTTATTGGGTGCATCCTATGAGTAGATGCCAGGCACTGTGCTAGGCACTGCCGATATATTATCTCATTCAAGTTCCCAGAAACCCACTGGCATTAGGGGATATCAAAACTCTTTATCACAGCCAAGGAAAGTGCCAGAAGAGTCTTCTTAAAAAAACAAAGCAAAATCCTTTTTCTACCATGTCATCTCCCTCCTAGCTCAAGGCCCTTTGATGGCTCCCAATTACTGTTGGAATAAAAGCCCAGACTCCTAACTCAGCACCCAAAGCCCTCCGAAACCTGTCCTGAGCCTCCCTTTTTACAATTCTTCCTTTTTCCATTCCTGCCAAACCAAGCCCTTCACTAGGACTTTCAGCTGGCCTGCTCCAACCTGCTCCGAGACTAGCTCGGCTTAGCTCTTAACTATGCCTGTCCCTTCCTTTGACAGTCATTCATTCACGTATCTGTTTCCTCATCTATTGTAGACCTAACATATACTAGGCTGTGTGTTGGGCATTGGGGATACAATGCTGAACAGACACAGCCTGTCCTCCGCTTCAGAATCTTAAAATTGTGCAAGAAAGACGAATGTTATTCAAACTTGCCAAATTTTCAGTTATTTATTTATTAATTATTATTATTATTTTTTGAGACAGAGTCTTGCTCTGTCACCCAGGCTGGAGTGCAGTGGAGCAATCTCAGCTCACTGCAACCTCTGCCTCCTGCGTTCAAGCAATCCCCTGCCTCAGCCTCCCAAGTAGCTGGGATTACAGGTGCCCACCACCACGCCCAGCTAATTTTTGTATTTTTAGTAGATATGGGGTTTCACCATGTTGGCCAGGCTGGTCTCAAACTCCTGACCTCAGGTGATCCACCCTCCTTGGCCTCCCAAAGAGCTGGGATTACAGGTGTGAGCCACCATGCCCAGCCTCAAATAGTTATTGAATTCCAGCTTTGACTCAATGCTAAGAGGGGAGCATCAAGGGGTGTTGAAAGCTTAAAAGGGAGCGCTGAGGACCCTTGGTGAGCCAGGTGCTCTTCCAGTGCCCGTGGATGTGGCTGTGTAACTCAGTCGCTTCCCTGCTTTCTTCGTGGGGCCTAACGTAAGTGTTTCTCCTTTTCAGCTCTCCCCTTTCTCCTCTTAATATCTACATTGCCTGTTGCCTCAACTACTCAATCCTGTGCAGCTTTGCTTTCTCAATGTAAAGCGCTGTCGTCTCTCAGGTACATTTTGAGTCTTATGAATGATAGTTATCACTGATTTGAGGACATATCCTGTGCCAAGCAGTCTCTATGCTCTCACACTGTTCAGCAATTGCAATATCCTCACAACCATCCTTCTTCTTCTTCTCATGATCCCATTGTCTTAGTCCCGGAGGAAGTAACCCTGAGACAGGGACTCAGAGCACCTGGTTTACTTGGCAGTTTAAAGAAACATGGGCAGGTCAGTGGGGAGGTCATGGAAGGGAGGGTGTATTATCAGTCAAGTTCACCCTGGGGGAAAACCAGAGCCAAATCCCGCTGGGGAAATTCTGAGAAGTGGCATAGAATGCGTCTCAGAATCACCGTACCCAGGGGGTGAAGGAGTTGGGGTGCTTATTCACCAATTCCCACCAGACGCTGGTTGAGGGCTGTGTGTAGGTGGGAATGGCACTAATTCCTGGGCACTGCTGGCACCTGCAAGGGCAGGCAAAGTGGGCATCGGCAGCCTGAGAAAGCCCCCAGGGGAAGAAATGGAGGTGCCAGAGTACACTGAAGTGGTGAGGACGGAGGGCCTACTACGCCCATATTACAGATAAGTAAACAGAGGCTTCGAGGAGTCAGTCCAAGGTCACATGGCTAGGAACTATCAGAGCCAGGATGAACTGAAGTCTTTCTGGCTCTAAAACAACATAAAATGCCCCTTGAGAGGCATTATCTTATCTTAACCTCCAGTAACCCTTACAGCTCTTTGCACAGGGCTAAGAACCCAGTAAAGAATCCAAAACTGCTTCCTGATTGAGGAGCCTGAACGATGAGGAGCTTCTTAGACCCACAGAATAACAAGGCTTTTTTTCTTTGTTTGTGTTTTTGAGACTGAGTCTCACTCTATTGCCCAGGCTGGAGTGCAGTGGCGTGATCTCGGCTCACTGCAACTTTGGCCTCCTGGGTACAAGCGATTCTCTTGCCTCAGCCTCCTGAGTAGCTGGGACTACAGGTGAACACCACCACGCCTGGCTAATTTTTTTATTTTTAGTAGAGACAGGGTTTCACCATGTTGGCCAGACTTGCCTCAAACTCCTGACCTCAGATGATCCGCCTGCCTCGGCTTCCCAAAGTGCTGGGATTACAGGCGTGAGCCACCATGCCAAGCCAATAACAAGCTTTTAAATGTGCCTCCCTTCTCCATGATAGCAGGTGCGATCACCTAGTTTCTGAATACATTCATGAGTGTCTCGACCCCTTTTTACCTTATCACCTCTTGGACTTGTTTGAAAAGAGGAAAACAGGCCCACAGTCAACGACGGCTTCCTGTCATGAAGCTGAGGCCAGAACTGGAGTTGCTACTCTTGGTCTTCAGCAAAAATTCAAATGCCCATGCAATCCTTTTTTTCCCCTCCATGAAATTCCCCTAACTCGGTTAAAGAAAAAAAGTCAGTCAATTTACATGGTAACAGAAAAGGACAGGGCCTGGTATAAAATATTCCCCCATCTGCACCGGAGGGCACGGCCTACACGCTTCAAGAGCACAGCGGAGGCCCCGGGGATTTGTTTTTCTTTCCCTGACCCGGGGACTCTGATCTCTCACTTAACCTCTGACCTCTTCAATTCAGATAACAGGGAACTGGCAGCTGGGTTGGGGGCAGCTCTGAATGCCACTGGACTCCGCCTGGGTTCATTCTGGCCATGGAGACAGAACAAAGGGAGGTGGCCCTTCCCCGTGAAGCACCCCAGGGCGGCAGGCAGTCCTGTGGGGGCCCCTGCTCAGGTGCCCACCCCGGGGAGCATAGAGGGTTACCTCATTACAGCTAATGCCATTTAGAGCCTACTTTGTGCGGACAGGAAAAAAAATTAAAGCAACATCAATACCTTGATTTGACTCCATTTAAAAACTTCAGACTGAAATAGGCCTCAGCAAAGATCCATGCCCCTCCCTGCAGAGAGGCCTTTTTCCTCCCTACCTTAGGCCTCATTTAAAACAGGGCTATAGTCTGCATTTTAACAGCAGCTATTTAGAGGTGGGTATGAGCCACTTGTTTGAAATTGAATCAGCCATTTTTATTAAGCCATATATTTTCATTCTTGCCGGTGACGCTGGGAGACGATTTTCCAGCCTCTCTGTTTTGCTTTCCAGTGTATTTTCATTGGGAGGAGAGCTGCAAATCCAGGCCCTGCAACCTCCAATTACCCTGCTCCAACCCCATGCTGCTGGGTTGGACCCAACTCTTCACAGCAACCTCAGAAACAATGAATTTTAACCCCCGCACCCGCAACACCAAAACAAATTCCTTCCTAAATAAGGAGCCCGTTGGCTCCTTCCTAGCTGAATTCCCAGCCCCCATCTCCCAACTCCAGTTTCCAGTTTTGTGGCTGCCGCTGCTCCTGCTTGCTGGTGACTTGGCAGCTCAGCAGTGACCACCCACGGTCGTGCCCCAGGGCTGGATGACTACTTAATCTCTGCTAGGAGTTTGGCAAGAGGCTATTCACTGCCTTTAGACAATTAGACATCTCGAGGGACAGACATTTTTTTGGAGCCTCTAGTTCCCAGCTGCATGTGGGTGGGCCTTTTATTCATTCATTCATTCATTCACTGATACATTCATTCACTCACTTATTTATTCTTTCGTTTATTCATTGATTGCTTTGGAACAGCACCTGACACAGAAGGATGACAGCATGTCAGTAGCTGTCATTCATATCCACAGCCAACATTTATCAGGGACCTCCTACTATGTACCAGGAACTGAAGATGAAATAAATAAAACCCAGCCTCTGCCTTCGTGAGATCATACTATCAGAATGTGGTTTTGCACATTGGGATCACTCGGGGAGCTTTTAAGAAAAGCCTATACTAGGCCCCACCCGCAGAGATTCCGATGTGATTAGTCCATGGTGGGGCCAAGGTATCTGCATTTTGTAAAGGCTTCCACATGTTTCTAACGTGCAACCAGGGCTGAAAGCCACGGCTCAAGAAGGAAGGGCAGATAAGGAGACAGCTCTGCCCCAGGGTGAGGAGGGCAAGAGTAAAGTTCTGTGGATGCAAGGAGAGATGGACTCTAACCCTGCCTGAGGTCAGGAAGGCTTTCTAGAGGAAGGAGGCCTGAAGACAGAAGTCAGCATGGGATGGGCCAAGGTACTGGGAAAGGAGAAAGGGGGAGAAGATTCCAGGAGATGGGAACAGCACAGCAATGGCCTGGGTTGAAGGCAAGCATTGCACGTAGGACAATTTCCGATGATTGCATATGGCTGGAGTTGTGTGTGAGAGAAGGGAGCAGGGGATGGAGGAGACAGCTGGCCGAGCAACCCTGCTAAGGGACTAACAGGGTGTTTTGTCATCCATGTAAGGGGTTCAAACACTGCCTAAAAGCAATAGGGAGCAGAGGAGGGAAATGATTAATTTTGCATTTTATTTTATTATTTTTAAATTAATTTACTTATGTATTTTTGAGACGGAGACTCGCTCTGTCACCCAGGCTGGAGTGCAGTGGTATGATCTCGGCTCACTGCAACTTCCGCCTCCTGGGTTCAAGCGATTCTTGTGCCTCAGCCTCTCGAGTAGTTGGGATGACAGGTGCATGCCACCACACCCAGCTAATTTTTTTTGTATTTTTAGTAGAGACGGGGTCTCCCTAGGTTGCCCAGGTTGGTCTCAAACTCCTGGCTCAAGTGATGCACCCGCCTCAGCCTCCCAAAGTGCTGGAATTACAGGCATGAGCCACCACGCCCAGCCAATTTTGCATTTTAGAAAACTCCTGGCCGGGCGCAATGGCTCACGCCTGTAATCCCAGCACTCTGGGAGGCCGAGGCAGGCAGATCACGAGGTCAGGAGATCAGGACCATGCTGGCTAACATGGTGAAACCCCGTCTCTACTAAAAAAAATACAAAGAAATTAGCCAGGCGTGGTGGTGGGTGCCTGTAGTCCCAGCTACTCAGGAGGCTGAGGCAAGAGAAGGGCGTGAACCTGGGAGGCGGAGCTTGCAGTGAGCCGAGATCATGGTGCCATTGCACTCCATCCTGGGCAAAAGAGCGAAACTCTGTCTCAAAAAAAAAAAAAAAGAAAAGAAAACTCCTTCAGCTGTAGAATGGACTAGAGCGCAGCCAGACAGGAAGCCAGGTGAGAAATGACAATGACTGGACGCAGGGATGTATCAGTTTAACTTAGGCTGGGCTCCCCTACACCTTGAGATAGTCTAGAAAAGGAGTCAGAATTGTCCCACCTAAGGAATGAAGAAACTGGTGTATTTGCCCACAGACCCCTGTCTGGTGTTGGTCCAGGGCCTCTCCTGGAGGCATCAATGCCCCAGCATCCTGGCCTGCCCACCCCACTCCCACAGGCATGCTCCTGGCCAAAGCAAGCTCCCTGGCAGAGAATGACAGGCACCTACAAGGACACCATCCCTGGCTGTGGGAACAGTGGTGCCCAGGGCACATGTACAAGGCTGCAGCAGAGGCTGTGACTAGGTCTTTACCCAGTGATGGAGGGCATGAGAGACTGAGGCCAGGAAGAGGCTGGTGAGTGTGGTGAGATTGACAGGTGCAGATGGAAATGAGGAGGCAAGGGTTGCCATCAAAAGGAGGATGGCAACCCTCCAGCACGCTGACTGAGGGCACGAGCAAGTGAAACCTTTAATCCCCAGGGTCAGATCAGCACAAATACAGCCATGTGCCGGCCAACAACCTTCTGAGCATCCATGCAGGGCAGGATCATGGGATTCTGGTTGTTTGAGCTGCATGGACTTTTGGTTTCCAGGAGAGAAGAATTTGCAGTATTTGTAGGAGGCTTGGCTTTAGGCACATAAAAAGGCCTTAACAGACTTTAATTCCGGGTCACCCCCACCCACAACCTTGTGTTCCTCCCTCTCCTCTCCCCATGATGTAATCTCTGATGTAATCCTTGGTATATTTCTGTTCCCTGTCTCTCCTATCCAATCAGCTGCTGTGTTGGTTGTGAATTATTTGAAGGCAAGAAATCCACTCAAACTAATTCAAGTCCAGGAGGCCAGTTTTGGGGAAGATATGAGAGCTGGGGGAAGAACCGAGGGCAGGAAATGTAGCCAGGCTCCCTTTAGGTTCAGAAGCAGAGACCACTAAGACCCCAGGGGTAGAGAAAAGGCTTTTCCTATTTTTTCTGAAGCCACATGGTCTCTCATCTCCCCCTCTATCTTTTCATCTGTTCCATCTCTGTCTCATTTTTGTTCCTCTCTGCGACCTCTCTCTGTGTCTCCGGTATTTGTGCTCAGGTGAGCACATGGCCACTCCAACCTGGCATTCTGTGGCCTCTTAGTTTAAGCCAATATAAATAGGCTTCAGTCTTTATGTCTCAGTTCCTAATTCACAAGGGAGAGTACTGGATTGGTAAGTATTAGAAGACCCAAATCAAACTGGTTCCAGGAAAAAAAGCAAATTTTTTGCCTCAAGTAACTTAAAAGTCAAGGGTAGGCATCAGGCATTGCTGGATCCAGGGGCTTAAGTTCTTTTGTCAGGAATTCTGATGCTCAGCCCTTTTTTGATCTGTGTTGGTTTCATTTTCAGGCAAGTTCCCTCCAGCTTTAGATCCTCTAGTTTAGCAGTCTCAGTAGAAAGGTGGCTTCTTTCTGCCAGAAGTTCCAATCACATTCCTAGGGTTGACTCTCACTGAGCCAACCCAGATCACAGCCCCCTTGCTGAACCAGTTGCTCTGTCCAGTGGATGGAAATGCTGATGGGCCAGACCTGAGTGACACTGCACCCTGAAACCAGATGGACTAAAAACAGGAGAATGGCCAGGCACGGTGGTTCATGCCTGCTATCCCAGCACTTTGGGAGGCCAAGGTGGGAGGATAGCTTGAGTGGCCAGGAGTTCGAGACCAGCCCGGGCAACATAGCAAAACCTTGTCTCTACAAAAAATAGAAAAATTAGCTGGGCCCAGTGGTGTGCGCCTGTAGTCCCAGCTACTCAGGAGGCTGAAGTGGAAGGATCACCTGAGCCTGGGAAGGTCGAGGCTGCAGTGAGGAGCAAAAAAAAAAAAAAAAAAGCAGGAGGAGAATTTTTCTCCAAAGAAGACTGAGGTGCTGGTACCAGAAAAAGGAAAAGGAGGCATGGATTTGAGGAGGCAGAAGTAAACAACCAACATGGTCAAGGGGTGACATCACACCCTTCCACCCACCCTAAAGAGCTCTGAACAAAGCAGGTTTCTTATAACAATATGGGAACCAAAGCAGTCACCACGCTCTCCTGTCAATGTTATCTGAACAATCTCACAGACATCTGCTTCTTCCTTTCTGTGACTGGGGCACCAGCCAGGGCTGACCATCAGCATGTGTGCACTGATATGGCCACCATCGTTGTTAAAGTACTGCACTATTTCCGTCACCTGTTGGTAAATATCCACCGGCCTGAGTCCCTGGCTTCCCCCACCTAGGCCACTCAGGCCCTCTTTTGAATCCCACAGATTGCCACAGGCTAGCCACTGAAGGGTTAATGCTGAGTGCAGCAGGGGCCTCCAAGACCCTGACCCAGCCGCTTCTGATTGGTTGATGCTCATGACCTACCAGTTGTCTCATTGATCTGGTACCAGTAGTTAAATATTTTGAATATCACCCTGGCTGGCAACAGTTTCCTATCTACTCTCCTTCATTCCCCTCCATCCCTCGACTCCCACAGTCTTCCTTCACACAGCCTTCTTAAACTCTGATCTGCACTACTCACTGGCCTCCTCATCATTCTCCCCTGCATCAGGTCCTGACTCCTTCGTAGGTCTCCAGCTGCCCCTGTGAGCTGGTCCCAAATGCCTTTTCAGCCTCACCTTCCCACCCACCTCCCACCCAAATGGCTTGCTTTTCCAAATACGCATGCCTCCTCATGCTTCTCTGCCTTTGCCCAAGCTGTTCCCTTTTTCTGATATTCTTTACCCACATATTTATGGAGGGCCTACTGTGTATGTGTCAGGTGCTGGCTTGGAGGAATAGACTGAGCAGGGAAGGTGGAGACAAAAAAGACAGACAGATGTTGTGAAATGTCTCCAATGGAGAAGCTCAGCCTGGAAGCAGAAAGGGGCACTTAACCCCAGGTCCCAGGAGCTCCCTGAAGGAGGATTCCTGGAGGATGAGTAGGAGGCCAGGAGGTCTGGGGCACAGCAATGAAGTCAAGGAAGCCAGCCTGCCATGCTGTGATTCCAGGGGTCCAGCAATCTGCTTCAATGTGCCCGATGTCTGAGCACACCTCCCGTTTGCTGAGCGCTTTCCATGTGCCGGGCACTTGCTGAGCTTTCCATGCTTGATCTCACTCAGTCCTCACCACCACCCTGCGAGGTGAGGCTGTGCAGAAAATGCAGCTCAGAGAGAAGACTCACACAGCTTGTGAGCAGCAGACCTGCCATCTAAGCCCAGGCTCCCTAGACACTCTGTTCACCCCTCACCCCATTCCCATGCCCCCTGTTTTAGGGCAGAGCACCTGCTCCACCACCCATCATTAGCAAGCTGGGCCTAAGAAGAATAATCTGGCTTCCCCACAGTGCTCGGTCCACAAAGACAATCCTAGACGTGGAAAAGCAGGGAGGGGGTGGCAAGCCCTGCTCTTGGCCACTAACAAGCTGATATTTGATGTGGTTCAGCAGGTGACCTGCCTCCTTGGCTCAGTTGCGCAAAAAATGGGGATAAAAATATCTTGGGGCACTAAACAGGATAATACATAGAAAGCCATTAAACGTGAGCCACTATGTCACCTACTCTTTCAGGACCAGATGAGAAAATGGGATAAGAAGGAAAACAAGGACTCATGCTTAGGTACCCTGGGCACAATTCCTTCCTTCCCAGACAGGGAGGGAGCCTGACTACATACCTCCTCTCTCTCTCTGCAATCAAACACATCTGGGTTGGCCTATCTGCTGTGTGATTTTGGGTAAGTCACTTAACTTCTCTGAACTTTCCTACCTTCACAATAGAGATCATTATGGGGCTCTGCCTTCATTCACTCAGCAAGCCACATGCAGCAACTACTATTTGCCAGGCATGGTAGTAGGAGCTGATGATGTAAGCAAGACAAGCCCCTGCACTCATGGAGTTTATATTCTAAGGGGAAATACAGACCAACACACACATGCACCCACACACAGTCAGGCTTTCAAATAGTGATAAGCATTCGGAAGAAAATAAAACAGGACAATGGTGCAGGAAGGAGGAGGCTGCCCGTGACAAAGTGGTCGGGGGGGGGCTGTCTGTGAAGGTAACCTGGGATCTGATACCCAGTTGGAGGGGAGAAACCTGGCAGACAAAGATCTGGGGAAGAGCTGTTCAGCCAACAGGAGCAGCAAGTACAGAAGCCCTGGGGCATGAAGGAACTTGGTCTATTTTAGGTATAGAGAAAGCCCAGTGGGGCTGGAGTGTGCCAATCAGAGTGAGGGAGAATGGCAGGAATGTGGGGAAAATTCAAGATGAGGCCCTGAAAGGACTTACATGGGCCTCTGACCCATGCCAAGGGCTCCATGCAATGTCAGCTACTTTGCCTGTGCTGTCCTCCCACGGGGCAGCAGGTTGGCTCATGCCAGGGAGTCACTGGCCACCAGAAGGCTGCTGCTTATACACAGGCAAATACGGTAATTCTTTTCCTCCACCTCCCAGCAGTAGCAGCAGCAGCAGGGATATGAATTGATTGTCAGAAGCTGTTTAAGGGCCTGTGATTGAGGAGATGATCTGAGGTAAGCTGCTCCAGTGAAATAAAGGCCAACAGCTGCCTGGTTCCACATCAGCGCTGCGCTTTTCTAAAAGGCAGCTTTGCCTTCCAGCACCCACCCCCACTCCACCCCCAGGAGGCGGGGAGCTCTCCCTTCATACTCTGGGGGAGGGAGATCCTATTTAGTGACAGATGAGATGTTGGGGACTAAACCCGAGGGCGTTGAGAAGTGTAATGGCTGTGGCTGAATATGTCAGTTTCCTGTTCTTTGTGGGTGGGGTCTCAGTTATGAATAAGAATTTCATGGAAATTTTGGGATTGAAAGGAAGGAGGGATTCGGGGAGAATCAGTCCCATCTCAAATTAAAATCTGTGCATTCCTGGGCTTTCAAGTGTAGCACTTTACACAGAATCAATTTTTTCATCTGAAATACGCATTCATCCATCTATTAATTTATTCGTTTACTTATTCACTCCTTTAACAAATATAAAATGCATAAGAGCTTGGGCTTTAATCACTGGATTTTTTAATATTTTAAAATTATTTTTCTAGAGACAGAGTCTTGCTATGTTGCCCAGACAGGACTCAAACTCCTGAGTCCAAGGGATCCTCCCGCCTCAGCCTCCCAAGTAGCTGGGACTACAGGTGTGTGCCACCATGCCCGGTTTGACAGATAGATTTAACGGGTTTGGCTACTTACTAGCTATGTGGCCTCAGGCAATTCACCTCACCTCTCTGAGTCCCGGGATACTCATACCTACCTCACAAGACTATTTGAGGATTATCCAGATAATGCTCACTAGGGACTGAGCCCAGTGCCTGGCACCGGCAAGTGACCATTCGCTACAGTGTACCAGAGAGCAAAAGAGGTGCCGCAAGGTTACAAAATGAAATCAGACAAAGCCCGTTTAGGAGCTCACAGTCCAGGATGTAAATAACCATGCCATGAGGAGCATATCTTAAATGTTCTAAGAGGCACAGAAAAAGTGACATGGCAAAAGATTTCTTCCTGTTAAAAAAAAATGAGGAAGACTCAAGAGGGAATTGGAAGTGACATTCGAGCTGAGCCTTAAAGGGTGGGTAAGGAGACCAGGGGGCGAGGCAAACAAAGGCACATTCCTAGAACCTTGCGAAGTGTGGTTCATGGACGAGCAGCACCTGCTTCACCCGGGAGCTTGCTCAAAATACAGATTCTCAGTCCCACCCAGACCCACTGGATCAGAATCTGCATTCGAACAACTGGGAGGTTTGGGTGCAGATGAAAGTCTGAGGAGCTCAGGACAGATGATCTCTGCTATCTCTGAGAAATGCCTTTGTGGCAAAGGAAGGAAGGAAGAAGAGATAACCTCCCCATGTGTTTGGGCCAATGACAAGGTCATATAGATGTGCCCACCCTGGGACCTTGGCCGGGGCGCCCCAGAACCAGAGGCCTCCAGGTGTGCAGGGAGCAGATACCCAGAGACTAATCTGCAGGGAAGGTCAGGCACCTGGGTGGCAGATGTTGCAGGGCAAAATGTTCTCTGAAGCCTCAGTTGAGCCTGTTGGCTCAGGGGACGGGACTGCAGTCCTGGCCACTTATCCATTCAATTCACTCATTCTACAAATACATACCGGGCACCTTTGCGAGCCAGGTACCAGCCAAGTTCTGCGTCTAGCAATGTCATGAGCCCTCAGGCAAGCCCCTCTTCCTCAGTTCTCAGTTTCTCCATTTGTCAGGTCTGGGTTGGTGTGCTTTCTATAATGCCTGAAGTCACCTCCACCCCATTTTCTGATTCCCCCTGTCCCTTTCTTTCCCAGTGTTTCCTTCTTTTCTCTATTCTCCTCTCTGCACTATTCCTCACATTGGTTTCCATCCGCACAATATGGAAAATCCCAGCACCTCTCTTTCTTAGACCGAGTTCCCAGAAGCAGAGTGGGAAATGAGGGTTCGTGTGAAAGTGACTTATTAGGAAGTGGGGTGATAGAACTGGGGAACAAGGAGACAAATAGAGGGTACTTTTGTCTCCATCCTGCAGGGGAGTGCTGGGGACAGTGTGGCTTGAGCCTCAGAGCTGTCCCCACTGGGAAGATCAGGGTGAGGGAGCTGAGTAGACCATAAATTCCCAGGCACTTCCACTCTCCACTGGCTGCAGCAGCCTGAGGACAGCCCCCTCGACAGAGACTCAGGTGCAGGCTAGCCGGAGTGAGAGCTGGCCTTTCTGAAAACGGCAAAGGGACCCAAGGGTGGAGCGCAGGGGATGCGCTCACAGCATCCACTACATTGTCTAAATAATTATAGGCCAGGTGGAATTGAGGTTCCAAAGACATAATAATAACAATAATGTTAGACCCAAACCTATCTTTTATCAAGCACTTACTTTGAGCCAACCACTGCCCTACACATGGACCATGCAGTATCTCATTTAATCTATGGGACAAATTTCTGAGGCTTTCAAGTTTTCTAACTCCCACTCCACCCCCAGCCCATGCAACACCGCTCTTTCTTTGATCTTTCCAATTCCAAACAAAACAGTTATTCACATGTATGACGATTATAGAAGCTATGAAACTAGCATGGAGAAAAGCCTTCAGGCAAGAACACCTGAGGAGTCCTCACTCCACCACCAGCCACTGCCAGGGGATGGTAATTGTCTGGAAGACTGAATGATTTGACTTCCCAGACACTTGCACAGAGACTTCTCATTGGGTCCTTTAGTGGGCCTGGAAATTTCTCTAAGAGCTGTAGATAATATAAAATCTCATAGACCAAATTTAAGGGTGATTTAGAGCATTTTTCAAGGGTACTTTGGACTTCCAGCTGACTTTACAACAGAACCCCGTGTGAAAACGTTAAGTCTGAAGCACCGTCAGTGTTTCAACTCACAGAGAAGAGGACAGAGGCACAGAGAGGGAACAGAACCTGCTCAGGGTCACACAGCTAATAGGAGAAGGTGGTAGGGTTGTTGCTGAGGCATTTAGGTATCAAATCTGTGTTCCTGACTGCAAGGCCACACTGTGCCTGAGGGAGAAGGAGGAACACTCAGTGTTTTCTGGAAACCATGAGGGGCCTGGTCACTCTGAGGACTGTGCGGTAGCAGCCCTCGGCTCTGTCCCTCCTTGGCTCCACAGAGAGGAGATAATCCCTCATCCATCTTTCACCCAGCCTCGCGTGGTCCCTATTGGCAGCAGCTGCCTGACACTGCCTCTGAAAGATGCCTAAGACTCTGCGAACCCAGTGTTTAATGCATGCAAAGCCTTTTCCAAAGAAGTCACTTAAAAAGATTACACAGGACAGAATCACCCCTCCTGCCTCCAGCTTAGAGAGTCTTTGCAGCTGGCCTGGAGCTAAGCTAAGGAAGCAGAGTCTATAGCAGCCTGAAAATAAAGTGAGCCTTCATTGGAGAAATCACTCAGAACACCAGCTGCAAGAGCTCTGCTCACTGATTCATTCAGCAACTCTTTGCTCTATATCTGAGTGCAGGCACCACACCAGGCTTTAGGGATGGACTGGGGACATGGTCCCTGCCCTCCTGGAGCTTACATTCTAGGAGAAAGGCCCCACTCCCACAGGAATGCCCATCTTACCACGTGATTCTCCCCAAAATGGGGGATCCTTTTCCTTGCTTGTCCCTGGAGGACAGCTCAGATGCTTCTTCACTCTCGCTGCAAGGCTCAGGATGGAGGTCCTGGGGAGAAGGCCATTCTGGTTTCATTTACTTTTCTCTTTAGCTTCCTCTCTCTCCTCTTTCTGAACACCCTCCTTGCTATCTGGATGGAAGAAGGGGCAAAAGGAAGAAGGAATAAAATGTTCGTGAATGAAGAAGAACAGAAGAAAAAAGTTGAGGATGACAGGAAGGGAAGAGAACAAAGTAAGGCTGGGGATGACGACACCTGTGGCCAACCCAGTGATGGAGGGTGGGATGAATGTGAAGCCACCGAGGACCTGGATGTCCTCTCCCTTTTACCAAAGCCCTTCAGGCACTGACGGGACTGGGAAAAGAGGAGAGGACTGACAGATATGAAGAGATTGAGAAGAAACATCATCCAACCTTGTAGCAGCAACCCCCAAGGTCACCAGCCTGCTCAGATTTTTTTTTTTTTCAGTATGAAACACTTAACAATCCTTCTCACACTTGCCAGTAGCTTATGGCAGAGGTCAGCAAACTACAGCCTGTGGGATAATCCCACCTGCTGCCTGACTTTGTAAATAAAGTTTTATTGGAACACAGCCACTCTCAGTTCTGTATTGTCAAGGGCTGCTTTCACACTACAACACAGAGCTGATTAGTTGCAACAGAGACTGTGTGGTCTGCAAAGCCTAAAATATTTACTAGCTGGCTGCTTACAGAAAAAGTTTGCCAACCCTTGGGTGTTATTCCTAGGCTCTTGAGCCTTCAGAGTTCTAAAATTGCTTATCAATTCTTCAGCACTTCCTTTAAATCCACTCATCAAATATTTATAGAAGCCTACTGTATTAGAATATTCTCTTTTTGTTGCAAGTGATGGAAAACTCAGCTCACGTGGGCTCCAGCTAAAAAAGCGGGGGAGAGGGTTCTTGTTTCCTGTAACTGAAAAGTCCAGGGATTGAGGGACTTCAAGCATGGCTGACCCCAGGAGCTCAAACAACAGCAGCATGATATGGCGGTTAGAAACAACTTGCTTCTAACCAACAGAACACAGCAAAGGTGATGAGTTGTCATTTTCATGATTAGGTTACAAGAGATTATAACCTCCGTCTTGCTAGCAGACTCTCTCTCTTGCCTTCTCAGCTTGTGCACTCGGATGAAGATAGCTGCCATGTTGGAAGGGCCTGCATGGCCAGAAATGGAGGCAGCTTCCAGTCAACAACCAGTGAGGACTGAGACTCTCGATCAAACAGCCCTCCCAGGAACCAAATTCCACCAACAACCATGTGAGCTTGGGTGCAGATCTTTTCTCAATCAAACCTCCCGCTGAGATGCCAGCTATGGCTGACATCTTGCTTGCAAACTGATGAAAGACCCAGAAGCAGGGGACCTGGCTGAACTGCGCCCAGATTCCTGACCCATGGAAACTGTGAGATAATGAGAGAGAGAGAGAGAGAGAGAGAGAGAGAGAGAGAGAGAGAGTGTGTGTGTGTGTGTGTGTGTGTGTGTGTGTGTGTTTAAATATATATATTTTTCGTAGAGATGGAGTCTTGCTTTGTTGCCCAGGTTGATCTTAAACTTCTGGCCTCAAACGATCCTCCCAAAGTGCTGGGATTACAGGCGTGAGCCACCATGTCTGGCCATGTATGTTTTTTGGTTTTTGTGTTTTTTTTGAGACAGGGTTTTGCTCTGTCTTCCAGACTGGAGTGTGGCAGTGCAATCTCAGGTCACTGCAACCTCTGCCACCCGGGTTCAAGCAATTCTCCTGCCTCAGCCTCCCGAGTAGCTGGGATTACAGGCATGCACCACCGTGCCTGCCTAATTTTGTATTTTTAGTAGAGACAGGGTTTTGCCATGTTGGCCAGGCTGGTCTCGAACTCCTGACCTCAAGTGATCTGCTTGCTTTGGCCTCCCAAAGTGCTGGGATTACAGGTGTGAGCCACTGCTCCCAGTCCCACGTACATTGTTTTAAGCAGCCAGGTTTGTGGCAATTTTCTATGCAGCAATGAATAATGAATACATACCCTCATCTCTGAGAGAGGCTGGGAAGGTAATTTTTAGCTTGGTACATTGCCATCACCAACAAAATTGGGGTTCCCTACGAAAAAGGAGGAGAATGGATATTGCTGGGAAAGGCACAGGTATCTCACAGAAGCCACTGAGGCATACCTGGGAGGAGAAGCCAGTGTCTTGGATCAGGGCAGTGGCAGCAGGAATGGAGGGTAGCGATTGGATTCCTGGTTCCTGAGGTAGCAGCAATCTTATTTCTTTTAGAACAGTCTTCCTTTCACTTATTACCAGTTGGCAAGGTCCCCTTAGCTCCTCTCATACATGACCTGGTTCCTACACAGAGTTCCAGAAATGGAGCTCAAATCAGAAATCCAAAGCATTGCAGGAAAAACAGACTGGGCACAAAAGCCACTGGCTAGTTCCAAGTCACACCTTTCCTCTCATTCCCCGCTATTCAGTGGGTTTCTGGTAGTATGATTCAGTAGGATCTGGTAGTATGGCAAAAACCTCTTTCCTGGAGAGTTGAGAAAGTCTGCGATTCCAGATGCAGAAATAAAACTTATCCTTTAAAGTGTCTGCAGAAATGAAAAGAAACCCAGGTCCCTTTATAAATGTTTTAAAAATATACAGTACAGATTTGGGGGTCTAGACATGAATTTTATGGTTTAAAATCCAGCTAACCTAACCCTTCTGAGTCTCCACTTGGGGAGTTTGGAAAATGCATAATTTTAAGGGAGGCTGAATTTATGAGCGTTGTAGTTATAGCAACAGACACTTTAGATTCTGGGAGGCAGGTCCATGAGACTGTTACATAACAGTCAACTTTGTGGTTAAAAAAAAAAATGCAGGGAACACCAAGGCTGCTAAAAAATACATATAATAGAACCAAAAGACGAGGGAGATGGCAGGCAAGAGGGACAAAAATGAAGGCTGCAAAGGCTTTTTCAAAGAACATGATGAATCTTCTTGTGAAGGGGCAGGAGCTTCATCTCGCAGGCTTGCTGCTGCCAGCTCAGGCATGTAGGGAGAAACTCATCAGACAAAAGAGCAGACAAAAATATGGATGCAGCACTCAGGGGCCTGCCAAGCTGAGGATTAGGAAACAACAAAAAACACATGGATCGTGGAGGGGAGAGCTGCCTTCCGAGGGAACCTTGATCTAGGGAAGCCCAAAACGAAGGCATGGGTCAGGGCTGGGATGCTGTTTCCTCCTCTCATTTTCCTAATTCCGAGGCAGTCCCTACTATCCCGGGGAACTGTTCTTTGGAAGGTAGAGAGGTCAAAGATGCATCTCCCCAAGACTTCAGAAATCATGCTCTCTACCATGAAGCACTGGTACAAGATTGGAATCTCATGGTGCCCATGGTGTTGTGGTCGTGGAACAAGATTGGAGTCTCGTGGTGGTGTGATCGTGGGCAGAACAGCCTTTTGAACCAGGCAACAAGGGTCTTGCCCTGGCCTCCCACTTCAAAGGGTCCCCTCTGGGTTTGCGCCTCCTCAAAGGGGCAGATGTTTAAGGAGTCCATGGGACCAAGGAGATGTGCCCACCTGAGCCCCATGCACTCCCGCTTCCAGGCCCTAGTCTGGGTTCCTGGAATCCTTACTTCTCTGCCCAAGTAGCTGTAATCCTGTTTCCAGAATGTGCGTTGGCCTCTTCCCTTCTTTCTTTGTTGGAAGTCCAAACCTGCCCACCAGCATGTGCACCCAAGTCTGAGAGTTGACTTAGGGGCAGCTGTTTGAAGGACAGCGGGGATGGACATGGAGTTTGAAGGACATGGATATGCAGCTGGAGTGTCCACAAACGAGAGAGAGAGAGAGAGAGAGAGAGAGAGACAGAGACAGAGACAGAGACAGAGAGAGAAAGACAGCATGCATGAGTGAGGGACATTCTTCACAATGCAAAATGGAACGAGAGGTGGAACAGAAGGGGAGTGGGTGGAGTCAGGGCTGCTCTCCCTGCAAGATCACATTTGGGTGTGGAGGACCAAGGAGCCCGAGAAATCTAAAGTCCATCCTGGTGTTGCAGGGCATTAGGAAGATACATTTGTCCAAGTTGGAGGGTAGAACTTATTTTACATAGCATTTTGTACTGGGATGGATAATGTTTGAATACTTAGATATCGCTTTCATAAGCCCCCACTTGCACTCTTGCCACAGGGGCCAGCCTGAACACAGAGCTTGTGGTTCTGCTCTGCTTAGCTCCCATCATCCTGGCAGAAGGAGGAAAGGCAGTTGGAGGTGTCAAACCCTTTCCTACTGTGAAGTCAGACACTAAAAGATAATTCGGCAAGCTATAAAAAAAACAAAAAGCCCACTGGACCCTTGGCTGGAGTGCAACAGGGCCATCACGGTCATCCTCCATTGCACATGACACATGATGGCTGCAGAGTCATTATTCTGCTCCTGACATGTGCCCTCTCCTCCAGTGACTTCAGCCAGGGGCCCAGGCTCCTGCAAAGGAGCCCCTCACCCCTCACCTGCCCCCCAACCCCCTGCCTCCCCCGAGCTGGTCCACACAACTGAAGCAAAAAGCCATCTCCTATCTCAGCTTCAGACCCTAGCAAGAAAAATCAATAGCAGTTTGGCCCCTGGCCAGTCCTGTGTCACTCTGGACAAGCCAGTCTTATTTGCCATCCCCTAGATGAAGCCAGGGCACCAGAGCCTTCAGACAGAAAGAAGCCCAAATCCTCTTCCTAGGATGATCTTGGCATAGCCCTGATTTACAACCTCAGGGATCTGCTCCGGCCTCAGGTGCCCCAGCCGGGCAGTCTCCAGTCCGAGGGATAACTGAGCTGCCTGTTCAGCTATTTCTAGGCATAGCAGTGACCTCAGCTAGAGCCCCAGGCCCATCCAGGTGTGCCTGGTAAATGGATGGGATGGGCCTCTGAAATGTCTTTGCACGTGGGCTCAGAGTGCCTCTGAGAGAGGACTAGCCCTAAGGGAAAACAGAGCCGGGAGCCTTAAGCTTGGCCTAATAACAAAGCCTTGATTGTTAAGGAGGGCACATATACCATGAGGTCTGCTCTTAGGTTTTCTATTCCAGCCTGGCTTCCTGTAGACTGGGGTAGGAGGGAGGAGGGCCATAAAGACTGCAGGGAGAAAAAAGCTACAAGTTTTTTATTAAAACTCCATCAGGCCTTTCTGAGGGGGAATCATGTTTAAGCCTCCTTTCCCATACCCACTTCCCTCGGGAACACACAAATTAATAACGACAACATTGAGTTAGTGCTTATGTTGTGCCAGGCACCGAGCTAAGAACTTAGATCCATTTTCTCATTTAACTTTTACTACTATAGCCTGATGAAATAGTACATTTTTCATCAAGTACATTTTATGGATAAGAAAGCCAAGACACAAGGAGTGTCACCCAGATAGTAAAAAGGTCAAACCAGGGTTTCTTGTTGTCTTTTGTTTTGTTTTTTGAGACGGAGTTTCGCTCTTGTTGCCCAGGCTGGAGTGCAATGGTATGATCTTGGCTCATGGCAACCTCTGCCTCCTGGATTCCAGAGATTCTCCTGCCTCAGCCTCCCAACTAGCTGGGATTACAGGCACCTGCCACCATGCCTGGCTAATTTTTGCATTTTTAGTAGAGATGGGGTTTCACCATGTTGGCCAGGCTGGTCCTGAACTTCTGACCTCAGGTGATCCGCTTGCCTCGGCCTCCCAAAGTGCTGAGATTACAGGTGTGAGCCACTGTGCCCGGCCCAAACCAGGGTTTGAATCTTGGCCGTTCCACTACAGCCTCTTCTCTTTACCACTGAACCATACCAATCTGGTCAATTCTGGGAACTGAGTGGATCAGGTTTGAAGGAGAGTGAAGTTATATAATGCATTAAAAGATCAGGCCATGATTGCAATTCATAGATTCCACTTCTTCCATGTAGCCAGCATGCAAGAAAACATTAGACTTGTATCAGCAAGTGGTGGGAGGAATTAAAGGGATCAGAGCTCACCAGATTCTCTGGTTTGAAGCTGAATCAACTGTAGTAGTTTGAATGGCATCCCCTCAGAATTTGTGTTCATCAGCAACCTCAGAATGTGACCTTATTTGAAAATAGCCTCTTCACAGAAGTAATTAGTTAACAAGAAGTTATACTGGTTTAAGGTGGGACCTAAATACAATGACTGGTGTCCTTATAAGAAGAGGAGAGGAACACACAGAAGATAAGGCCATGTGAAGACAGAGGCAGGGATCAAAGCAAGGCAGCTACAAGCCAGGGAGCCCCAAGGACTTCCGACAACCCCAAACGCTAGGAGGAGTCAAGGAAGTATCCTTCCTCTCACCTTCAGTGGGAGCATGCTCCTGTCAATAGCTGGCTTCATGCTTCTACCTCTAGAACTGTGAGAGAAAGCATTGCTGTTGTTTTAAGCCATGCACTTCATGGTACTTGGTTACAGCAGTCCTAGAAAATTAATACAATAGTTTAGAAAAGCAAGGATGTTCCATGTGGTCCAATTGAGCTACCAAAGTCGTCTGTGTTGCAGTTCGGGGTCCAAGCCCCAGCTACCAAAACAATGTGACTTGGCTTCCTATTGGTCATTACTCCTTGTATGCGTATCTCTCTTAGATTGGTAGACAGTCATCTTTTTTCTTTGGCTGCCCAGCACTCATTTTACATTCTGATTTTTCCAGAAATCTTCATCTTTCATTCTAGATTACTTTTGGGGGAATTATCTCATTTTTGGTTAATGAGATCTGCAGGGAAAGTACTGCATCATGGGATGGGATCATCTCCCACTACAGAACTCAAAGGCACAGTCCCTGCCTCTCTCTAGCTTAATATGTTGGAGAACAGGCCCACCATGTAAGCTCAGGCAATTGGATTTTCTTTCCTGGGCTACTGTATAATGAAAGATCAAGAGTGAGGCCATTCCATGCAGGGTGACATGCTCGCAGAAAGGTTCCTGCTTGGAGACTGCTGCTGTGATTCATGCCATAGCCTCCAACATTGCCTTAGTTTCTGCTCCTATCCAAGTCTTATCCATTAGTCCAGAATCCATTTCCCATTCTAACAGCATGCAGATTTCCTTTTGGAAAATTACCTTCTGTCATTGTATGAGCATCTCCTATATGTTAGCTAGAGTTGATCTCTGTTGCTTGCAACCACAAACTCTAATTGATACACTGAAGAGACTGATGGAGAGGGGGCAGTTTGGCCTGAGCAGGACTTAAGTTTTGAAGGGCTTTTGGACAAAGAAAAAAATGAACCATAATACTATAACAACTTTATCCAAATACATGTATCACTGATGGGAGTGTAAATTGGTCTAATCACTTTGAAAGTCTGTTTGGCAGAACAGACACATGAAAAAATGCTCATCATCACTGGCCATCAGAGAAATGCAAATCAAAACCACAATGAGATACCATCTCACACCAGTTAGAATGGCAATCATTAAAAAGTCAGGAAACAACAGGTGCTGGAGAGGGTGTGGAGAAATAGGAACACTTTTACACTATTGTGGGACGGTAAACTAGTTCAACCATTGTGGAAGACAGTGTGGCGATTCCTCATGGATCTAGAACTAGAAATACCATTTGACCCAGCAATCCCATTACTGGGTATATACCCAAAGGATTATAAATCATGCTGCTATAAAGACACCTGCACACGTATGTGTATTGCGGCACTATTCACAATAGCAAAGACTTGGAACCAACCCAAATATCCATCAGTGATAGACTGGATTAAGAAAATGTGGCACATATACACCATGGAATACTATGCAGCCATAAAAAAGGATGAGTTCATGTCCTTTGTAGGGACATGGATGAAGCTGGAAACCATCATTCTCAGCAAACTATCGCAAGGACAGAAAACCAAACACCGCATGTTCTCACTCCTAGGTGGGAATTGAACAATCATAACACTTGCACACAGGGTGGGGAACATCACACACTGGGGCCTGTCGTGGGGTCGGGGGAAGGGGGAGGGATAGCATTAGGAGATATACCTAATGTAAATGACGAGTTAATGGGTGCAGCACACCAACATGGCACATGTATACATATGTAACAAACCTGCACATTGTGCACATGTACCCTAGAACTTAAGGTATAATAATAATAAAAAATAAACAAATAAATAACATTTAAAAAAGAAAGTCTGTTTGGCAGTATTGACTAAAGCTAAACATATGCATAGCCTATGACCTAGCAACAATTTATACATACACACATGCACACACACACGCATACACACACACATGTACATGCACACACATATGTATATATCCCTAACAGAAATGCTTGCATATGTTCACCAAAAGACATGAACAAAGATGTTCACAACAGCACTACTCGTAAGAGTCCCAAACTGGAAACTACCCAAATGCCCATCTACACTAGAATGGATAACTAAACATTGTATGTGCTATATCCACGCAATGGCATACTACACAGAAATGAAAATTATAAGCTACAGCTGTATTCACTAATGTAACTATATCTTACGAACATAATGTTAAGCAAAATAAACTAGATTTTAAAAAGTCTATATGATTCCTATTTATATCAAGTTTTAAAAGAGGCAACCAGAATCTATAGTGTTAGAAGTTAGGATAGCAGGGCCAGGAGCGGTGGCTCATGCCTGTAATCCCAGCACTTTGGGAGGCCAAGGCTGGCAGATCATCTGAGGTCAGGAGTTCGAGACCAGCCCTGGCCAACATGGCGAAATCCCATCTGTATACAGAAAAAGACATAAATTGTAAGTTACAAAAAAAAAAATGTACAAAATACAAAAAAAGTCCAAAAATACAAAAAAATTAGCCAGGTATGGTGGTGCACACCTGTAGTCCCAGCTACTTGGGAGGCTGAGGCAGGAGAATCACTTGAACCTGGGAGGCGGACATTGCAGTGATTGGAGATCGCGCCACTGCAGTCCAGCCTGGGCAACAGAGCAAGACTCCATTTCAAAAAAAAGAATTAGGATAGCGGTTACCCTGGGGAAGGGGGGCTACCCTTGCTAATGGAAGGGGGCACAAAGGAGATTCTCTGGTGCTGGGAATCTGCTGCTTCTTGATCTTAGTGCTGGTTACATGCGTGGGTTCATTTTATGAAAAATATGAAAAATCCATGGAGCTGAATACTTATGATTTATGTCTCTTTCTATATACATACTACACTTTAATAAAGCTTACCCAAAATCTCTTATTCAGATTCCTCATGCTCTCCAACAGATTATTATACTATAGGGGGGATGACACTTGAGGACTCCTGCCCATTGAGGACTCCTGAAAACATGCAGCTTCAGGTCCTCGGGGGAACCAGCAAAGCAGAAATGAGAAGTCACAGTGCCCTGCATCAGGCACAATTGTACCCAATTGTACAGGGAAAGCAGCAGTGGTACCTCATATACCAAGGGTGCCCAGAATAAGGAGGCAAGAGCAGGAGAAAGGAAATAGAGTGGTTTATGCCAGGATGTACTGACTGTTCATATTTATGAGCACATATGTGGCACCCTAATGACTTCTATAAATACTTACTAGGGGAAGATTCAGTAAAAAGCCTGGATCCTGCCTTATAAGTGGGGGCAAGAGCCGACAAAAGCCTGGTACATGTCACTGGGTCTGGTCTGGCAACTCAAGGGAGACAGAAGCATCAGGGATCTTTGGCAATGCCACTCCACAAAAGTTAAAGGCGACAATAAACAAAGAGTTTGGTCAAAACAAAACCTACAGCTTCCAATGGCTCATTCACTGCAGGTTGCAAAGTGTCTGATATCTTTACATATTTTAGTGCGTTTGATTTACCCAGTATCCCGATGAGATAGGTATGCTAGGGGGAGAAAAGCTTGTGTCATTAAGTGGTAGGGTATAGCACATTAATTCTAAGAACACACATACTGAAATTAGACCCGATTTCAAATTCTGACTCTGATAGGCTGGATGCAGTGGCTCATGCCTGTAATCCCACCACTTTAAGAGGCCATGGTTGGTGGATCCCTTGAACCCAGGAGTTCCAGACCAGCCTGGGCAACACTGTGAAACCTCATCTCTACAAAACATGCAAAAATTAGCCGGGCATGGTAGTGTGTGCCTGTAGTCCCAGCTACTCGGGTGGCTGTGGCGGGAGGATCACTTGAGTACAGGAGGTGGAGTTTGCAGTGAGCTGAGATCGTGCCACTGCACCACTATACTCCAGCCTGGGCGACAGAGTGAGACCCTGTCTAAAAAGAAAAGAAAAAAGAAAAAAAATTAGCCAGGCATGGTGGTGCGTGCTTATAGTCCCAGCTACTGGAGAAGCTGAGGTGAGAGGTTTGCTCGAGCCCAAGAGTTTGAGGCTGCAGTAAGCTATGACTGCACCACTGCATTCCAACCTGGGTGGCAGAATGAGACCTCATCTGTAGAAAAAAAAATTCTCTTTTTTTTTTTTTTTTTGAGATGGAGTCTCACTGTGTTGCCCAGGCTGGAGTGCAATGGCATGATCTCGGCTCACTGCAACCTCCGCCCCCTGGGTTCAAGCAATTCTCCTGCCTCAGCCTCCTGAGTAGCTAGGACTACAGTCATGCACCACCATGCCCAACTAATGTTTGTATTTTTAGTAGAAACAAGGTTTCATCATGTTGGCCAGGCTGGTCTCAAACTCCTGACCTCAAGTGATCCACCCACCTCAGTCTCCCAAAGTGCTGGGATTACAGGTGTGAGCCACCATGCCTGGCCCTGATTCTTTTATTTATTAGTTATATAGTCTTGAATTTGTTCCTTAATTTCACTGAGCCTCAATTTTCTTTTTTTTTTTTTGTTTTGAGATGGAGTCTGTCTCTGTCCCCCAGGCTGGAGTGCAGTGGTGCCATCTCGGTTCACTGCAACCTCCACTTCCCAGGTTCAAGCAATTCTCCTGCCTCAGCCTCGCAAGTAGCTGGGATTACAGGCGCCTACCATCACTCCCGGCTAATTTTTTGTGTTTTTACTAGAGACGGGGTTTCACCATGTTGGTTAGGCTGGTCTCGAACTCCTGGCCTCAAGTGATCTTCCTGCCTCGGCCTCCCAAAGTGCTGGGATTATAGGCGTGAGCCACTGTGCCCATCCGAGCCTCAGTTTTCTCATCTATAAAATGTGAACAATAATATTACCTACCCCATTATATGGTTGTAAAGATTAAACAAGAAAATGCATATGAAGTACTTAGCAGAGTGCCTGACCTACAGAAAGATCTCAGTGTTACTGTTTTTCTTATCATTTTTTATAATCTTTTCATTTATTTTAAAGAGAAACTGTAGAATATTAAGCAAGAACGGCATTTATGATTTATCTTTTGTAAACTTTAAAATGGAGTCTGTTAGCTACAATACTCTGTGATAAATATTTTTGAACATGCTTTTATTGTCATGTAACTCCTCAGAATCAATAAAGATATTATCAATTCACACATGCCCAGGACATAATATCTTAAATGCTGGTGGTCACCTAGCCCCACTGGCTCACAACTGCTGAACCCAAATTGTTTCTTTCTGTTAGGATCTTATCTGGACATTAATCCCTACAGCAGGTGGGAGGGAAGGGCATGGCCTTTTTTTCCCCAGAGGTGCTGTCAATGATAAGAGGAGAATGAAGACTCCTAATCGATTCCTATTGAGGAGGCTACAGGGGTACTTGAGGAGAGGCAATGGAAAGGTCATTAAGGACACTTTGGGGTAATTTATGGGGTCTCATTATCTTTTCTCCTAAAAATACATAAAATCTGGCAAACTCTTCATCTGTTTTGGAAAAAATATCTAAGAGAATAGAATATATCAAGAAGGGCCAAGTGGATGTTTCCATCAACCATGTAGCCCCATCTCCCCTGGAGATTTTGGCCAGTTGTGGTGGTTCACATCTGTAATCCCAGCACTTTGAGAGGCTGAGGCAGGAGGATCACTTGAGGCCAGGAGTTCGAGACCAGGGTGGACAACAAAGTGAGACCACCCCCGACCCCGCCAAAAATAAAAAAAAAAAAATTAGCTAGGCGTGATGGTGCATGCCTGTAGTACCAGCTACTCAGGAAACTGAGATGGGAGGATTGCTTGAGCCTAGGAAGTTGAGGCTGCAGTGAGCCAAGATCACACCACTGTACTCCAGGCTGGGTGACAAAGCAAGACTCAGTCTCAGATAAATAAATAAATTAATTAATTAATAGGAGATTTTCTCTTTGCTAACATTCCTAACTCGAATGGCCTATTTGTAAAGAATAAGCAGAAGGTGTAATTACAGAGATATTATGCATGTCTTGTATTTCTAAGGTCCAACATCTCTCAATATGTGCTCTGCACAAGTAACTCAGCAAATAGGGTTCTAGGAGGAAACAAGTGTGGGGACATTTAACACTATTATCAAGGATATTTTGTTGCTGTCTCCCTAGCATAGTTCCCCCACCTTCCATTTTTCTTTGGGGACTCACCCTCCCCTACACTCTGACTCTGGAATCTGGCTAGAGTGTCATCCCTCCCTCTAGGAGTGGAGTGTGTGGTCTAGGCCTCAGCCAATCAGCAGGTCATATTTCCCTAGTCACAGTGATTGGTTCAGAAGTGAGTACGTGACTCATTCAGAACCAATGAGACACAATGAGGTTTTCACAGTGGGTGCTGGGAAAAAGGCAAATATTTTTTCCCATTGGTTTACCCAGTGAGATGTGATACTGGAGCTGTGGCAGCCATCTTGTGGTCACTAGGTGAGAGCTTACCTGAGCCAGGACAGAAACAAAATGAAACAAACAAACAAACAAAACAACAACAACAACAACAAAATGGATGGAAAGCATGTGGCAGCTACAAAAATGCCCCTCTCAGATCTCCTGTCATGGGGAGGGTAGTTGACTAATGGCCCCAGCTGCTGCTCTCCAAATCTGAATCCATCACCACACTGTGACCAAGACCATTTTTTCCATGGCTGCTCCCTGACAGTGAAAGAGCCCAGCAGGGACTCCAGGGCAGATCCGTTTCCGCAGGAGACAGGCCCATAGCCACACCAAACTGCAAGGGAGGCTGGAGAATATAGCCTTTATCTTAGGCAGTCACGTGCCCAGCTAAAAACTATGAGCTTTTATAAGAAGGTGCAAAAGGATATCGTGGACAACTAGAAATCTCTGCCACTGAGATTTTAATTTTCTGGACATAACCACAGATGGTTCCTCCCTCTGGTTCCCTTTCTGCCTTCTAATTACTCCTGTGCAGTCCTTCTTTACAATGCAATGTGCTTACCTCCCATCCCCCACACCACCATCAAAGTTCACACTTGGTTATCTTTCTCCTACTGTTGTAAAAATAACCTCTTGCTTCTTCCCTCTCTGTGGCAAATTCATCCTGGCTAAGCCAACCACATGAGGCTTCTTAAATGCCGCTTTGTACACACTTCCTCTTGTTTCTTACCATTGAAGCCCCTTGTCTATGGGGGGAAAGAACAACCTCTTTGGTCTTTTTCTCTGGACTCTCCCTAATCTGGCCTCTTCCTGACTACTTGAAGCTCATTCTCACCATGACCTGGCAAACTGGGGCTGCTTCTCTTCACCAATATACAGCTCCTCACCAGTTTTTTGTTTTTGTTTTTGTTTTTCATGTTTATTGCCTGTTGTTTACCCCAGGTCCTCTGTCTTTTTTGACCTTCTCCTGGACCGTTGGTCTTTTGCAGATAAAGAACAGATTTTCAGACTACCTCAAGCCATTACTCCAGTGAATTGCAAGGACACATATAACATATTGATAACAGGGATCTCAAGAGAAACCAAGAAAGGTGAACTGCTGAGCTTCCTGGAGTCTGGAATAGACTTTAGAATTTGACAAAGCAAGTTGGTTTGTTGGTTAAATTGTGGACTTTGGAGTCCAACCGGCTGGGTTTTTGAGGCTTGGTTCTTCCAGTTACTAGCTATGCGATCTTGAGCAAATGAATTAAGCTTCCTTTCCACATTTGATAAGTAGGATAAAGATAAAACCACCTCTATAGGGTTGTTGGGAGGTTAAATGAGATGATATATATAAGCCACTTAGCCCAGGGCCTAGAAAATAGAAGGCACTCAGTAAATGCAGGTGGGTCTTGTGTTTGGAGTCCACACAGGAACTAGATCAGCTAGCCCAAGCTGCAGAGAGAGTTGAGGGATCCTCACTCCATTCCACACTTCTCACAACCCAGTTACTCTGTCTCCATTTCTCTGTGTCTTCTCTAGCTTTTCTACTGTTTACTGATTCTTTCTTCATATTTCAGCTTCAGTCCTTCTGGATTGGCACTGCTGATTGTGGCACCTCTTGGGCACAGCATTTCCTGCCCGGCTCTATGCCCCTGAGCAGCTCCTATTGGCTGTCCCTGGTCAGGGTTGCATGCTGGTCCAATCATCCCTGGCGCAAAGGAGAGGCCGTGGACATGAAAGGAAGGAGCCACTGGGTACATGTGGTGTCACAGATGGCCTGCTCTGCACTTCTACTTCTAAAGCACAGATGGGAAGAAATGGATCTTGTCTACGATCTACCCTGTACCCAACTGGGCACTTACACAGAAGCCTCACTCATTCAGGACTGCATTAGAATTCTCATGGCTAGGTTGGCCGTCACTTCATTTTAAAAAAAAATTATATTTTACGACTGCATTGGCATAAAGAATAACATCTAGGCTGGATTCATTGTTACATATTGATTTTTTTATATTTATTTTTTTTTCCTGTTTGTAAAGGAAAATAACAACACTATCATGTATCCCTAACAGTATCTGGGCCTCTGGCACTGTGTCTACTAGGCCTAATGGAAAAGTAGATCCTGCATTCACCCATTCAATAAATATGTATTGAACATCTACTATGGGCCAGGCACTGCGCTAAGTATAGAGAGTACAGAGGTGAGGAAAATAGAGTTCCTGTCCTCATTGGTTTAATTTTCTAGTGTAAGCTCCAGATCATTCCTCAAAACCTCAAAACACGGTATGGAGTTTTCTGAGGCTATTTCTCACTAGTAATTATGGGGAACTGGGATTAAAAGAGCCCTTCTTCTGTTGCTTTAACACTTGGACTTAGTAGGAAAAGATAAAATCACCAGCATGCTAATTGAACGGGCTATGCCTAAACAAAGACAATGTACAGTTCATCTAAGTTCTGAGAACAATGGGAGGTGGTGTGCGCTTTCATCCTGTGCTCCTCCTTTCTAGGGAAGACTCCTTTGGGAGGCAGTGCGGGGCAGTGGTTAAGCAGCAGGCTCTGGAGTGTTCCAACTCCAGCCCCAGCTCTTCCTGGCTTCACAGTTTTGAGTAGGTTATCCTCGCTCCACCTTAGTTTTCTCAAATCTAAAATGTTTCTGCAGGACTTTTATGAGGATTACAGGAGAAAACTCGTTTGTAGCATGGTGAGAGCTCAAGAAATGTGTGCTATTAATTAATATTAGTGGCTGCCCGAGACCATGAGGCTGTCTGCATGCTGAGACAAAGAGTGGTCTAATCCATTAGCGATATTGGCCAAGGACAGCGCCTTTGTTCTGTATCTCCTACCTCGAGAGAAGACTCGGGGTATAAGACCAGAGCACCAAGGCAAGGGCGATATTTACAACAGCCTCCATAGGCTGAGTGCGCCCTGTACATGGGGTTTTTGCTGCTTACTTGAATCACAGTATTTCATTTAATACTCTCCAGTCAAGGGTAAGATAGGCATTACTGTCCCCGTTTTACAGTAGAGAACACAGAGGCCTAGGAAGGTAAGTAGATGGCATGGCAGAGGGGAAACTGCAGCCATGGGGACTGTCCTCCCTTGGGCTCTTCTCTTTTAGCCAGGGTTGCAGGTGGAAGTAGCCCCCAGTGAGACTGCAGGGAGGACCTGGCTTGGTGCTAGCATCAGTTAAATCACATATTTGACAGTGCTGGTGGGCAGGTACTTTGTGGATAAATCATCAATCCAGGGAAGGGGGTTTCTGGCTGCTGCTAAGATGGAATCTAGGACTTCTCAGGCATGCGACATTTCCCAGACTCGGGGAAAGCAGTGGAAGAACACTGAACAGTGTTTAGCCCTTTCCCCTCTTTCTTTGAGCCAATGAGGCCATTCAGCATTTGTGTTCACCAAGCCTCCCGAGTGGTTTTTGTCGCAGCTGCTGAAGTCAATAATAGCAGCAGCCATAGGGAGATTTATAGGGGAAGTTCACATCTTCACCTCTCAAAATTGTAAGTAAATACAAAGCTCCCACAAACCACATGGTACGTTGTTTAAATCCCTGTGCAGAATCCATAGGTCTGGCCCCTGCCCACTTCTCCCAGTGCTCTCTCCACTTCTCTCTGCCTGGCCTTTGCTCTCTGTTAATATTTAACTGCTCCTAATTCCTCAAGAGCCTATTCTGATTCTCCTTTCTATGTGGTTTTCCAAGATGCACTTCTCCATGGGATGCTGCTCCCCATCCAGAAATCTACTGTTCTACTCCCTCCCTCATCATCCTTTCTACCAGAAACCCTTCTTCTATCAGTCATTGTGTAACAAACCACCCAGATTTAGCAGCTTAACTCAACTATTCTTATTGCTCATGGTTATTTGAGGTGCTGTGAGTTGACTGAGCTCCACTGAAAGTTTCTCACGCGGGGTCTCTCAGCCAGTTGCAGTCAGATGGCAGCCAGGGATGGAGTTATCTGAAGGCTCAACTGGACTGGACATCCAACATAGCTCCTTCACACACCTGTCCCTTGCCTGGGTGAGATGGGTGGAAAAGCTGGCTATGGAGATGGTATTTCTGTGTCTTCTTGTGATGCCTTCCCATGGCTAGGTTGGGCTTCCTCACAGCATGGTGGCCTCAGCATAGTCAGACTTTTGACATGACAGCTGATTTCTCCCAGAACATGCATTCCAAGAGACCAAGGTGGAAGCTGCAAGGCCTTTTATGACCTAGCCTTGGAAGTCACACAGAGCCACTTCTACCACGTTCTGTTGGTTATATAGGCCAGCCCAGACTCAACACGGGAAGGAACTAAAAAAAAGGCATGAATGTCAAGCAGTGTGTCTCATTGAGAGCCATCTTGAAGACTGGCTACCACACCTTCTGGTCTTTCCCCGTTCTCTGCACATCATGTACATCCTACCTAAGAACTTATCTTAGGACTTTACAGTTGCTTCTCTTCTGTCTCTCTACTCCACCATGAGTGCTGTTGTTTAACTATTTTTGAGCCTTTGGTGCCTGGTCTTGTGCCTGGCACTCACTAAACACACGTCACTTTATAGAATTGAGCCAAACTGTGACTTAGAGCTCCCCCAGCCTCAAGGCTCCAATCAGATGGCTCCCCCACCACCAACTGAAAGAGGAGCACCCCCAAACTTGGACCCAGTCCAGGCCTGTTACCCTACAGACAACACAAAACAAAGCACTTCTCTTTTTTCCCTCTAGGACGACAAGTTAATTCAGTTCTTGAAAAAGATGCCAACTGACAGCCCCACAGATTGAGAAACATATGTCTTCCTCCAGAGGGGCCTTGCGTGTGGAGAAGCATGGGCGGTTTCTGAGGAGGGCAGCTGGGCGTGGGCATGCGTGGAGACCCAGCCATGGACCTCTACTCTCAAGGGCCAAGCCTGCCCCTCTAGAAACAGCCAAGGTGGGGAGGATGTTTCCTTAACAAAGATATCACCTCCGGGCACAATCTGACAATCTGTCTGGCTTCAAGCTTCAGTTCTGCCTGAGTTCTTCCAGCTTTGTTAGATTTTAGGTGGCTTGGGGTGGGAGGAAGAATGAAGAAGAAACACATCTTATCTTGATAGTGAAGACCCGGGGAATGAATTCAAGGGAAGGATGATGGATGAAGTGGAAGAAAAAGAAGAGAAAATATCCTTCCTAGATAAGATACAAGGGAACTGCTCATTCGTTCCTGCTCTCATTAACTACTTCACTCACCTTTCTCCAAATCATGACCCAAGCCTTCTTCTTTATTAAAAATAATATAACAAGAGTTATCAATTAGTGAGTGCTTGCTATAGAGCAGGTACTCTGCTAAACACTTTATGTATATTATCCTGCTTAATCTGCACCATTCTGGGAGATGGTTGTCTTACCTGTCCCTCCCCACTCCACCTCAGCTAAGCCATCCCACCCCTGCCATTTTATGGAAAAAGAAACTGAGGTTCAGAGAGGTCAAGTAGTTTGGCAAAGATTACAGAGCTCAGGCCAGAAAAGATGGCTCACACCTGTAATTCCACCACTTTGGGAGGCTGAGGAGGGCAGATCACCTGAGATCAGGAGTTCAAGACCAGCCTGGCTAACATAGTGAAACTCCGTCTCTACTAAAAATATAAAAATTAGCCAGGTGTGGTGGTGCAGGCCTGTAATCCCAGCTACAAGGGAGGCTGAGGCAAAAGGATCGCTTTAACCCGGGAGGCAGAGGTTGCAGTGAGCTGAGATAGTGCCACTGCACTCCAGCCTGAGTGATGGAGTGAGACTCCATCTCAAAAAAAAAAGAAAAAAGAAAACAAACAAACAAAAAAACAAAGATTACAGAGCTCATACATGGCAGAGCCAAGATTCTTACCCTGGCCTGTCAGCTTCTAGAGCCTTGATACTCAAAGTTGGTCAAGCAGCATCAGTATCACCTAGGAGCTTATTGGAAATACATTTGAGGACATCCCCACCCCAGGACCTATTAGATCAGAATCAGTATTTTTATAACATCACCAGGTGATTATTTTACACACTGAAGTTTGAGAAAAGCTGTCCGCTGTCCTAGAGCTTGTGTGGCCTCAGCCTTTGTCCTCCAGGTGGAAGCAGTCCTGAGGGCACTGGCTTAATGCACAGGCATTGACAGAGCCTTGGCTGATTGGTGATTGTTGCCCAGCACAGGTGGGCAAGAGCATATGCAATTGACCATTGTAGAATGGGGTTGAGGACACAACCGACCCCAGATTGCTGCTATCAAGCACAGTCATTGGGATGTCCCATTCTGCAGCCCCTCAAGACAACGTTACCAGTGGAAAGAAATTCTTTGTAAAATGTTTAGTTTTCTACTATGTATAATTTACATTCGGCTAAATACTCAAGTTTTACTCATGTAATCACTACCCCAGTGAAGGTATCAACATTCCCTGCACTCCAGATGGCTCTCTCCTACTCTATCCCCCTCAAAATCAACACCCTCCAAAATGACCTCTATTATCATAGATTCAGTTCACCTGTTTCTAAACTTCAACTAAATAGAATCACCCTGAATGTTTTCTTTTGTATTGATGTATCTGTGACATTCGGCCATGTTACTGTATATTTCAGTATTTCATTCTCTTTCATTACTCAGTAGTACTCCATACATGAACACACCACAGTTTCTGTGTTGTTTCTGTTTGGGGGATATTATTAATAAAGCTGCTATGGATATTTCCGTACCTGTTTTTGGGTAGACATCCACGCTCATTTCTCTTAGATTAAGTGCACAAGCATGGAATTGCTTTTATTCAGCATATATTAAGTTGTTTTGTTGTTGTTTGTTTGGGTTTTTCTTTTTGAGACAGAGTTTCTGTCTGTCACCCAGGTTGGAGTGCCCGGGTGTGATCTCAGCTCACAGCAACCTCTGCCTCCCGGATTCAAGAGATTCTTGTGCCTCAGCCTCCCAAGTAGCTGGGATTACAGGTGCACACCACCTTGCCCGCAATTTTTTTTTTTTTTTTTGTATTTTTAGTAGAGATGGGATTTCGCCATGTTAGCCAGGCTGATCTCAAACTCCCTATCTCAAGTGATCCACCTACCTCGGCCTCCGAAAATGTTGGGATTACAGGTGTGAGCCACTGCACCTGGCCCAACATATATTAAGTTATATTAGCTACTGTCAAACAGTTTTTCCAAGTGGTTGTACCAATTTATACTGCTGCTAAAATGTGTGAGAGTGGGGACTCTTTTTAAGCCTAGCCCCATAGTTAGCCAGGATTCCATTACTCTTTACTGAGTTGCTCTCCTTTGGAAAGAGAAAGAGAGATTTTCTCCTAATTTCTTATCCAAGAAATGATGGCATTACACATCATCTGAAATCAATAGATTGTCAATACCTGGTTGTTTGCCTTCAGGTATTGACAATAAAAGGATACAGAGCCCTTTTATGACACACCAGAAAAGACACCTGGTCCCAATGAGCTGCAACAATTGCATCTATATATTAATAGCTTCTGTTCACATTAGAAAAAAGCTCCCAAAGATGTAATCAACTTTTACAAACATATGGGGCAAATTTCTGGGCCATGCATGGGGAATTCATGGCACAACTCACATTAATGGTAACCTGAAATAATAGGAGCTCTGTCAAATTACACCCCTGAGGTCTTCTCCACATCGGAGGCCATATATTAACACTCACACCTCCCTCCTGGGACCCTTTGGTTGACTGGAAAGAGGTGAGACTTGGGTCTCAGAGGTATGGTCAGGGGCACAAAGCCCACACTAATCGCTCACTGACCCTTGACCAGCCATTTAGCCTTTCTACAACTCAATGTCCCTTCCAATAAACGGGCGGCCTGACTTCCAGACTTTCCTCTTTCCCCTCCCTCCTCTTTGCCTGCAAGTTCTGTTTCTCCATTCATTTTTTAAGACTTTTTATTTTGAAGTAACTTACAGAATTGAAGAATAGAAGGAACTCCTTTCTACCCTTTGCCCAACTTCACCAATTAACATTTTGCCATATTTGTTGTATCACTCCCCCTGTCAAAATAAATATCATCTTCCCCTAAAACATTTGAGAGTTCATTGTAGACATCACACCCACTTACCCCTAGTATTTCAGCATGCATTTCCTTAGAAAAGGACATCCTTTTATATAAGATAAAATAGAACTGTATTTAATATCAATGTTTATTTTTCTACTATGTATAATTTACGTTCAGCTAAATATTCAAGTCCTACTTGTGTAATCACCACCCAGATGAAGGTATCAAATCCCAGCACCCCAGATGGCTCTCTCCTACTCTCTCCCCCTCAAAATCAACACCCCCCAAAATGCACTATTCTGACCTGTTATCTAATACATAGTTCATATGTAAATGTCTCCAGCTGTCTCGATAATGTCATTTGTACTACTCCCGCTTCTCCTTACCCAGGGCCAGTCTAGGACCAGGCATTACATTTAGTGTACACGCATGTATTATCTCTTTTAATCTAATACTGTTTTTTAGCCTTTCTTTCTCTTTCATAATATTGGCATTTTGAAGAGTGCAGACCACTGGTTCTATAGAATGCCCTTGAACTTGTCACTGTATATACTCTTACCACCATCAGATTTGCAAATCCTCAGAAATGAAATGTTTTCTCCCCACCACGCTTTTGTTTGCACAAAACCCTCCACCTGGAATCCCCTTTCCTTTCTCTTTCACTGGGCAATTCCTACTCAACTTTCTCTGATACCCTTTCTTATGGCCCCCTAGGACTAAGATGAAAGCCCCTCCTGTAGGCTTTTACCACCCAAGCTTGGCCCATCTGAGCATCTGTCAAACTCTATTGTGCACAGTGGCTCACACCTGGAATCACAGCAACTTGGGAAGCTGAGGCAGGATGACTCCTTGAGCCCAGGAGTTTGAGACCAGCCTGAGCAACATAGCAAGACCTTGTCTCTAAAAAATAAAACATAGCTGTACTCTGCTGTCGTTGACCAGTGTCCCATCCAAGGCTCTCACTTCTGCCCAGTTCTGGCTCCCCCTAACAAGTTCAGCTCTGAAAGCCTGACATCATCTGCTACATGTCCAGGGTCCCTCTTTGAGTCATGGGTAACCTGGGGCATTGTAGAGTAGAGTACACCTGGTCTGTCAGGGGTGGCATGGCCTGTGTCACCAGCCAGTACTGGGGAAGCCCTCTGTAGATGGGGCCACCCTGCAGATGCCTGCAGACCACATGGAATACATGTGATCGTAACAACTACAGCAATAACAGCAATTTTAATAGTGAACGCATAGCACTTACTTGGTGCCATGTCTAAATTATTTACATATATTAAGTCACTACTGCTATGAGGCACACATTTCAATAGTGTGCACCTGGAATAATCTGAAGGCTCCTTCACGCACAAGCCTGGTGATTGATGCTGGCTGTTGCCTGAGGGCCTAGTAATGGCTATCAGCCGGAATGCCCAGATGTACCTCCCCATGTCGCCTCAGCTTCCTTAAAATATGGTGGCTGGGTTCCAAGAGTGAGTGTCCCCAGGTAGAGACAGAGAGCCAGAAAGACCCTAGATCATTTATGACTTAGCTTTGGAAGTCACATAGAATCACCTCTGCCACAGTCCTTTGGTCAGAGGAGTCACAAGCCCCCACTCGTATTCAAGGAGAGGGGACACAGACACCCTCCTCTGGTGGGAGAAGTGGCAGCCACATTGTGAGAAGAGTCCGCGGGATGAGCTGTGACATCTTTGGAAGATGCAGTTGGCCACCACTTGTTAGTGAGGAAGCAGGGATTTGAACCTGCACGGCCAGGCCCCAGAGTCCATACTGTTAACCAGCCTGCTGCACTTGCTCCAGAGCAGGTGAGGCCAGCAGCTGAGAACACTGAGCCTGGGACTAGCGCCCTTGCAGGGCCCCTTCTCTTGTCCACCCATCACTGTTTGAACCCCTTTCATGGACATCCATCCCAGAGCCTCAGGCCCCACTCCAGCCCCTTCTAGAACCTCTCTTTTATCTTCTTTCCCAATAGGCCTTGGGAGCCATTGAAACCAGCGCCCAATCATCAGCTACCAGAAGCACAGTTCTGCTTTCCTTCCTTCTGGCACTCATGAGTTGAGATGATGTTTGCTGCACTTATCAGGGACAGCTTCCTGGAGGAGTGCTCAGTTTCCCAGCGAAAATGGGCTGAGTTTTTTTAATGTAATGAAGAAAGAGAACTTAAAATTATGGTTTCCATCTCAAGGCAGCTTGAGTAGCCATATTCTACACTACCTTCCTCCCTAAGCTCTTCAGGGCTTAGTCCACCCCGTTGCCGCACGACCTGTCAAGCAGTAGGTGTTTTATATATTTTATGAATGAATTAACAAAGAGAGCAAATACGTTTTGAAAGATTACTCTTTGCCAGGTACTATCTTATACACTGTATAGATACTAATTTAATCCTCACAAAGACTCTATGAGGTCGATCTAATTAGTAAACTCATTTTACAGGCAGAGAAATGGAAAGATTAAGTAATTTGTCCAAGATCACAGAGCTAGTAACTGGTAGAGTCAACCATACTACCCCTCTTGACAAGATAGGAAAGAAGGAAGGAAGGAAGGGAGGAAGGGAGCGGGGTAGAGGGAGACAGGAAGAGAAGGGAAGGGGGAAAACAGGAAGGAGGGAGGGAGGGAAGAAGGGAAGGAAGGAAGGAAGGAATGAAGGAAGGAAGGAAGGAACGAAGGAAGGAAAGAAGGAAGGAAGGAAGGAATGAAGGAAGGAAGGAAGGAAAAAAAGCATTATAATTCTTTATCACTAGCCAAGGCATCCTCTGTCAAAATGTGAATGTTGTTTCTTGAAAGGTCACTACAAACTTTTCCCACCACAGTGCCCCATATTCCCACCTTTAAGTTCATGTCTTTGGACTAAGGTCACCAGATTACAAATGTCCTTCAACGAGGACAGC